>NC_000016.10:36669487-36969487 GCF_000001405.40 Homo sapiens | reverse complement strand
GAAGGTTCAACTCTGTCAGTTGAATACACACAACACAAGGAAGTTACTGAGATTTCTTCTGTCTAGCCTTACATGAAAAAAACCCGTTTCCAACGAAGGCCTCAAAGAGGTCAAAATATCCACGTGCAGACTTTCCAAACAGTGTTTCCAAACTGCTGAATGAAAAGAAAAGTTAAACTCTGTGAGTTGAACGCACACATCACAGAGCAGTTTCTGAGAATGATTCTGTCTAGTTTTTATAGGAAAATATTTCCTTTTCTGCTTTTGGCCTCAAAGCGCTTGAAATCTCCACTTGCAAATTCCACAAAAAGAGACTTTCAAATCTGCTCTGTCTAAAGGAAGGTTCAACTCTGTCAGTTGAATACACACAACACAAAGAAGTTACTAAGAATTCTTCCCTCTAGCATTATATGAAGAAATCCCGTTTCCAACGAAGGCATCTAAGAGGTCCAAATATCCACTTGCAGACTTTACAAACACAGGGTTTCCAGAATGCTGTATGAAAAGAAAGGTGAAACTCTGTGAGTTAAACACACACATCACTACGCAGTGTCTGGGAACGAGTCTGTCTAGTTTTTATAGGAAAATATTTCCTTTTCTGCTTTTGGCCTCAAAGCGCTTGAAATCTCCACTAGCAAATTCCACAAAAAGAGTGTTTCAAATCTGCTCTGTCTAAAGGAAGGTTGAACTCTGTGAGTTGCATACACACAACACAAAGAAGTTACTGAGAAATCTTCTGTCTAGCATAATATGAAGAAATCCCGTTTCCAACGAAGGCCTCAAAGAGGTCCGAATATCCACTGGCAGGCTTCACAAACAGAGTGTTTCCTAACTGCTCTGTGAAAAGAAAGGTTAAACTCTGTGAGTTGAACGCACACATCACAAAGGAGTTTCTGAGAATCATTCTGTCTAGTTTTTATACGAAGATATTTCCTTTTCTACCATTGACCTCAAAGCGGCTGACATCTCCACTTGCAAATTCCAGAAAAACAGTGTTTCAAATCTGCTCTGTGTAAAGGATCGTTCAACTCTGTGAGTTGAATACACACAACACAAGGAAGTTACTGAGAATTCATCTGTCTAGCATAATATGAAGAAATCCCGTTTCCAACGAAGGCCTCAAAGAGGTCTGAATATCCACTTGCAGACTTTACAAACAGAGTGTTTCCTAACTGCTCTTTGAAAAGAAAGGTTAAACTCTGTGAGTTGAACGCACACATCACAAAACAGTTTCTGAGAATCATTCTGTCTAGTTTTTATACGAAGATATTTCCTTTTCTACCGTTGACCTCAAAGCGGCTGAATTCTCCACTTACAAATTCCACCAAAAGAGTGTCTCAAATCTGCTCTGTGTAAAGAATCATTCAACTCTGTGAGTTGAATGCACACAACACAAGGAAGTTACTGGGAATTCCTCTGTCTATCCTTACATGAAAAAACCCGTTTCCAACGAAGGCCTCTAAGAGGCCAAGATATCCACTTGCAGACTTTACAAACAGAGTGTTTCCAAACTGCTGAATGAAAAGAAAAGTTAAACTCTGTGAGTTGAACGCACACATCACAGAGCAGTTTCTGAGAATGATTCTGTCGGGTTTTTATACGAAGATATTTCCTTTTCTGCCTTTGGCCTCAAAGCGCTTGAAGTCTCCACTTGCAAATTGCAGAAAAAGAGTGTTTCGAATCTGCTCTGTCTAAAGGAAGGTTCAACTCTGTCAGTTGAATACACACAACACAAGGAAGTTACTGAGATTTCTTCTGTCTAGCCTTACATGAAAAAAACCCGTTTCCAACGAAGGCCTCAAAGAGGTCAAAATATCCACGTGCAGACTTTCCAAACAGAGTGTTTCCAAACGCTGAATGAAAAGAAAAGTTAAACTCTGTGAGTTGAACGCACACATCCCAGAGCAGTTTCTGAGAAAGATTCTGTCGAGGTTTTATAGGAAAATATTTCCTTTTCTGCTTTTGGCCTCAAAGCGCTTGAAATCTCCACTTGCAAATTCCACAAAAAGAGACTTTCAAATCTGCTCTGTCTAAAGGAAGGTTCAACTCTGTCAGTTGAATACACACAACACAAAGAAGTTACTAAGAATTCTTCCCTCTAGCATTATATGAAGAAATCCCGTTTCCAACGAAGGCATCTAAGAGGTCCAAATATCGACTTGCAGACTTTACAAACAGAGGGTTTCCAGAATGCTGTATGAAAAGAAAGGTTAAACTCTGTGAGTTAAACACACACATCACTACGCAGTGTCTGGGAACGAGTTTGTCTTGTTTTTATACGAAGATATTTCCTTTTCTACCATTGGCATCGAAGCGCTTGAAATCTCCACTTGCAAATTCCACAAAAAGAGTGTTTCAAATCTGCTCTGTCTAAAGGAAGGTTGAACTCTGTGAGTTGCATACACACAACACAAAGAAGTTACTGAGAAATCTTCTGTCTAGCATAATATGAAGAAATCCCGTTTCCAACGAAGGCCTGAAAGAGGTCCGAATATCCACTGGCAGGCTTCACAAACAGAGTGTTTCCTAACTGCTCTGTGAAAAGAAAGGTTAAACTCTGTGAGTTGAACGCACACATCACAAAGGAGTTTCTGAGAATCATTCTGTCTAGTTTTTATACGAAGATATTTCCTTTTCTACCATTGACCTCAAAGCGGCTGAAATCTCCACTTGCAAATTCCAGAAAAACAGTGTTTCAAATCTGCTCTGTGTAAAGGATCGTTCAACTCTGTGAGTTGAATACACACAACACAAGGAAGTTACTTAGAATTCATCTGTCTAGCATAATATGAAGAAATCCCGTTTCCAAGGAAGGCCTCAAAGAGGTCTGAATATCCACTTGCAGACTTTACAGAGTGTTTCCTAACTGCTCTCTGAAAAGAAAGGTTAAACTCTGTGAGTTGAACGCACACATCACAAAACAGTTTCTGAGAATCATTCTGTCTAGTTTTTATACGAAGATATTTCCTTTTCTACCGTTGACCTCAAAGCGGCTGAATTCTCCACTTACAAATTCCACCAAAAGAGTGTCTCAAATCTGCTCTGTGTAAAGAATCGTTCAACTCTGTGAGTTGAATGCACACAACACAAGGAAGTTACTGGGAATTCCTCTGTCTATCCTTACATGAAAAAACCCGTTTCCAACGAAGGCCTCTAAGAGGCCAAGATATCCACATGCAGACTTTACAAACAGAGTGTTTCCAAACTGCTGAATGAAAAGAAAAGTTAAACTCTGTGAGTTGAACGCACACATCACAGAGCAGTTTCTGAGAATGATTCTGTCGGGTTTTTATACGAAGATATTTCCTTTTCTGCCTTTGGCCTCAAAGCGCTTGAAGTCTCCACTTGCAAATTGCAGAAAAAGAGTGTTTCGAATCTGCTCTGTCTAAAGGAAGGTTCAACTCTGTCAGTTGAATACACACAACACAAGGAAGTTACTGAGATTTCTTCTGTCTAGCCTTACATAAAAAAAACCCGTTTCCAACGAAGGCCTCAAAGAGGTCAAAATATCCACGTGCAGACTTTCCAAACAGTGTTTCCAAACTGCTGAATGAAAAGAAAAGTTAAACTCTGTGAGTTGAACGCACACATCCCAGAGCAGTTTCTGAGAATGATTCTGTCGAGTTTTTATAGGAAAATATTTCCTTTTCTGCTTTTGGCCTCAAAGCGCTTGAAATCTCCACTTGCAAATTCCACAAAAAGAGACTTTCAAATCTGCTCTGTCTAAAGGAAGGTTCAACTCTGTCAGTTGAATACACACAACACAAAGAAGTTACTAAGAATTCTTCCCTCTAGCATTATATGAAGAAATCCCGTTTCCAACGAAGGCATCTAAGAGGTCCAAATATCCACTTGCAGACTTTACAAACAGAGGGTTTCCAGAATGCTGTATGTAAAGAAAGGTGAAACTCTGTGAGTTAAACACACACATCACTACGCAGTGTCTGGGAACGAGTTTGTCTTGTTTTTATACGAAGATATTTCCTTTTCTACCATTGGCATCGAAGCGCTTGAAATCTCCACTTGCAAATTCCACAAAAAGAGTGTTTCAAATCTGCTCTGTCTAAAGGAAGGTTGAACTCTGTGAGTTGCATACACACAACACAAAGAAGTTACTGAGAAATCTTCTGTCTAGCATAATATGAAGAAATCCCGTTTCCAACGAAGGCCTCAAAGAGGTCCGAATATCCACTGGCAGGCTTCACAAACAGAGTGTTTCCTAACTGCTCTGTGAAAAGAAAGGTTAAACTCTGTGAGTTGAACGCACACATCACAAAGGAGTTTCTGAGAATCATTCTGTCTAGTTTTTATACGAAGATATTTCCTTTTCTACCATTGACCTCAAAGCGGCTGAAATCTCCACTTGCAAATTCCAGAAAAACAGTGTTTCAAATCTGCTCTGTGTAAAGGATCGTTCAACTCTGTGAGTTGAATACACACAACACAAGGAAGTTACTGAGAATTCATCTGTCTAGCATAATATGAAGAAATCCCGTTTCCAACGAAGGCCTCAAAGAGGTCTGAATATCCACTTGCAGACTTTACAAACAGAGTGTTTCCTAACTGCTCTCTGAAAAGAAAGGTTAAACTCTGTGAGTTGAACGCACACATCACAAAACAGTTTCTGAGAATCATTCTGTCTAGATTTTATACGAAGATATTTCCTTTTCTACCGTTGACCTCAAAGCGGCTGAATTCTCCACTTACAAATTCCACCCAAAGAGTGTCTCAAATCTGCTCTGTGTAAAGAATCATTCAACTCTGTGAGTTGAATGCACACAACACAAGGAAGTTACTGGGAATTCCTCTGTCTATCCTTACATGAAAAAACCCGTTTCCAACGAAGGCCTCTAAGAGGCCAAGATATCCACTTGCAGACTTTACAAACAGAGTGTTTCCAAACTGCTGAATGAAAAGAAAAGTTAAACTCTGTGAGTTGAACGCACACATCACAGAGCAGTTTCTGAGAATGAGTCTGTCGGGTTTTTATACGAAGATATTTCCTTTTCTGCCTTTGGCCTCAAAGCGCTTGAAGTCTCCACTTGCAAATTGCAGAAAAAGAGTGTTTCGAATCTGCTCTGTCTAAAGGAAGGTTCAACTCTGTCAGTTGAATACACACAACACAAGGAAGTTACTGAGATTTCTTCTGTCTAGCCTTACATGAAAAAAACCCGTTTCCAACGAAGGCCTCAAAGAGGTCAAAATATCCACGTGCAGACTTTCCAAACAGTGTTTCCAAACTGCTGAATGAAAAGAAAAGTTAAACTCTGTGAGTTGAACGCACACATCACAGAGCAGTTTCTGAGAATGATTCTGTCGAGTTTTTATAGGAAAATATTTCCTTTTCTGCTTTTGACCTCAAAGCGCTTGAAATCTCCACTTGCAAATTCCACAAAAAGAGACTTTCAAATCTGCTCTGTCTAAAGGAAGGTTCAACTCTGTCAGTTGAATACACACAACACAAAGAAGTTACTAAGAATTCTTCCCTCTAGCATTATATGAAGAAATCCCGTTTCCAACGAAGGCATCTAAGAAGTCCAAATATCCACTTGCAGACTTTACAAACACAGGGTTTCCAGAATGCTGTATGAAAAGAAAGGTTAAACTCTGTGAGTTAAACACACACATCACTACGCAGTGTCTGGGAACGAGTTTGTCTTGTTTTTATATGAAGATATTTCCTTTTCTACCATTGGCATCGAAGCGCTTGAAATCTCCACTTGCAAATTCCACAAAAAGAGTGTTTCAAATCTGCTCTGTCTAAAGGAAGGTTGAACTCTGTGAGTTGCATACACACAACACAAAGAAGTTACTGAGAAATCTTCTGAATAGCATAATATGAAGAAATCCCGTTTCCAACGAAGGCCTCAAAGAGGTCCGATTATCCACTGGCAGGCTTCACAAACAGAGTGTTTCCTAACTGCTCTGTGAAAAGAAAGGTTAAACTCTGTGAGTTGAACGCACACATCACAAAGGAGTTTCTGAGAATCATTCTGTCTAGTTTTTATACGAAGATATTTCCTTTTCTACCATTGACCTCAAAGCGGCTGAAATCTCCACTTGCAAATTCCAGAAAAACAGTGTTTCAAATCTGCTCTGTGTAAAGGATCGTTCAACTCTGTGAGTTGAATACACACAACACAAGGAAGTTACTGAGAATTCATCTGTCTAGCATAATATGAAGAAATCCCGTTTCCAACGAAGGCCTCAAAGAGGTCTGAATATCCACTTGCAGACTTTACAAACAGAGTGTTTCCTAACTGCTCTCTGAAAAGAAAGGTTAAACTCTGTGAGTTGAACGCACACATCACAAAACAGTTTCTGAGAATCATTCTGTCTAGTTTTTATACGAAGATATTTCCTTTTCTACCGTTGACCTCAAAGCGGCTGAATTCTCCACTTACAAATTCCACCCAAAGAGTGTCTCAAATCTGCTCTGTGTAAAGAATCATTCAACTCTGTGAGTTGAATGCACACAACACAAGGAAGTTACTGGGAATTCCTCTGTCTAACCTTAAATGAAAAAACCCGTTTCCAACGAAGGCCTCTAAGAGGCCAAGATATCCACTTGCAGACTTTACAAACAGAGTGTTTCCAAACTGCTGAATGAAAAGAAAAGTTAAACTCTGTGAGTTGAACGCACACATCACAGAGCAGTTTCTGAGAATGATTCTGTCGGGTTTTTCTACGAAGATATTTCCTTTTCTGCCTTTGGCCTCAAAGCGCTTGAAGTCTCCACTTGCAAATTGCAGAAAAAGAGTGTTTCGAATCTGCTCTGTCTAAAGGAAGGTTCAACTCTGTCAGTTGAATACACACAACACAAGGAAGTTACTGAGATTTCTTCTGTCTAGCCTTACATGAAAAAAACCCGTTTCCAACGAAGGCCTCAAAGAGGTCAAAATATCCACGTGCAGACTTTCCAAACAGAGTGTTTCCAAACTGCTGAATGAAAAGAAAAGTTAAACTCTGTGAGTTGAACACACACATCACAGAGCAGTTTCTGAGAATGATTCTGTCTAGTTTTTATAGGAAAATATTTCCTTTTCTGCTTTTGGCCTCAAAGCGCTTGAAATCTCCACTTGCAAATTCCACAAAAAGAGACTTTCAAATCTGCTCTGTCTAAAGGAAGGTTCAACTCTGTCAGTTGAATACACACAACACAAAGAAGTTACTAAGAATTCTTCCCTCTAGCATTATATGAAGAAATCCCGTTTCCAACGAAGGCATCTAAGAGGTCCAAATATCCACTTGCAGACTTTACAAACAGAGGGTTTCCAGAATGCTGTATGAAAAGAAAGGTGAAACTCTGTGAGTTAAACACACACATCACTACGCAGTGTCTGGGAACGAGTTTGTCTTGTTTTTATACGAAGATATTTCCTTTTCTACCATTGGCATCGAAGCGCTTGAAATCTCCACTTGCAAATTCCACAAAAAGAGTGTTTCAAATCTGCTCTGTCTAAAGGAAGGTTGAACTCTGTGAGTTGCATACACACAACACAAAGAAGTTACTGAGAAATCTTCTGTCTAGCATAATATGAAGAAATCCCGTTTCCAACGAAGGCCTCAAAGAGGTCCGAATATCCACTGGCAGGCTTCACAAACAGAGTGTTTCCTAACTGCTCTGTGAAAAGAAAGGTTAAACTCTGTGAGTTGAACGCACACATCACAAAGGAGTTTCTGAGAATCATTCTGTCTAGTTTTTATACGAAGATATTTCTTTTTCTACCATTGACCTCAAAGCGGCTGAAATCTCCACTTGCAAATTCCAGAAAAACAGTGTTTCAAATCTGCTCTGTGTAAAGGATCGTTCAACTACTGTGAGTTGAATACACACAACACAAGGAAGTTACTGAGAATTCATCTGTCTAGCATAATATGAAGAAATCCCGTTTCCAACGAAGGCCTCAAAGAGGTCTGAATATCCACTTGCAGACTTTACAAACAGAGTGTTTCCTAACTGCTCTTTGAAAAGAAAGGTTAAACTCTGTGAGTTGAACGCACACATCACAAAACAGTTTCTGAGAATCATTCTGTCTAGTTTTTATACGAAGATATTTCCTTTTCTACCGTTGACCTCAAAGCGGCTGAATTCTCCACTAACAAATTCCACCAAAAGAGTGTCTCAAATCTGCTCTGTGTAAAGAATCATTCAACTCTGTGAGTTGAATGCACACAACACAAGGAAGTTACTGGGAATTCCTCTGTCTAACCTTACATGAAAAAACCCGTTTCCAACGAAGGCCTCTAAGAGGCCAAGATATCCACTTGCAGACTTTACAAACAGAGTGTTTCCAAACTGCTGAATGAAAAGAAAAGTTAAACTCTGTGAGTTGAACGCACACATCACAGAGCAGTTTCTGAGAATGATTCTGTCGGGTTTTTATACGAAGATATTTCCTTTTCTGCCTTTGGCCTCAAAGCGCTTGAAGTCTCCACTTGCAAATTGCAGAAAAAGAGTGTTTCGAATCTGCTCTGTCTAAAAGAAGGTTCAACTCTGTCAGTTGAATACACACAACACAAGGAAGTTACTGAGATTTCTTCTGTCTAGCCTTATATGAAAAAAACTCGTTTCCAACGAAGGCCTCAAAGAGGTCAAAATATCCACGTGCAGACTTTCCAAACAGAGTGTTTCCAAACTGCTGAATGAAAAGAAAAGTTAAACTCTGTGAGTTGAACACACACATCCCAGAGCAGTTTCTGAGAAAGATTCTGTCTAGTTTTTATAGGAAAATATTTCCTTTTCTGCTTTTGGCCTCAAAGCGCTTGAAATCTCCACTTGCAAATTCCACAAAAAGAGACTTTCAAATCTGCTCTGTCTAAAGGAAGGTTCAACTCTGTCAGTTGAATACACACAACACAAAGAAGTTACTAAGAATTCTTCCCTCTAGCATTATATGAAGAAATCCCGTTTCCAACGAAGGCATCTAAGAGGTCCAAATATCCACTTGCAGACTTTACAAACAGAGGGTTTCCAGAATGCTGTATGAAAAGAAAGGTTAAACTCTGTGAGTTAAACACACACATCACTACGCAGTGTCTGGGAACGAGTTTGTCTTGTTTTTATACGAAGATATTTCCTTTTCTACCATTGGCATCGAAGCGCTTGAAATCTCCACTTGCAAATTCCACAAAAAGAGTGTTTCAAATCTGCTCTGTCTAAAGGAAGGTTGAACTCTGTGAGTTGCATACACACAACACAAAGAAGTTACTGAGAAATCTTCTGTCTAGCATAATATGAAGAAATCCCGTTTCCAACGAAGGCCTCAAAGAGGTCCGAATATCCACTGGCAGGCTTCACAAACAGAGTGTTTCCTAACTACTCTGTGAAAAGAAAGGTTAAACTCTGTGAGTTGAACGCACACATCACAAAGGAGTTTCTGAGAATCATTCTGTCTAGTTTTTATACGAAGATATTTCCTTTTCTACCATTGACCTCAAAGCGGCTGACATCTCCACTTGCAAATTCCAGAAAAACAGTGTTTCAAATCTGCTCTGTGTAAAGGATCGTTCAACTCTGTGAGTTGAATACACACAACACAAGGAAGTTACTGAGAATTCATCTGTCTAGCATAATATGAAGAAATCCCGTTTCCAACGAAGGTCTCAAAGAGGTCTGAATATCCGCTTGCAGACTTTACAAACAGAGTGTTTCCTAACTGCTCTTTGAAAAGAAAGGTTAAACTCTGTGAGTTGAACGCACACATCACAAAACAGTTTCTGAGAATCATTCTGTCTAGTTTTTATACGAAGATATTTCCTTTTCTACCGTTGACCTCAAAGCGGCTGAATTCTCCACTTACAAATTCCACCAAAAGAGTGTCTCAAATCTGCTCTGTGAAAAGAATCATTCAACTCTGTGAGTTGAATGCACACAACACAAGGAAAGTTACTGGGAATTCCTCTGTCTATCCTTACATGAAAAAACCCGTTTCCGACGAAGGCCTCTAAGAGGCCAAGATATCCACTTGCAGACTTTACAAACAGAGTGTTTCCAAACTGCTGAATGAAAAGAAAAGTTAAACTCTGTGAGTTGAACGCACACATCACAGAGCAGTTTCTGAGAAAGATTCTGTCGGGTTTTTATACGAAGATATTTCCTTTTCTGCCTTTGGCCTCAAAGCGCTTGAAGTCTCCACTTGCAAATTGCAGAAAAAGAGTGTTTCGAATCTGCTCTGTCTAAAGGAAGGTTCAACTCTGTCAGTTGAATACACACAACACAAGGAAGTTACTGAGATTTCTTCTGTCTAGCCTTACATGAAAAAAACCCGTTTCCAACGAAGGCCTCAAAGAGGTCAAAATATCCACGTGCAGACTTTCCAAACAGAGTGTTTCCAAACTGCTGAATGAAAAGAAAAGTTAAACTCTGTGAGTTGAACGCACACATCCCAGAGCAGTTTCTGAGAAAGATTCTGTCGAGTTTTTATAGGAAAATATTTCCTTTTCTGCTTTTGGCCTCAAAGCGCTTGAAATCTCCACTTGCAAATTCCACAAAAAGAGACTTTCAAATCTGCTCTGTCTAAAGGAAGGTTCAACTCTGTCAGTTGAATACACACAACACAAAGAAGTTACTAAGAATTCTTCCCTCTAGCATTATATGAAGAAATCCCGTTTCCAACGAAGGCATCTAAGAGGTCCAAATATCCACTTGCAGACTTTACAAACAGAGGGTTTCCAGAATGCTGTATGAAAAGAAAGGTTAAACTCTGTGAGTTAAACACACACATCACTACGCAGTGTCTGGGAACGAGTTTGTCTTGTTTTTATACGAAGATATTTCCTTTTCTACCATTGGCATCGAAGCGCTTGAAATCTCCACTTGCAAATTCCACAAAAAGAGTGTTTCAAATCTGCTCTGTCTAAAGGAAGGTTGAACTCTGTGAGTTGCATACACACAACACAAAGAAGTTACTGAGAAATCTTCTGTCTAGCAAAATATGAAGAAATCCCGTTTCCAACGAAGGCCTCAAAGAGGTCCGAATATCCACTGGCAGGCTTCACAAACAGAGTGTTTCCTAACTGCTCTGTGAAAAGAAAGGTTAAACTCTGTGAGTTGAACGCACACATCACAAAGGAGTTTCTGAGAATCATTCTGTCCAGTTTTTATAGGAAGATATTTCCTTTTCTACCATTGACCTCAAAGCGGCTGAAATCTCCACTTGCAAATTCCAGAAAAACAGTGTTTCAAATCTGCTCTGTGTAAAGGATCGTTCAACTCTGTGAGTTGAATACACACAACACAAGGAAGTTACTGAGAATTCATCTGTCTAGCATAATATGAAGAAATCCCGTTTCCAACGAAGGCTTCAAAGAGGTCTGAATATCCACTTGCAGACTTTAAAAACAGAGTGTTTCCTAACTGCTCTTTGAAAAGAAAGGTTAAACTCTGTGAGTTGAACGCACACATCACAAAACAGTTTCTGAGAATCATTCTTTCTAGTTTTTATACGAAGATATTTCCTTTTCTACCGTTGACCTCAAAGCGGCTGAATTCTCCACTTACAAATTCCACCAAAAGAGTGTCTCAAATCTGCTCTGTGTAAAGAATCATTCAACTCTGTGAGTTGAATGCACACAACACAAGGAAGTTACTGGGAATTCCTCTGTCTAACCTTACATGAAAAAACCCGTTTCCAACGAAGGCCTCTAAGAGGCCAAGATATCCACTTGCAGACTTTACAAACAGAGTGTTTCCAAACTGCTAAATGAAAAGAAAAGTTAAACTCTGTGAGTTGAACGCACACATCACAGAGCAGTTTCTGAGAATGATTCTGTCGGGTTTTTATACGAAGATATTTCCTTTTCTGCCTTTGGCCTCAAAGCGCTTGAAGTCTCCACTTGCAAATTGCAGAAAAAGAGTGTTTCGAATCTGCTCTGTCTAAAGGAAGGTTCAACTCTGTCAGTTGAATACACACAACACAAGGAAGTTACTGAGATTTCTTCTGTCTAGCCTTACATGAAAAAAACCCGTTTCCAACGAAGGCCTCAAAGAGGTCAAAATATCCACGTGCAGACTTTCCAAACAGAGTGTTTCCAAACTGCTGAATGAAAAGAAAAGTTAAACTCTGTGAGTTGAACGCACACATCCCAGAGCAGTTTCTGAGAAAGATTCTGTCGAGTTTTTATAGGAAAATATTTCCTTTTCTGCTTTCGGCCTCAAAGCGCTTGAAATCTCCACTTGCAAATTCCACAAAAAGAGACTTTCAAATCTGCTCTGTCTAAAGGAAGGTTCAACTCTGTCAGTTGAATACACACAACACAAAGAAGTTACTAAGAATTCTTCCCTCTAGCATTATATGAAGAAATCCCGTTTCCAACGAAGGCATCTAAGAGGTCCAAATATCCACTTGCAGACTTTACAAACACACGGTTTCCAGAATGCTGTATGAAAAGAAAGGTGAAACTCTGTGAGTTAAACACACACATCACTACGCAGTGTCTGGGAACGAGTTTGTCTTGTTTTTATACGAAGATATTTCCTTTTCTACCATTGGCATCGAAGCGCTTGAAATCTCCACTTGCAAATTCCACAAAAAGAGTGTTTCAAATCTGCTCTGTCTAAAGGAAGGTTGAACTCTGTGAGTTGCATACACACAACACAAAGAAGTTACTGAGAAATCTTCTGTCTAGCATAATATGAAGAAATCCCGTTTCCAACGAAGGCCTCAAAGAGGTCCGAATATCCACTGGCAGGCTTCACAAACAGAGTGTTTCCTAACTGCTCTGTGAAAAGAAAGGTTAAACTCTGTGAGTTGAACGCACACATCACAAAGGAGTTTCTGAGAATCATTCTGTCTAGTTTTTATACGAAGATATTTCCTTTTCTACCATTGACCTCAAAGCGGCTGACATCTCCACTTGCAAATTCCAGAAAAACAGTGTTTCAAATCTGCTCTGTGTAAAGGATCGTTCAACTCTGTGAGTTGAATACACACAACACAAGGAAGTTACTGAGAATTCATCTGTCTAGCATAATATGAAGAAATCCCGTTTCCAACGAAGGCCTCAAAGAGGTCTGAATATCCTCTTGCAGACTTTACAAACAGAGTGTTTCCTAACTGCTCTTTGAAAAGAAAGGTTAAACTCTGTGAGTTGAACGCACACATCACAAAACAGTTTCTGAGAATCATTCTGTCTAGTTTTTATACGAAGATATTTCCTTTTCTACCGTTGACCTCAAAGCGGCTGAATTCTCCACTTACAAATTCCACCAAAAGAGTGTCTCAAATCTGCTCTGTGTAAAGAATCATTCAACTCTGTGAGTTGAATGCACACAACACAAGGAAGTTACTGGGAATTCCTCTGTCTATCCTTACATGAAAAAACCCGTTTCCAACGAAGGCCTCTAAGAGGCCAAGATATCCACTTGCAGACTTTACAAACAGAGTGTTTCCAAACTGCTGAATGAAAAGAAAAGTTAAACTCTGTGAGTTGAACGCACACATCACAGAGCAGTTTCTGAGAATGATTCTGTCGGGTTTTTATACGAAGATATTTCCTTTTCTGCCTTTGGCCTCAAAGCGCTTGAAGTCTCCACTTGCAAATTGCAGAAAAAGAGTGTTTCGAATCTGCTCTGTCTAAAGGAAGGTTCAACTCTGTCAGTTGAATACACACAACACAAGGAAGTTACTGAGATTTCTTCTGTCTAGCCTTACATGAAAAAAACCCGTTTCCAACGAAGGCCTCAAAGAGGTCAAAATATCCACGTGCAGACTTTCCAAACAGAGTGTTTCCAAACTGCTGAATGAAAAGAAAAGTTAAACTCTGTGAGTTGAACGCACACATCCCAGAGCAGTTTCTGAGAAAGATTCTGTCGAGTTTTTATAGGAAAATATTTCCTTTTCTGCTTTTGGCCTCAAAGCGCTTGAAATCTCCACTTGCAAATTCCACAAAAAGAGACTTTCAAATCTGCTCTGTCTAAAGGAAGGTTCAACTCTGTCAGTTGAATACACACAACACAAAGAAGTTACTAAGAATTCTTCCCTCTAGCATTATATGAAGAAATCCCGTTTCCAACGAAGGCATCTAAGAGGTCCAAATATCCACTTGCAGACTTTACAAACACAGGGTTTCCAGAATGCTGTATGAAAAGAAAGGTGAAACTCTGTGAGTTAAACACACACATCACTACGCAGTGTCTGGGAACGAGTTTGTCTTGTTTTTATACGAAGATATTTCCTTTTCTACCATTGGCATCGAAGCGCTTGAAATCTCCACTTGCAAATTCCACAAAAAGAGTGTTTCAAATCTGCTCTGTCTAAAGGAAGGTTGAACTCTGTGAGTTGCATACACACAACACAAAGAAGTTACTGAGAAATCTTCTGTCTAGCATAATATGAAGAAATCCCGTTTCCAACGAAGGCCTCAAAGAGGTCCGAATATCCACTGGCAGGCTTCACAAACAGAGTGTTTCCTAACTGCTCTGTGAAAAGAAAGGTTAAACTCTGTGAGTTGAACGCACACATCACAAAGGAGTTTCTGAGAATCATTCTGTCTAGTTTTTATACGAAGATATTTCCTTTTCTACCATTGACCTCAAAGCGGCTGAAATCTCCACTTGCAAATTCCAGAAAAACAGTGTTTCAAATCTGCTCTGTGTAAAGGATCGTTCAACTCTGTGAGTTGAATACACACAACACAAGGAAGTTACTGAGAATTCATCTGTCTAGCATAATATGAAGAAATCCCGTTTCCAACGAAGGCCTCAAAGAGGTCTGAATATCCACTTGCAGACTTTACAAACAGAGTGTTTCCTAACTGCTCTTTGAAAAGAAAGGTTAAACTCTGTGAGTTGAACGCACACATCACAAAACAGTTTCTGAGAATCATTCTGTCTAGTTTTTATACGAAGATATTTCCTTTTCTACCGTTGACCTCAAAGCGGCTGAATTCTCCACTTACAAATTCCACCAAAAGAGTGTCTCAAAACTGCTCTGTGTAAAGAATCATTCAACTCTGTGAGTTGAATGCACACAACACAAGGAAGTTACTGGGAATTCCTCTGTCTAACCTTACATGAAAAAACCCGTTTCCAACGAAGGCCTCTAAGAGGCCAAGATATCCACTTGCAGACTTTACAAACAGAGTGTTTCCAAACTGCTGAATGAAAAGAAAAGTTAAACTCTGTGAGTTGAACGCACACATCACAGAGCAGTTTCTGAGAATGATTCTGTCGGGTTTTTATACGAAGATATTTCCTTTTCTGCCTTTGGCCTCAAAGCGCTTGAAGTCTCCACTTGCAAATTGCAGAAAAAGAGTGTTTCGAATCTGCTCTGTCTAAAGGAAGGTTCAACTCTGTCAGTTGAATACACACAACACAAGGAAGTTACTGAGATTTCTTCTGTCTAGCCTTACATGAAAAAAACCCGTTTCCAACGAAGGCCTCAAAGAGGTCAAAATATCCACGTGCAGACTTTCCAAACAGAGTGTTTCCAAACTGCTGAATGAAAAGAAAAGTTAAACTCTGTGAGTTGAACGCACACATCCCAGAGCAGTTTCTGAGAAAGATTCTGTCGAGTTTTTATAGGAAAATATTTCCTTTTCTGCTTTTGGCCTCAAAGCGCTTGAAATCTCCACTTGCAAATTCCACAAAAAGAGACTTTCAAATCTGCTCTGTCTAAAGGAAGGTTCAACTCTGTCAGTTGAATACACACAACACAAAGAAGTTACTAAGAATTCTTCCCTCTAGCATTATATGAAGAAATCCCGTTTCCAACGAAGGCATCTAAGAGGTCCAAATATCCACTTGCAGACTTTACAAACACAGGGTTTCCAGAATGCTGTATGAAAAGAAAGGTTAAACTCTGTGAGTTAAACACACACATCACTACGCAGTGTCTGGGAACGAGTTTGTCTTGTTTTTATACGAAGATATTTCCTTTTCTACCATTGGCATCGAAGCGCTTGAAATCTCCACTTGCAAATTCCACAAAAAGAGTGTTTCAAATCTGCTCTGTCTAAAGGAAGGTTGAACTCTGTGAGTTGCATACACACAACACAAAGAAGTTACTGAGAAATCTTCTGTCTAGCATAATATGAAGAAATCCCGTTTCCAACCAAGGCCTCAAAGAGGTCCGATTATCCACTGGCAGGCTTCACAAACAGAGTGTTTCCTAACTGCTCTGTGAAAAGAAAGGTTAAACTCTGTGAGTTGAACGCACACATCACAAAGGAGTTTCTGAGAATCATTCTGTCTAGTTTTTATACGAAGATATTTCCTTTTCTACCATTGACCTCAAAGCGGCTGAAATCTCCACTTGCAAATTCCAGAAAAACAGTGTTTCAAATCTGCTCTGTGTAAAGGATCGTTCAACTCTGTGAGTTGAATACACACAACACAAGGAAGTTACTGAGAATTCATCTGTCTAGCATAATATGAAGAAATCCCGTTTCCAACGAAGGCCTCAAAGAGGTCTGAATATCCACTTGCAGACTTTACAAACAGAGTGTTTCCTAACTGCTCTTTGAAAAGAAAGGTTAAACTCTGTGAGTTGAAAGCACACATCACAAAACAGTTTCTGAGAATCATTCTGTCTAGTTTTTATACGAAGATATTTCCTTTTCTACCGTTGACCTCAAAGCGGCTGAATTCTCCACTTACAAATTCCACCAAAAGAGTGTCTCAAATCTGCTCTGTGTAAAGAATCATTCAACTCTGTGAGTTGAATGCACACAACACAAGGAAGTTACTGGGAATTCCTCTGTCTAACCTTACATGAAAAAACCCGTTTCCAACGAAGGCCTCTAAGAGGCCAAGATATCCACTTGCAGACTTTACAAACAGAGTGTTTCCAAACTGCTGAATGAAAAGAAAAGTTAAACTCTGTGAGTTGAACGCACACATCACAGAGCAGTTTCTGAGAATGATTCTGTCGGGTTTTTATACGAAGATATTTCCTTTTCTGCCTTTGGCCTCAAAGCGCTTGAAGTCTCCACTTGCAAATTGCAGAAAAAGAGTGTTTCGAATCTGCTCTGTCTAAAGGAAGGTTCAACTCTGTCAGTTGAATACACACAACACAAGGAAGTTACTGAGATTTCTTCTGTCTAGCCTTACATGAAAAAAACCCGTTTCCAACGAAGGCCTCAAAGAGGTCAAAATATCCACGTGCAGACTTTCCAAACAGAGTGTTTCCAAACGCTGAATGAAAAGAAAAGTTAAACTCTGTGAGTTGAACGCACACATCCCAGAGCAGTTTCTGAGAAAGATTCTGTCGAGGTTTTATAGGAAAATATTTCCTTTTCTGCTTTTGGCCTCAAAGCGCTTGAAATCTCCACTTGCAAATTCCACAAAAAGAGACTTTCAAATCTGCTCTGTCTAAAGGAAGGTTCAACTCTGTCAGTTGAATACACACAACACAAAGAAGTTACTAAGAATTCTTCCCTCTAGCATTATATGAAGAAATCCCGTTCCCAACGAAGGCATCTAAGAGGTCCAAATATCCACTTGCAGACTTTACAAACAGAGGGTTTCCAGAATGCTGTATGAAAAGAAAGGTTAAACTCTGTGAGTTAAACACACACATCACTACGCAGTGTCTGGGAACGAGTTTGTCTTGTTTTTATACGAAGATATTTCCTTTTCTACCATTGGCATCGAAGCGCTTGAAATCTCCACTTGCAAATTCCACAAAAAGAGTGTTTCAAATCTGCTCTGTCTAAAGGAAGGTTGAACTCTGTGAGTTGCATACACACAACACAAAGAAGTTACTGAGAAATCTTCTGTCTAGCATAATATGAAGAAATCCCGTTTCCAACGAAGGCCTCAAAGAGGTCCGAATATCCACTGGCAGGCTTCACAAACAGAGTGTTTCCTAACTGCTCTGTGAAAAGAAAGGTTAAACTCTGTGAGTTGAACGCACACATCACAAAGGAGTTTCTGAGAATCATTCTGTCTAGTTTTTATACGAAGATATTTCCTTTTCTACCATTGACCTCAAAGCGGCTGAAATCTCCACTTGCAAATTCCAGAAAAACAGTGTTTCAAATCTGCTCTGTGTAAAGGATCGTTCAACTCTGTGAGTTGAATACACACAACACAAGGAAGTTACTGAGAATTCATCTGTCTAGCATAATATGAAGAAATCCCGTTTCCAACGAAGGCCTCAAAGAGGTCTGAATATCCACTTGCAGACTTTACAAACAGAGTGTTTCCTAACTGCTCTTTGAAAAGAAAGGTTAAACTCTGTGAGTTGAACGCACACATCACAAAACAGTTTCTGAGAATCATTCTGTCTAGTTTTTATACGAAGATATTTCCTCTTCTACCGTTGACCTCAAAGCGGCTGAATTCTCCACTTACAAATTCCACCAAAAGAGTGTCTCAAATCTGCTCTGTGTAAAGAATCATTCAACTCTGTGAGTTGAATGCACACAACACAAGGAAGTTACTGGGAATTCCTCTGTCTAACCTTACATGAAAAAACCCGTTTCCAACGAAGGCCTCTAAGAGGCCAAGATATCCACTTGCAGACTTTACAAACAGAGTGTTTCCAAACTGCTGAATGAAAAGAAAAGTTAAACTCTGTGAGTTGAACGCACACATCACAGAGCAGTTTCTGAGAATGATTCTGTCGGGTTTTTATACGAAGATATTTCCTTTTCTGCCTTTGGCCTCAAAGCGCTTGAAGTCTCCACTTGCAAATTGCAGAAAAAGAGTGTTTCGAATCTGCTCTGTCTAAAGGAAGGTTCAACTCTGTCAGTTGAATACACACAACACAAGGAAGTTACTGAGATTTCTTCTGTCTAGCCTTACATGAAAAAAACCCGTTTCCAACGAAGGCCTCAAAGAGGTCAAAATATCCACGTGCAGACTTTCCAAACAGAGTGTTTCCAAACTGCTGAATGAAAAGAAAAGTTAAACTCTGTGAGTTGAACGCACACATCCCAGAGCAGTTTCTGAGAAAGATTCTGTCTAGTTTTTATAGGAAAATATTTCCTTTTCTGCTTTTGGCCTCAAAGCGCTTGAAATCTCCACTTGCAAATTCCACAAAAAGAGACTTTCAAATCTGCTCTGTCTAAAGGAAGGTTCAACTCTGTCAGTTGAATACACACAACACAAAGAAGTTACTAAGAATTCTTCCCTCTAGCATTATATGAAGAAATCCCGTTTCCAACGAAGGCATCTAAGAGGTCCAAATATCGACTTGCAGACTTTACAAACAGAGGGTTTCCAGAATGCTGTATGAAAAGAAAGGTGAAACTCTGTGAGTTAAACACACACATCACTACGCAGTGTCTGGGAACGAGTTTGTCTTGTTTTTATACGAAGATATTTCCTTTTCTACCATTGGCATCGAAGCGCTTGAAATCTCCACTTGCAAATTCCACAAAAAGAGTGTTTCAAATCTGCTCTGTCTAAAGGAAAGTTGAACTCTGTGAGTTGCATACACACAACACAAAGAAGTTACTGAGAAATCTTCTGTCTAGCATAATATGAAGAAATCCCGTTTCCAACGAAGGCCTGAAAGAGGTCCGAATATCCACTGGCAGGCTTCACAAACAGAGTGTTTCCTAACTGCTCTGTGAAAAGAAAGGTTAAACTCTGTGAGTTGAACGCACACATCACAAAGGAGTTTCTGAGAATCATTCTGTCTAGTTTTTATACGAAGATATTTCCTTTTCTACCATTGACCTCAAAGCGGCTGAAATCTCCACTTGCAAATTCCAGAAAAACAGTGTTTCAAATCTGCTCTGTGTAAAGGATCGTTCAACTCTGTGAGTTGAATACACACAACACAAGGAAGTTACTGAGAATTCATCTGTCTAGCATAATATGAAGAAATCCCGTTTCCAACGAAGGCCTCAAAGAGGTCTGAATATCCACTTGCAGACTTTACAGAGTGTTTCCTAACTGCTCTCTGAAAAGAAAGGTTAAACTCTGTGAGTTGAACGCACACATCACAAAACAGTTTCTGAGAATCATTCTGTCTAGTTTTTATACGAAGATATTTCCTTTTCTACCGTTGACCTCAAAGCGGCTGAATTCTCCACTTACAAATTCCACCAAAAGAGTGTCTCAAATCTGCTCTGTGTAAAGAATCGTTCAACACTGTGAGTTGAATGCACACAACACAAGGAAGTTACTGGGAATTCCTCTGTCTATCCTTACATGAAAAAACCCGTTTCCAACGAAGGCCTCTAAGAGGCCAAGATATCCACTTGCAGACTTTACAAACAGAGTGTTTCCAAACTGCTGAATGAAAAGAAAAGTTAAACTCTGTGAGTTGAACGCACACATTACAGAGCAGTTTCTGAGAATGATTCTGTCGGGTTTTTATACGAAGATATTTCCTTTTCTGCCTTTGGCCTCAAAGCGCTTGAAGTCTCCACTTGCAAATTGCAGAAAAAGAGTGTTTCGAATCTGCTCTGTCTAAAGGAAGGTTCAACTCTGTCAGTTGAATACACACAACACAAGGAAGTTACTGAGATTTCTTCTGTCTAGCCTTACATGAAAAAAACCCGTTTCCAACGAAGGCCTCAAAGAGGTCAAAATATCCACGTGCAGACTTTCCAAACAGAGTGTTTCCAAACTGCTGAATGAAAAGAAAAGTTAAACTCTGTGAGTTGAACGCACACATCCCAGAGCAGTTTCTGAGAAAGATTCTGTCGAGGTTTTATAGGAAAATATTTCCTTTTCTGCTTTTGGCCTCAAAGCGCTTGAAATCTCCACTTGCAAATTCCACAAAAAGAGACTTTCAAATCTGCTCTGTCTAAAGGAAGGTTCAACTCTGTCAGTTGAATACACACAACACAAAGAAGTTACTAAGAATTCTTCCCTCTAGCATTATATGAAGAAATCCCGTTTCCAACGAAGGCATCTAAGAGGTCCAAATATCCACTTGCAGACTTTACAAACACAGGGTTTCCAGAATGCTGTATGAAAAGAAAGGTTAAACTCTGTGAGTTAAACACACACATCACTACGCAGTGTCTGGGAACGAGTTTGTCTTGTTTTTATACGAAGATATTTCCTTTTCTACCATTGGCATCGAAGCGCTTGAAATCTCCACTTGCAAATTCCACAAAAAGAGTGTTTCAAATCTGCTCTGTCTAAAGGAAGGTTGAACTCTGTGAGTTGCATACACACAACACAAAGAAGTTACTGAGAAATCTTCTGTCTAGCATAATATGAAGAAATCCCGTTTCCAACGAAGGCCTCAAAGAGGTCCGAATATCCACTGGCAGGCTTCACAGAGTGTTTCCTAACTGCTCTGTGAAAAGAAAGGTTAAACTCTGTGGGTTGAACGCACATATCACAAAGGAGTTTCTGAGAATCATTCTGTCTAGTTTTTATACGAAGATATTTCCTTTTCTACCATTGACCTCAAAGCGGCTGAAATCTCCACTTGCAAATTCCAGAAAAACAGTGTTTCAAATCTGCTCTGTGTAAAGGATCGTTTAACTCGGTGAGTTGAATACACACAACACAAGGAAGTTACTGAGAATTCATCTGTCTAGCATAATATGAAGAAATCCCGTTTCCAACGAAGGCCTCAAAGAGGTCTGAATATCCACTTGCAGACTTTACAAACAGAGTGTTTCCTAACTGCTCTTTGAAAAGAAAGGTTAAACTCTGTGAGTTGAACGCACACATCACAAAACAGTTTCTGAGAATCATTCTGTCTAGTTTTTATACGAAGATATTTCCTTTTCTACCGTTGACCTCAAAGCGGCTGAATTCTCCACTTACAAATTCCACCAAAAGAGTGTCTCAAATCTGCTCTGTGTAAAGAATCATTCAACTCTGTGAGTTGAATGCACACAACACAAGGAAGTTACTGGGAATTCCTCTGTCTATCCTTACATGAAAAAACCCGTTTCCAACGAAGGCCTCTAAGAGGCCAAGATATCCACTTGCAGACTTTACAAACAGAGTGTTTCCAAACTGCTGAATGAAAAGAAAAGTTAAACTCTGTGAGTTGAACGCACACATCACAGTAGCAGTTTCTGAGAATGATTCTGTCGGGTTTTTATACGAAGATATTTCCTTTTCTGCCTTTGGCCTCAAAGCGCTTGAAGTCTCCACTTGCAAATTGCAGAAAAAGAGTGTTTCGAATCTGCTCTGTCTAAAGGAAGGTTCAACTCTGTCAGTTGAATACACACAACACAAGGAAGTTACTGAGATTTCTTCTGTCTAGCCTTACATGAAAAAAACCCGTTTCCAACGAAGGCCTCAAAGAGGTCAAAATATCCACGTGCAGACTTTCCAAACAGAGTGTTTCCAAACTGCTGAATGAAAAGAAAAGTTAAACTCTGTGAGTTGAACGCACACATCCCAGAGCAGTTTCTGAGAAAGATTCTGTCTAGTTTTTATAGGAAAATATTTCCTTTTCTGCTTTTGGCCTCAAAGCGCTTGAAATCTCCACTTGCAAATTCCACAAAAAGAGACTTTCAAATCTGCTCTGTCTAAAGGAAGGTTCAACTCTGTCAGTTGAATACACACAACACAAAGAAGTTACTAAGAATTCTTCCCTCTAGCATTATATGAAGAAATCCCGTTTCCAACGAAGGCATCTAAGAGGTCCAAATATCCACTTGCAGACTTTACAAACAGAGGGTTTCAAGAATGCCGTATGAAAAGAAAGGTGAAACTCTGTGAGTTAAACACACACATCACTACGCAGTGTCTGGGAACGAGTTTGTCTTGTTTTTATACGAAGATATTTCCTTTTCTACCATTGGCATCGAAGCGTTTGAAATCTCCACTTGCAAATTCCACAAAAAGAGTGTTTCAAATCTGCTCTGTCTAAAGGAAGGTTGAACTCTGTGAGTTGCATACACACAACACAAAGAAGTTACTGAG
Source organism: Homo sapiens (assembly GCF_000001405.40). NCBI lineage: Eukaryota > Metazoa > Chordata > Mammalia > Primates > Hominidae > Homo > Homo sapiens. Next base: position 36,946,686 of record NC_000016.10, on the reverse strand, counting down.
AAATCTTCTGTCTAGCATAATATGAAGAAATCCCGTTTCCAACGAAGGCCTCAAAGAGGTCCGAATATCCACTGGCAGGCTTCACAAACAGAGTGTTTCCTAACTGCTCTGTGAAAAGAAAGGTTAAACTCTGTGAGTTGAACGCACACATCACAAAGGAGTTTCTGAGAATCATTCTGTCTAGTTTTTATACGAAGATATTTCCTTTTCTACCATTGACCTCAAAGCGGCTGAAATCTCCACTTGCAAATTCCAGAAAAACAGTGTTTCAAATCTGCTCTGTGTAAAGGATCGTTCAACTCTGTGAGTTGAATACACACAACACAAGGGAAGTTACTGAGAATTCATCTGTCTAGCATAATATGAAGAAATCCCGTTTCCAACGAAGGCCTCAAAGAGGTCTGAATATCCACTTGCAGACTTTACAAACAGAGTGTTTCCTAACTGCTCTTTGAAAAGAAAGGTTAAACTCTGTGAGTTGAACGCACACATCACAAAACAGTTTCTGAGAATCATTCTGTCTAGTTTTTATACGAAGATATTTCCTTTTCTACCGTTGACATCAAAGCGGCTGAATTCTCCACTTACAAATTCCACCAAAAGAGTGTCTCAAATCTGCTCTGTGTAAAGAATCATTCAACTCTGTGAGTTGAATGCACACAACACAAGGAAGTTAGTGGGGAATTCCTCTGTCTAACCTTACATGAAAAAACCCGTTTCCAACGAAGGCCTCTAAGAGGCCAAGATATCCACTTGCAGACTTTACAAACAGAGTGTTTCCAAACTGCTGAATGAAAAGAAAAGTTAAACTCTGTGAGTTGAACGCACACATCACAGAGCAGTTTCTGAGAATGATTCTGTCGGGTTTTTATACGAAGATATTTCCTTTTCTGCCTTTGGCCTCAAAGCGCTTGAAGTCTCCACTTGCAAATTGCAGAAAAAGAGTGTTTCGAATCTGCTCTGTCTAAAGGAAGGTTCAACTCTGTCAGTTGAATACACACAACACAAGGAAGTTACTGAGATTTCTTCTGTCTAGCCTTACATGAAAAAAACCCGTTTCCAACGAAGGCCTCAAAGAGGTCAAAATATCCACGTGCAGACTTTCCAAACAGAGTGTTTCCAAACTGCTGAATGAAAAGAAAAGTTAAACTCTGTGAGTTGAACGCACACATCCCAGAGCAGTTTCTGAGAAAGATTCTGTCTAGTTTTTATAGGAAAATATTTCCTTTTCTGCTTTTGGCCTCAAAGCGCTTGAAATCTCCACTTGCAAATTCCACAAAAAGAGACTTTCAAATCTGCTCTGTCTAAAGGAAGGTTCAACTCTGTCAGTTGAATACACACAACACAAAGAAGTTACTAAGAATTCTTCCCTCTAGCATTATATGAAGAAATCCCGTTTCCAACGAAGGCATCTAAGAGGTCCAAATATCCACTTGCAGACTTTACAAACACAGGGTTTCCAGAATGCTGTATGAAAAGAAAGGTTAAACTCTGTGAGTTAAACACACACATCACTACGCAGTGTCTGGGAACGAGTTTGTCTTGTTTTTATACGAAGATATTTCCTTTTCTACCATTGGCATCGAAGCGCTTGAAATCTCCACTTGCAAATTCCACAAAAAGAGTGTTTCAAATCTGCTCTGTCTAAAGGAAGGTTGAACTCTGTGAGTTGCATACACACAACACAAAGAAGTTACTGAGAAATCTTCTGTCTAGCATAATATGAAGAAATCCCGTTTCCAACGAAGGCCTCAAAGAGGTCCGAATATCCACTGACAGGCTTCACAAACAGAGTGTTTCCTAACTGCTCTGTGAAAAGAAAGGTTAAACTCTGTGAGTTGAACGCACACATCACAAAGGAGTTTCTGAGAATCATTCTGTCTAGTTTTTATACGAAGATATTTCCTTTTCTACCATTGACCTCAAAGCGGCTGAAATCTCCACTTGCAAATTCCAGAAAAACAGTGTTTCAAATCTGCTCTGTGTAAAGGATCGTTCAACTCTGTGAGTTGAATACACACAACACAAGGAAGTTACTGAGAATTCATCTGTCTAGCATAATATGAAGAAATCCCGTTTCCAACGAAGGCCTCAAAGAGGTCTGAATATCCACTTGCAGACTTTACAAACAGAGTGTTTCCTAACTGCTCTTTGAAAAGAAAGGTTAAACTCTGTGAGTTGAACGCACACATCACAAAACAGTTTCTGAGAATCATTCTGTCTAGTTTTTATACGAAGATATTTCCTTTTCTACCGTTGACCTCAAAGCAGCTGAATTCTCCACTTACAAATTCCACCAAAAGAGTGTCTCAAATCTGCTCTGTGTAAAGAATCATTCAACTCTGTGAGTTGAATGCACACAACACAAGGAAGTTACTGGGAATTCCTCTGTCTAACCTTACATGACAAAACCCGTTTCCAACGAAGGCCTCTAAGAGGCCAAGATATCCACTTGCAGACTTTACAAACAGAGTGTTTCCAAACTGCTGAATGAAAAGAAAAGTTAAACTCTGTGAGTTGAACGCACACATCACAGAGCAGTTTCTGAGAATGATTCTGTCGGGTTTTTATACGAAGATATTTCCTTTTCTGCCTTTGGCCTCAAAGCGCTTGAAGTCTCCACTTGCAAATTGCAGAAAAAGAGTGTTTCGAATCTGCTCTGTCTAAAGGAAGGTTCAACTCTGTCAGTTGAATACACACAACACAAGGAAGTTACTGAGATTTCTTCTGTCTAGCCTTACATGAAAAAAACCCGTTTCCAACGAAGGCCTCAAAGAGGTCAAAATATCCACGTGCAGACTTTCCAAACAGAGTGTTTCCAAACTGCTGAATGAAAAGAAAGTTAAACTCTGTGAGTTGAACACACACATCACAGAGCAGTTTCTGAGAATGATTCTCTCTAGTTTTTATAGGAAAATGTTTCCTTTTCTGCTTTTGGCCTCAAAGCGCTTGAAATCTCCACTTGCAAATTCCACAAAAAGAGACTTTCAAATCTGCTCTGTCTAAAGGAAGGTTCAACTCTGTCAGTTCAATACACACAACACAAAGAAGTTACTAAGAATTCTTCCCTCTAGCATTATATGAAGAAATCCCGTTTCCAACGAAGGCATCTAAGAGGTCCAAATATCGACTTGCAGACTTTACAAACAGAGGGTTTCCAGAACGCTGTATGAAAAGAAAGGTGAAACTCTGTGAGTTAAACACACACATCACTACGCAGTGTCTGGGAACGAGTTTGTCTTGTTTTTATACGAAGATATTTCCTTTTCTACCATTGGCATCGAAGCGCTTGAAATCTCCACTTGCAAATTCCACAAAAAGAGTGTTTCAAATCTGCTCTGTCTAAAGGAAGGTTGAACTCTGTGAGTTGCATACACACAACACAAAGAAGTTACTGAGAAATCTTCTGTCTAGCATAATATGAAGAAATCCCGTTTCCAACGAAGGCCTGAAAGAGGTCCGAATATCCACTGGCAGGCTTCACAAACAGAGTGTTTCCTAACTGCTCTGTGAAAAGAAAGGTTAAACTCTGTGAGTTGAACGCACACATCACAAAGGAGTTTCTGAGAATCATTCTGTCTAGTTTTTATACGAAGATATTTCCTTTTCTACAATTGACCTCAAAGCGGCTGAAATCTCCACTTGCAAATTCCAGAAAAACAGTGTTTCAAATCTGCTCTGTGTAAAGGATCGTTCAACTCTGTGAGTTGAATACACACAACACAAGGAAGTTACTGAGAATTCATCTGTCTAGCATAATATGAAGAAATCCCGTTTCCAACGAAGGCCTCAAAGAGGTCTGAATATCCACTTGCAGACTTTACAGAGTGTTTCCTAACTGCTCTCTGAAAAGAAAGGTTAAACTCTGTGAGTTGAACGCACACATCACAAAACAGTTTCTGAGAATCATTCTGTCTAGTTTTTATACGAAGATATTTCCTTTTCTACCGTTGACCTCAAAGCGGCTGAATTCTCCACTTACAAATTCCACCAAAAGAGTGTCTCAAATCTGCTCTGTGTAAAGAATCATTCAACTCTGTGAGTTGAATGCACACAACACAAGGAAGTTACTGGGAATTCCTCTGTCTATCCTTACATGAAAAAACCCGTTTCCAACGAAGGCCTCTAAGAGGCCAAGATATCCACTTGCAGACTTTACAAACAGAGTGTTTCCAAACTGCTGAATGAAAAGAAAAGTTAAACTCTGTGAGTTGAACGCACACATCACAGAGCAGTTTCTGAGAATGATTCTGTCGGGTTTTTATACGAAGATATTTCCTTTTCTGCCTTTGGCCTCAAAGCGCTTGAAGTCTCCACTTGCAAATTGCAGAAAAAGAGTGTTTCGAATCTGCTCTGTCTAAAGGAAGGTTCAACTCTGTCAGTTGAATACACACAACACAAGGGAATTTACTGAGATTTCTTCTGTCTAGCCTTACATGATAAAAACCCGTTTCCAACGAAGGCCTCAAAGAGGTCAAAATATCCACGTGCAGACTTTCCAAACAGAGTGTTTCCAAACTGCTGAATGAAAAGAAAAGTTAAACTCTGTGAGTTGAACGCACACATCACAGAGCAGTTTCTGAGAATGATTCTGTCTAGTTTTTATAGGAAAATATTTCCTTTTCTGCTTTTGGCCTCAAAGCCCTTGAAATCTCCACTTGCAAATTCCACAAAAAGAGACTTTCAAATCTGCTCTGTCTAAAGGAAGGTTCAACTCTGTCAGTTGAATACACACAACACAAAGAAGTTACTAAGAATTCTTCCCTCTAGCATTATATGAAGAAATCCCGTTTCCAACGAAGGCATCTAAGAGGTCCAAATATCCACTTGCAGACTTTACAAACAGAGGGTTTCCAGAATGCTGTATGAAAAGAAAGGTTAAACTCTGTGAGTTAAACACACACATCACTACGCAGTGTCTGGGAACGAGTTTGTCTTGTTTTTATACGAAGATATTTCCTTTTCTACCATTGGCATCGAAGCGCTTGAAATCTCCACTTGCAAATTCCACAAAAAGAGTGTTTCAAATCTGCTCTGTCTAAAGGAAGGTTGAACTCTGTGAGTTGCATACACACAACACAAAGAAGTTACTGAGAAATCTTCTGTCTAGCATAATATGAAGAAATCCCGTTTCCAACGAAGGCCTCAAAGAGGTCCGAATATCCACTGGCAGGCTTCACAAACAGAGTGTTTCCTAACTGCTCTGTGAAAAGAAAGGTTAAACTCTGTGAGTTGAACGCACACATCACAAAGGAGTTTCTGAGAATCATTCTGTCTAGTTTTTATACGAAGATATTTCCTTTTCTACCATTGACCTCAAAGCGGCTGACATCTCCACTTGCAAATTCCAGAAAAACAGTGTTTCAAATCTGCTCTGTGTAAAGGATCGTTCAACTCTGTGAGTTGAATACACACAACACAAGGAAGTTACTGAGAATTCATCTGTCTAGCATAATATGAAGAAATCCCGTTTCCAACGAAGGCCTCAAAGAGGTCTGAATATCCACTTGCAGACTTTACAAACAGAGTGTTTCCTAACTGCTCTTTGAAAAGAAAGGTTAAACTCTGTGAGTTGAAAGCACACATCACAAAACAGTTTCTGAGAATCATTCTGTCTAGTTTTTATACGAAGATATTTCCTTTTCTACCGTTGACATCAAAGCGGCTGAATTCTCCACTTACAAATTCCACCAAAAGAGTGTCTCAAATCTGCTCTGTGTAAAGAATCATTCAACTCTGTGAGTTGAATGCACACAACACAAGGAAGTTAGTGGGAATTCCTCTGTCTAACCTTACATGAAAAAACCCGTTTCCAACGAAGGCCTCTAAGAGGCCAAGATATCCACTTGCAGACTTTACAAACAGAGTGTTTCCAAACTGCTGAATGAAAAGAAAAGTTAAACTCTGTGAGTTGAACGCACACATCACAGAGCAGTTTCTGAGAATGATTCTGTCGGGTTTTTATACGAAGATATTTCCTTTTCTGCCTTTGGCCTCAAAGCGCTTGAAGTCTCCACTTGCAAATTGCAGAAAAAGAGTGTTTCGAATCTGCTCTGTCTAAAGGAAGGTTCAACTCTGTCAGTTGAATACACACAACACAAGGAAGTTACTGAGATTTCTTCTGTCTAGCCTTACATGAAAAAAACCCGTTTCCAACGAAGGCCTCAAAGAGGTCAAAATATCCACGTGCAGACTTTCCAAACAGAGTGTTTCCAAACTGCTGAATGAAAAGAAAAGTTAAACTCTGTGAGTTGAACGCACACATCCCAGAGCAGTTTCTGAGAAAGATTCTGTCGAGTTTTTATAGGAAAATATTTCCTTTTCTGCTTTTGGCCTCAAAGCGCTTGAAATCTCCACTTGCAAATTCCACAAAAAGAGACTTTCAAATCTGCTCTGTCTAAAGGAAGGTTCAACTCTGTCAGTTGAATACACACAACACAAAGAAGTTACTAAGAATTCTTCCCTCTAGCATTATATGAAGAAATCCCGTTTCCAACGAAGGCATCTAAGAGGTCCAAATATCCACTTGCAGACTTTACAAACAGAGGGTTTCCAGAATGCTGTATGAAAAGAAAGGTTAAACTCTGTGAGTTAAACACACACATCACTACGCAGTGTCTGGGAACGAGTTTGTCTTGTTTTTATACGAAGATATTTCCTTTTCTACCATTGGCATCGAAGCGCTTGAAATCTCCACTTGCAAATTCCACAAAAAGAGTGTTTCAAATCTGCTCTGTCTAAAGGAAGGTTGAACTCTGTGAGTTGCATACACACAACACAAAGAAGTTACTGAGAAATCTTCTGTCTAGCATAATATGAAGAAATCCCGTTTCCAACGAAGGCCTCAAAGAGGTCCGAATATCCACTGGCAGGCTTCACAAACAGAGTGTTTCCTAACTGCTCTGTGAAAAGAAAGGTTAAACTCTGTGAGTTGAACGCACACATCACAAAGGAGTTTCTGAGAATCATTCTGTCTAGTTTTTATACGAAGATATTTCCTTTTCTACCATTGACCTCAAAGCGGCTGAAATCTCCACTTGCAAATTCCAGAAAAACAGTGTTTCAAATCTGCTCTGTGTAAAGGATCGTTCAACTCTGTGAGTTGAATACACACAACACAAGGAAGTTACTGAGAATTCATCTGTCTAGCATAATATGAAGAAATCCCGTTTCCAACGAAGGCCTCAAAGAGGTCTGAATATCCACTTGCAGACTTTACAAACAGAGTGTTTCCTAACTGCTCTTTGAAAAGAAAGGTTAAACTCTGTGAGTTGAACGCACACATCAAAAAACAGTTTCTGAGAATCATTCTGTCTAGTTTTTATACGAAGATATTTCCTTTTCTACCGTTGACCTCAAAGCGGCTGAATTCTCCACTTACAAATTCCACCAAAAGAGTGTCTCAAATCTGCTCTGTGTAAAGAATCATTCAACTCTGTGAGTTGAATGCACACAACACAAGGAAGTTACTGGGAATTCCTCTGTCTAACCTTACATGAAAAAACCCGTTTCCAACGAAGGCCTCTAAGAGGCCAAGATATCCACTTGCAGACTTTACAAACAGAGTGTTTCCAAACTGCTGAATGAAAAGAAAAGTTAAACTCTGTGAGTTGAACGCACACATCACAGAGCAGTTTCTGAGAATGATTCTGTCGGGTTTTTATACGAAGATATTTCCTTTTCTGCCTTTGGCCTCAAAGCGCTTGAAGTCTCCACTTGCAAATTGCAGAAAAAGAGTGTTTCGAATCTGCTCTGTCTAAAGGAAGGTTCAACTCTGTCAGTTGAATACACACAACACAAGGAAGTTACTGAGATTTCTTCTGTCTAGCGTTACATGAAAAAAACCCGTTTCCAACGAAGGCCTCAAAGAGGTCAAAATATCCACGTGCAGACTTTCCAAACAGAGTGTTTCCAAACTGCTGAATGAAAAGAAAAGTTAAACTCTGTGAGTTGAACGCACACATCCCAGAGCAGTTTCTGAGAAAGATTCTGTCTAGTTTTTATAGGAAAATATTTCCTTTTCTGCTTTTGGCCTCAAAGCGCTTGAAATCTCCACTTGCAAATTCCACAAAAAGAGACTTTCAAATCTGCTCTGTCTAAAGGAAGGTTCAACTCTGTCAGTTGAATACACACAACACAAAGAAGTTACTAAGAATTCTTCCCTCTACTATTATATGACGAAATCCCGTTTCCAACGAAGGCATCTAAGAGGTCCAAATATCCACTTGCAGACTTTACAAACAGAGGGTTTCCAGAATTCTGTATGAAAAGAAACGTTAAAGTCTGTGAGTTAAACACACACATCACTAAGCAGTTTCTGGGAACGAGTTTGTCTTGTTTTTATACGAAGATATTTCCTTTTCAACCATTGGCATCGAAGCGCTTGAAATCTCCACTTGCAAATTCCTTAAAAAGAGTGTTTCAAATCTGCTCTCTCTAAAGGAAGGTTGAACTCTGTGAGTTGCATACACACAACACAAAGTAGTTACTGAGAAATCTGTCTAGAATAATATGAAGAAATCCCTTTTCCAACGAAGGCCTCAAAGAGGTCCGAATATCCACTGGCAGACTTCACAAACAGAGTGTTTCCTAACTGCTCTGTGAAAAGAAAGGTTAAACTCTGTGAGTTGAACGCACATATCACAAAGGAGTTTCTGAGAATCATTCTGTCTAGTTTTTATACGAAGATATTTCCTTTTCTACCATTGACCTCAAAGCGGCTGAAATCTCCACTTGCAAATTCCAGAAAAACAGTGTTTCAAATCTGCTCTGTGTAAAGGATCGTTCAACTCTGTGAGTTGAATATACACAACACAAGGAAGTTACTGAGAATTCATCTGTCTAGCATAATATGAAGAAATCCCGTTTCCAACGAAGGCCTCAAAGAGGTCTGAATATCCACTTGCAGACTTTACAAACTGAGTGTTTCCTAACTGCTCTTTGAAAAGAAAGGTTAAACTCTGTGAGTTGAACGCACACATCACAAAACAGTTTCTGAGAATCATTCTGTCTAGTTTTTATACGAAGATATTTCCTTTTCTACCGTTGACCTCAAAGCGGCTGAATTCTCCACTTACAAATTCCACCAAAAGAGTGTCTCAAATCTGCTCTGTGTAAAGAATCATTCAACTCTGTGAGTTGAATGCACACAACACAAGGAAGTTACTGGGAATTCCTCTGTCTATCCTTACATGAAAAAACCCGCTTCCAACGAAGGCCTCTAAGAGGCCAAGATATCCACTTGCAGACTTTACAAACAGAGTGTTTCCAAACTGCTGAATGAAAAGAAAAGTTAAACTCTGTGAGTTGAACGCACACATCACAGAGCAGTTTCTGAGAAAGATTCTGTCGGGTTTTTATACGAAGATATTTCCTTTTCTGCCTTTGGCCTCAAAGCGCTTGAAGTCTCCACTTGGAAATTGCAGAAAAAGAGTGTTTCGAATCTGCTCTGTCTAAAGGAAGGTTCAACTCTGTCAGTTGAATACACACAACACAAGGAAAGTTACTGAGATTTCTTCTGTCTAGCCTTACATGAAAAAAACCCGTTTCCAACGAAGGCCTCAAAGAGGTCAAAATATCCACGTGCAGACTTTCCAAACAGAGTGTTTCCAAACTGCTGAATGAAAAGAAAGTTAAACTCTGTGAGTTGAACACACACATCACAGAGCAGTTTCTGAGAATGATTCTGTCTAGTTTTTATAGGAAAATATTTCCTTTTCTGCTTTTGGCCTCAAAGCGCTTGAAATCTCCACTTGCAAATTCCACAAAAAGAGACTTTCAAATCTGCTCTGTCTAAAGGAAGGTTCAACTCTGTCAGTTGAATACACACAACACAAAGAAGTTACTAAGAATTCTTCCCTCTAGCATTATATGAAGAAATCCCGTTTCCAACGAAGGCATCTAAGAGGTCCAAATATCCACTTGCAGACTTTACAAACAGAGGGTTTCCAGAATGCTGTATGAAAAGAAAGGTTAAACTCTGTGAGTTAAACACACACATCACTACGCAGTGTCTGGGAACGAGTTTGTCTTGTTTTTATACGAAGATATTTCCTTTTCTACCATTGGCATCGAAGCGCTTGAAATCTCCATTGCAAATTCCACAAAAAGAGTGTTTCAAATCTGCTCTGTCTAAAGGAAGGTTGAACTCTGTGAGTTGCATACACACAACACAAAGAAGTTACTGAGAAATCTTCTGTCTAGCATAATATGAAGAAATCCCGTTTCCAACGAAGGCCTCAAAGAGGTCCGAATATCCACTGGCAGGCTTCACAAACAGAGTGTTTCCTAACTGCTCTGTGAAAAGAAAGGTTAAACTCTGTGAGTTGAACGCACACATCACAAAGGAGTTTCTGAGAATCATTCTGTCTAGTTTTTATACGAAGATATTTCCTTTTCTACCATTGACCTCAAAGCGGCTGAAATCTCCACTTGCAAATTCCAGAAAAACAGTGTTTCAAATCTGCTCTGTGTAAAGGATCGTTCAACTCTGTGAGTTGAATACACACAACACAAGGAAGTTACTGAGAATTCATCTGTCTAGCATAATATGAAGAAATCCCGTTTCCAACGAAGGCCTCAAAGAGGTCTGAATATCCACTTGCAGACTTTACAAACAGAGTGTTTCCTAACTGCTCTTTGAAAAGAAAGGTTAAACTCTGTGAGTTGAACGCACACATCACAAAACAGTTTCTGAGAATCATTCTGTCTAGTTTTTATACGAAGATATTTCCTTTTCTACCGTTGACCTCAAAGCGGCTGAATTCTCCACTTACAAATTCCACCAAAAGAGTGTCTCAAATCTGCTCTGTGTAAAGAATCATTCAACTCTGTGAGTTGAATGCACACAACACAAGGAAGTTACTGGGGAATTCCTCTGTCTATCCTTACATGAAAAAACCCGTTTCCAACGAAGGCCTCTAAGAGGCCAAGATATCCACTTGCAGACTTTACAAACAGAGTGTTTCCAAACTGCTGAATGAAAAGAAAAGTTAAACTCTGTGTGTTGAACGCACACATCACAGAGCAGTTTCTGAGAAAGATTCTGTCTAGTTTTTATAGGAAAATATTTCCTTTTCTGCTTTTGGCCTCAAAGCGCTTGAAATCTCCACTTGCAAATTCCACAAAAAGAGTGTTTCAAATCTGCTCTGTCTAAAGGAAGGTTGAACTCTGTGAGTTGCATACACACAACACAAAGAAGTTACTGAGAAATCTTCTGTCTAGCATAATATGAAGAAATCCCGTTTCCAACGAAGGCCTCAAAGAGGTCCGAATATCCACTGGCAGGCTTCACAAACAGAGTGTTTCCTAACTGCTCTGTGAAAAGAAAGGTTAAACTCTGTGAGTTGAACGCACACATCACAAAGGAGTTTCTGAGAATCATTCTGTCTAGTTTTTATACGAAGATATTTCCTTTTCTACCATTGACCTCAAAGCAGCTGAAATCTCCACTTGCAAATTCCAGAAAAACAGTGTTTCAAATCTGCTCTGTGTAAAGGATCGTTCAACTCTGTGAGTTGAATACACACAACACAAGGAAGTTACTGAGAATTCATCTGTCTAGCATAATATGAAGAAATCCCGTTTCCAACGAAGGCCTCAAAGAGGTCTGAATATCCACTTGCAGACTTTACAAACAGAGTGTTTCCTAACTGCTCTTTGAAAAGAAAGGTTAAACTCTGTGAGTTGAACGCACACATCACAAAACAGTTAATGAGAATCATTCTGTCTAGTTTTTATACGAAGATATTTCCTTTTCTACCGTTGACCTCAAAGCGGCTGAATTCTCCACTTACAAATTCCACCAAAAGAGTGTCTCAAATCTGCTCTGTGTAAAGAATCATTCAACTCTGTGAGTTGAATGCACACAACACAAGGAAGTTACTGGGAATTCCTCTGTCTAACCTTACATGAAAAAACCCGTTTCCAACGAAGGCCTCTAAGAGGCCAAGATATCCACTTGCAGACTTTACAAACAGAGTGTTTCCAAACTGCTGAATGAAAAGAAAAGTTAAACTCTGTGAGTTGAACGCACACATCACAGAGCAGTTTCTGAGAATGATTCTGTCGGGTTCTTATACGAAGATATTTCCTTTTCTGCCTTTGGCCTCAAAGCGCTTGAAGTCTCCACTTGCAAATTACAGAAAAAGAGTGTTTCGAATCTGCTCTGTCTAAAGGAAGGTTCAACTCTGTCAGTTGAATACACACAACACAAGGAAGTTACTGAGATTTCTTCTGTCTAGCCTTACATGAAAAAAACCCGTTTCCAACGAAGGCCTCAAAGAGGTCAAAATATCCACGTGCAGACTTTCCAAACAGAGTGTTTCCAAACTGCTGAATGAAAAGAAAAGTTAAACTCTGTGAGTTGAACGCACACATCCCAGAGCAGTTTCTGAGAAAGATTCTGTCGAGTTTTTATAGGAAAATATTTCCTTTTCTACTTTTGGCCTCAAAGCGCTTGAAATCTCCACTTGCAAATTCCACAAAAAGAGACTTTCAAATCTGCTCTGTCTAAAGGAAGGTTCAACTCTGTCAGTTGAATACACACAACACAAAGAAGTTACTAAGAATTCTTCCCTCTAGCATTATATGAAGAAATCCCGTTTCCAACGAAGGCATCTAAGAGGTCCAAATATCCACTTGCAGACTTTACAAACACAGGGTTTCCAGAATGCTGTATGAAAAGAAAGGTTAAACTCTGTGAGTTAAACACACACATCACTACGCAGTGTCTGGGAACGAGTTTGTCTTGTTTTTATACGAAGATATTTCCTTTTCTACCATTGGCATCGAAGCGCTTGAAATCTCCACTTGCAAATTCCACAAAAAGAGTGTTTCAAATCTGCTCTGTCTAAAGGAAGGTTGAACTCTGTGAGTTGCATACACACAACACAAAGAAGTTACTGAGAAATCTTGTGTCTAGCATAATATGAAGATATCCCGTTTCCAACGAAGGCCTCAAAGAGGTCCGAATATCCACTGGCAGGCTTCACAAACAGAGTGTTTCCTAACTGCTCTGTGAAAAGAAAGGTTAAACTCTGTGAGTTGAACGCACACATCACAAAGGAGTTTCTGAGAATCATTCTGTCTAGTTTTTATACGAAGATATTTCCTTTTCTACCATTGACCTCAAAGCGGCTGAAATCTCCACTTGCAAATTCCAGAAAAACAGTGTTTCAAATCTGCTCTGTGTAAAGGATCGTTCAACTCTGTGAGTTGAATACACACAACACAAGGAAGTTACTGAGAATTCATCTGTCTAGCATAATATGAAGAAATCCCGTTTCCAACGAAGGCCTCAAAGAGGTCTGAATATCCACTTGCAGACTTTACAAACAGAGTGTTTCCTAACTGCTCTTTGAAAAGAAAGGTTAAACTCTGTGAGTTGAACGCACACATCACAAAACAGTTTCTGAGAATCATTCTGTCTAGTTTTTATACGAAGATATTTCCTTTTCTACCGTTGACCTCAAAGCGGCTGAATTCTCCACTTACAAATTCCACCAAAAGAGTGTCTCAAATCTGCTCTGTGTAAAGAATCATTCAACTCTGTGAGTTGAATGCACACAACACAAGGAAGTTACTGGGAATTCCTCTGTCTATCCTTACATGAAAAAACCCGTTTCCAACGAAGGCCTCTAAGAGGCCAAGATATCCACTTGCAGACTTTACAAACAGAGTGTTTCCAAACTGCTGAATGAAAAGAAAAGTTAAACTCTGTGAGTTGAACGCACACATCACAGAGCAGTTTCTGAGAATGATTCTGTCGGGTTTTTATACGAAGATATTTCCTTTTCTGCCTTTGGCCTCAAAGCGCTTGAAGTCTCCACTTGCAAATTGCAGAAAAAGAGTGTTTCGAATCTGCTCTGTCTAAAGGAAGGTTCAACTCTGTCAGTTGAATACACACAACACAAGGAAGTTACTGAGATTTCTTCTGTCTAGCCTTACATGAAAAAAACCCGTTTCCAACGAAGGCCTCAAAGAGGTCAAAATATCCACGTGCAGACTTTCCAAACAGAGTGTTTCCAAACTGCTGAATGAAAAGAAAAGTTAAACTCTGTGAGTTGAACGCACACGTCCCAGAGCAGTTTCTGAGAAAGATTCTGTCGAGTTTTTATAGGAAAATATTTCCTTTTCTGCTTTTGGCCTCAAAGCGCTTGAAATCTCCACTTGCAAATTCCACAAAAAGAGACTTTCAAATCTGCTCTGTCTAAAGGAAGGTTCAACTCTGTCAGTTGAATACACACAACACAAAGAAGTTACTAAGAATTCTTCCCTCTAGCATTATATGAAGAAATCCCGTTTCCAACGAAGGCATCTAAGAGGTCCAAATATCCACTTGCAGACTTTACAAACACAGGGTTTCCAGAATGCTGTATGAAAAGAAAGGTTAAACTCTGTGAGTTAAACACACACATCACTACGCAGTGTCTGGGAACGAGTTTGTCTTGTTTTTATACGAAGATATTTCCTTTTCTACCATTGGCATCGAAGCGCTTGAAATCTCCACTTGCAAATTCCACAAAAAGAGTGTTTCAAATCTGCTCTGTCTAAAGGAAGGTTGAACTCTGTGAGTTGCATACACACAACCCAAAGAAGTTACTGAGAAATCTTCTGTCTAGCGTAATATGAAGAAATCCCGTTTCCAACAAAGGCCTCAAAGAGGTCCGAATATCCACTGGCAGGCTTCACAAACAGAGTGTTTCCTAACTGCTCTGTGAAAAGAAAGGTTAAACTCTGTGAGTTGAACGCACACATCACAAAGGAGTTTCTGAGAATCATTCTGTCTAGTTTTTATACGAAGATATTTCCTTTTCTACCATTGACCTCAAAGGGGCTGAAATCTCCACTTGCAAATTCCAGAAAAACAGTGTTTCAAATCTGCTCTGTGTAAAGGATCGTTTAACTCTGTGAGTTGAATACACACAACACAAGGAAGTTACTGAGAATTCATCTGTCTAGCATAATATGAAGAAATCCCGTTTCCAACGAAGGCCTCAAAGAGGTCTGAATATCCACTTGCAGACTTTACAAACAGAGTGTTTCCTAACTGCTCTTTGAAAAGAAAGGTTAAACTCTGTGAGTTGAACGCACACATCACAAAACAGTTTCTGAGAATCATTCTGTCTAGTTTTTATACGAAGATATTTGCTTTTCTACCGTTGACCTCAAAGCGGCTGAATTCTCCACTTACAAATTCCACCAAAAGAGTGTCTCAAATCTGCTCTGTGTAAAGAATCATTCAACTCTGTGAGTTGAATGCACACAACACAAGGAAGTTACTGGGAATTCCTCTGTCTAACCTTACATGAAAAAACCCGTTTCCAACGAAGGCCTCTAAGAGGCCAAGATATCCACTTGCAGACTTTACAAACAGAGTGTTTCCAAACTGCTGAATGAAAAGAAAAGTTAAACTCTGTGAGTTGAACGCACACATCACAGAGCAGTTTCTGAGAATGATTCTGTCGGGTTTTTATACGAAGAATATTTCCTTTTCTGCCTTTGGCCTCAAAGCGCTTGAAGTCTCCACTTGCAAATTGCAGAAAAAGAGTGTTTCGAATCTGCTCTGTCTAAAGGAAGGTTCAACTCTGTCAGTTGAATACACACAACACAAGGAAGTTACTGAGATTTCTTCTGTCTAGCGTTACATGAAAAAAACCCGTTTCCAACGAAGGCCTCAAAGAGGTCAAAATATCCACGTGCAGACTTCCAAACAGAGTGTTTCCAAACTGCTGAATGAAAAGAAAGTTAAACTCTGTGAGTTGAACACACACATCACAGAGCAGTTTCTGAGAATGATTCTGTCTAGTTTTTATAGGAAAATATTTCCTTTTCTGCTTTTGGCCTCAAAGCGCTTGAAATCTCCACTTGCAAATTCCACAAAAAGAGACTTTCAAATCTGCTCTGTCTAAAGGAAGGTTCAACTCTGTCAGTTGAATACACACAACACAAAGAAGTTACTAAGAATTCTTCCCTCTAGCATTATATGAAGAAATCCCGTTTCCAACGAAGGCATCTAAGAGGTCCAAATATCCACTTGCAGACTTTACAAACAGAGGGTTTCCAGAATGCTGTATGAAAAGAAAGGTTAAACTCTGTGAGTTAAACACACACATCACTACGCAGTGTCTGGGAACGAGTTTGTCTTGTTTTTATACGAAGATATTTCCTTTTCTACCATTGGCATCGAAGCGCTTGAAATCTCCACTTGCAAATTCCACAAAAAGAGTGTTTCAAATCTGCTCTGTCTAAAGGAAGGTTGAACTCTGTGAGTTGCATACACACAACACAAAGAAGTTACTGAGAAATCTTCTGTCTAGCATAATATGAAGAAATCCCGTTTCCAACGAAGGCCTCAAAGAGGTCCGAATATCCACTGGCAGGCTTCACAAACAGAGTGTTTCCTAACTGCTCTGTGAAAAGAAAGGTTAAACTCTGTGAGTTGAACGCACACATCACAAAGGAGTTTCTGAGAATCATTCTGTCTAGTTTTTATACGAAGATATTTCCTTTTCTACCATTGACCTCAAAGCGGCTGAAATCTCCACTTGCAAATTCCAGAAAAACAGTGTTTCAAATCTGCTCTGTGTAAAGGATCGTTCAACTCTGTGAGTTGAATACACACAACACAAGGAAGTTACTGAGAATTCATCTGTCTAGCATAATATGAAGAAATCCCGTTTCCAACGAAGGCCTCAAAGAGGTCTGAATATCCACTTGCAGACTTTACAAACAGAGTGTTTCCTAACTGCTCTTTGAAAAGAAAGGTTAAACTCTGTGAGTTGAACGCACACATCACAAAACAGTTTCTGAGAATCATTCTGTCTAGTTTTTATACGAAGATATTTCCTTTTCTACCGTTGACCTCAAAGCGGCTGAATTCTCCACTTACAAATTCCACCAAAAGAGTGTCTCAAAACTGCTCTGTGTAAAGAATCATTCAACTCTGTGAGTTGAATGCACACAACACAAGGAAGTTACTGGGAATTCCTCTGTCTAACCTTACATGAAAAAACCCGTTTCCAACGAAGGCCTCTAAGAGGCCAAGATATCCACTTGCAGACTTTACAAACAGAGTGTTTCCAAACTGCTGAATGAAAAGAAAAGTTAAACTCTGTGAGTTGAACGCACACATCACAGAGCAGTTTCTGAGAATGATTCTGTCGGGTTTTTATACGAAGATATTTCCTTCTCTGCCTTTGGCCTCAAAGCGCTTGAAGTCTCCACTTGCAAATTGCAGAAAAAGAGTGTTTCGAATCTGCTCTGTCTAAAGGAAGGTTCAACTCTGTCAGTTGAATACACACAACACAAGGAAGTTACTGAGATTTCTTCTGTCTAGCCTTACATGAAAAAAAACCGTTTCCAACGAAGGCCTCAAAGAGGTCAAAATATCCACGTGTAGACTTTCCAAACAGAGTGTTTCCAAACTGCTGAATGAAAAGAAAAGTTAAACTCTGTGAGTTGAATGCACACATCCCAGAGCAGTTTCTGAGAAAGATTCTGTCGAGTTTTTATAGGAAAATATTTCCTTTTCTGCTTTTGGCCTCAAAGCGCTTGAAATCTCCACTTGCAAATTCCACAAAAAGAGACTTTCAAATCTGCTCTGTCTAAAGGAAGGTTCAACTCTGTCAGTTGAATACACACAACACAAAGAAGTTACTAAGAATTCTTCCCTCTAGCATTATATGAAGAAATCCCGTTTCCAACGAAGGCATCTAAGAGGTCCAAATATCCACTTGCAGACTTTACAAACAGAGGGTTTCCAGAATGCTGTATGAAAAGAAAGGTGAAACTCTGTGAGTTAAACACACACATCACTACGCAGTGTCTGGGAACGAGTTTGTCTTGTTTTTATACGAAGATATTTCCTTTTCTACCATTGGCATCGAAGCGCTTGAAATCTCCACTTGCAAATTCCACAAAAAGAGTGTTTCAAATCTGCTCTGTCTAAAGGAAGGTTGAACTCTGTGAGTTGCATACACACAACACAAAGAAGTTACTGAGAAATCTTCTGTCTAGCATAATATGAAGAAATCCCGTTTCCAACGAAGGCCTCAAAGAGGTCCGAATATCCACTGGCAGGCTTCACAAACAGAGTGTTTCCTAACTGCTCTGTGAAAAGAAAGGTTAAACTCTGTGAGTTGAACGCACACATCACAAAGGAGTTTCTGAGAATCATTCTGTCTAGTTTTTATACAGAAGATATTTCCTTTTCTACCATTGACCTCAAAGCGGCTGAAATCTCCACTTGCAAATTCCAGAAAAACAGTGTTTCAAATCTGCTCTGTGTAAAGGATCGTTCAACTCTGTGAGTTGAATACACACAACACAAGGAAGTTACTGAGAATTCATCTGTCTAGCATAATATGATGAAATCCCGTTTCCAACGAAGGCTTTAAAGTAGGTCTGAATATCCACTTGCAGACTTTACAAACAGAGTGTTTCCTAACTGCTCTTTGAAAAGAAAGGTTAAACTCTGTGAGTTGAACGCACACATCACAAAACAGTTTCTGAGAATCATTCTTTCTAGTTTTTATACGAAGATATTTCCTTTTCTACCGTTGACCTCAAAGCGGCTGAATTCTCCACTTACAAATTCCACCAAAAGTGTGTCTCAAATCTGCTCTGTGTAAAGAATCATTCAACTCTGTGAGTTGAATGCACACAACACAAGGAAGTTACTGGGAATTCCTCTGTCTAACCTTACATGAAAAAACGCGTTTCCAACGAAGGCCTCTAAGAGGCCAAGATATCCACTTGCAGACTTTACAAACAGAGTGTTTCCAAACTGCTGAATGAAAAGAAAAGTTAAACTCTGTGAGTTGAACGCACACATCACAGAGCAGTTTCTGAGAATGATTCTGTCGGGTTTTTATACGAAGATATTTCCTTTTCTGCCTTTGGCCTCAAAGCGCTTGAAGTCTCCACTTGCAAATTGCAGAAAAAGAGCGTTTCGAATCTGCTCTGTCTAAAGGAAGGTTCAACTCTGTCAGTTGAATACACACAACACAAGGAAGTTACTGAGATTTCTTCTGTCTAGCCTTACATGAAAAAAACCCGTTTCCAACGAAGGCCTCAAAGAGGTCAAAATATCCACGTGCAGACTTTCCAAACAGAGTGTTTCCAAACTGCTGAATGAAAAGAAAGTTAAACTCTGTGAGTTGAACACACACATCACAGAGCAGTTTCTGAGAATGATTCTCTCTAGTTTTTATAGGAAAATATTTCCTTTTCTGCTTTTGGCCTCAAAGCGCTTGAAATCTCCACTTGCAAATTCCACAAAAAGAGACTTTCAAATCTGCTCTGTCTAAAGGAAGGTTCAACTCTGTCAGTTGAATACACACAACACAAAGAAGTTACTAAGAATTCTTCCCTCTAGCATTATATGAAGAAATCCCGTTTCCAACGAAGGCATCTAAGAGGTCCAAATATCCACTTGCAGACTTTACAAACAGAGGGTTCCCAGAATGCTGTATGAAAAGAAAGGTTAAACTCTGTGAGTTAAACACACACATCACTACGCAGTGTCTGGGAACGAGTTTGTCTTGTTTTTATACGAAGATATTTCCTTTTCTACCATTGGCATCGAAGCGCTTGAAATCTCCACTTGCAAATTCCACAAAAAGAGTGTTTCAAATCTGCTCTGTCTAAAGGAAGGTTGAACTCTGTGAGTTGCATACACACAACACAAAGAAGTTACTGAGAAATCTTCTGTCTAGCATAATATGAAGAAATCCCGTTTCCAACGAAGGCCTCAAAGAGGTCCGAATATCCACTGGCAGGCTTCACAAACAGAGTGTTTCCTAACTGCTCTGTGAAAAGAAAGGTTAAACTCCGTGAGTTGAACGCACACATCACAAAGGAGTTTCTGAGAATCATTCTGTCTAGTTTTTATACGAAGATATTTCCTTTTCTACCATTGACCTCAAAGCGGCTGAAATCTCCACTTGCAAATTCCAGAAAAACAGTGTTTCAAATCTGCTCTGTGTAAAGGATCGTTTAACTCTGTGAGTTGAATACACACAACACAAGGAAGTTACTGAGAATTCATCTGTCTAGCATAATATGATGAAATCCCGTTTCCAACGAAGGCCTCAAAGAGGTCTGAATATCCACTTGCAGACTTTACAAACAGTGTGTTTCCTAACTGCTCTTTGAAAAGAAAGGTTAAACTCTGTGAGTTGAACGCACACATCACAAAACAGTTTCTGAGAATCATTCTGTCTAGTTTTTATACGAAGATATTTCCTTTTCTACCGTTGACCTCAAAGCGGCTGAATTCTCCACTTACAAATTCCACCAAAAGAGTGTCTCAAATCTGCTCTGTGTAAAGAATCATTCAACTCTGTGAGTTGAATGCACACAACACAAGGAAGTTACTGGGAATTCCTCTGTCTATCCTTACATGAAAAAACCCAGTTTCCAACGAAGGCCTCTAAGAGGCCAAGATATCCACTTGCAGACTTTACAAACAGAGTGTTTCCAAACTGCTGAATGAAAAGAAAAGTTAAACTCTGTGAGTTGAACGCACACATCACAGAGCAGTTTCTGAGAAAGATTCTGTCGGGTTTTTATACGAAGATATTTCCTTTTCTGCCTTTGGCCTCAAAGCGCTTGAAGTCTCCACTTGCAAATTGCAGAAAAAGAGTGTTTCGAATCTGCTCTGTCTAAAGGAAGGTTCAACTCTGTCAGTTGAATACACACAACACAAGGAAGTTACTGAGATTTCTTCTGTCTAGCCTTACATGAAAAAAACCCGTTTCCAACGAAGGCCTCAAAGAGGTCAAAATATCCACGTGCAGACTTTCCAAACAGAGTGTTTCCAAACTGCTGAATGAAAAGAAAAGTTAAACTCTGTGAGTTGAACGCACACATCCCAGAGCAGTTTCTGAGAAAGATTCTGTCTAGTTTTTATAGGAAAATATTTCCTTTTCTGCTTTTGGCCTCAAAGCGCTTGAAATCTCCACTTGCAAATTCCACAAAAAGAGACTTTCAAATCTGCTCTGTCTAAAGGAAGGTTCAACTCTGTCAGTTGAATACACACAACACAAAGAAGTTACTAAGAATTCTTCCCTCTAGCATTATATGAAGAAATCCCGTTTCCAACGAAGGCATCTAAGAGGTCCAAATATCCACTTGCAGACTTTACAAACACAGGGTTTCCAGAATGCTGTATGAAAAGAAAGGTTAAACTCTGTGAGTTAAACACACACATCACTACGCAGTGTCTGGGAACGAGTTTGTCTTGTTTTTATACGAAGATATTTCCTTTTCTACCATTGGCATCGAAGCGCTTGAAATCTCCACTTGCAAATTCCACAAAAAGAGTGTTTCAAATCTGC
The DNA here is from genome assembly GCF_000001405.40 of Homo sapiens. Classification (NCBI taxonomy): domain Eukaryota; kingdom Metazoa; phylum Chordata; class Mammalia; order Primates; family Hominidae; genus Homo; species Homo sapiens. The sequence continues at coordinate 36,925,345 of NC_000016.10, read as the reverse complement.
TCTGTCTAAAGGAAGGTTGAACTCTGTGAGTTGCATACACACAACACAAAGAAGTTACTGAGAAATCTTCTGTCTAGCATAATATGAAGAAATCCCGTTTCCAACGAAGGCCTCAAAGAGGTCCGAATATCCACTGGCAGGCTTCACAAACAGAGTGTTTCCTAACTGCTCTGTGAAAAGAAAGGTTAAACTCTGTGAGTTGAACGCACACATCACAAAGGAGTTTCTGAGAATCATTCTGTCTAGTTTTTATACGAAGATATTTCTTTTTCTACCATTGACCTCAAAGCGGCTGAAATCTCCACTTGCAAATTCCAGAAAAACAGTGTTTCAAATCTGCTCTGTGTAAAGGATCGTTCAACTCTGTGAGTTGAATACACACAACACAAGGAAGTTACTGAGAATTCATCTGTCTAGCATAATATGAAGAAATCCCGTTTCCAACGAAGGCCTCAAAGAGGTCTGAATATCCACTTGCAGACTTTACAAACAGAGTGTTTCCTAACTGCTCTTTGAAAAGAAAGGTTAAACTCTGTGAGTTGAACGCACACATCACAAAACAGTTTCTGAGAATCATTCTGTCTAGTTTTTATACGAAGATATTTCCTTTTCTACCGTTTACCTCAAAGCAGCTGAATTCTCCACTTACAAATTCCACCAAAAGAGTGTCTCAAATCTGCTCTGTGTAAAGAATCATTCAACTCTGTGAGTTGAATGCACACAACACAAGGAAGTTACTGGGAATTCCTCTGTCTAACCTTACATGAAAAAACCCGTTTCCAACGAAGGCCTCTAAGAGGCCAAGATATCCACTTGCAGACTTTACAAACAGAGTGTTTCCAAACTGCTGAATGAAAAGAAAAGTTAAACTCTGTGAGTTGAACGCACACATCACAGAGCAGTTTCTGAGAATGATTCTGTCGGGTTTTTATACGAAGATATTTCCTTTTCTGCCTTTGGCCTCAAAGCGCTTGAAGTCTCCACTTGCAAATTGCAGAAAAAGAGTGTTTCGAATCTGCTCTGTCTAAAGGAAGGTTCAACTCTGTCAGTTGAATACACATAACACAAGGAAGTTACTGAGATTTCTTCTGTCTAGCCTTACATGAAAAAAACCCGTTTCCAACGAAGGCCTCGAAGAGGTCAAAATATCCACGTGCAGACTTTCCAAACAGAGTGTTTCCAAACTGCTGAATGAAAAGAAAAGTTAAGCTCTGTGAGTTGAACGCACACATCACAGAGCAGTTTCTGAGAATGATTCTGTCTAGTTTTTATAGGAAAATATTTCCTTTTCTGCTTTTGGCCTCAAAGCGCTTGAAATCTCCACTTGCAAATTCCACAAAAAGAGACTTTCAAATCTGCTCTGTCTAAAGGAAGGTTCAACTCTGTCAGTTGAATACACACAACACAAAGAAGTTACTAAGAATTCTTCCCTCTAGCATTATATGAAGAAATCCCGTTCCCAACGAAGGCATCTAAGAGGTCCAAATATCCACTTGCAGACTTTACAAACAGAGGGTTTCCAGAATGCTGTATGAAAAGAAAGGTTAAACTCTGTGAGTTAAACACACACATCACTACGCAGTGTCTGGGAACGAGTTTGTCTTGTTTTTATACGAAGATATTTCCTTTTCTACCATTGGCATCGAAGCGCTTGAAATCTCCACTTGCAAATTCCACAAAAAGAGTGTTTCAAATCTGCTCTGTCTAAAGGAAGGTTGAACTCTGTGAGTTGCATACACACAACACAAAGAAGTTACTGAGAAATCTTCTGTCTAGCATAATATGAAGAAATCCCGTTTCCAACGAAGGCCTCAAAGAGGTCCGAATATCCACTGGCAGGCTTCACAAACAGAGTGTTTCCTAACTGCTCTGTGAAAAGAAAGGTTAAACTCTGTGAGTTGAACGCACACATCACAAAGGAGTTTCTGAGAATCATTTCTGTCTAGTTTTTATACGAAGATATTTCCTTTTCTACCATTGACCTCAAAGCGGCTGAAACCTCCACTTGCAAATTCCAGAAAAACAGTGTTTCAAATCTGCTCTGTGTAAAGGATCGTTCAACTCTGTGAGTTGAATACACACAACACAAGGAAGTTACTGAGAATTCATCTGTCTAGCATAATATGAAGAAATCCCGTTTCCAACGAAGGCCTCAAAGAGGTCTGAATATCCACTTGCAGACTTTACAAACAGAGTGTTTCCTAACTGCTCTTTGAAAAGAAAGGTTAAACTCTGTGAGTTGAACGCACACATCACAAAACAGTTTCTGAGAATCATTCTGTCTAGTTTTTATACGAAGATATTTCCTTTTCTACCGTTGACCTCAAAGCGGCTGAATTCTCCACTTACAAATTCCACCAAAAGAGTGTCTCAAATCTGCTCTGTGTAAAGAATCATTCAACTCTGTGAGTTGAATGCACACAACACAAGGAAGTTACTGGGAATTCCTGTGTGTATCCTTACATGAAAAAACCCGTTTCCAACGAAGGCCTCTAAGAGGCCAAGATATCCACTTGCAGACTTTACAAACAGAGTGTTTCCAAACTGCTGAATGAAAAGAAAAGTTAAACTCTGTGAGTTGAACGCACACATCACAGAGCAGTTTCTGAGAATGATTCTGTCGGGTTTTTATACGAAGATATTTCCTTTTCTGCCTTTGGCCTCAAAGCGCTTGAAGTCTCCACTTGCAAATTGCAGAAAAAGAGTGTTTCGAATCTGCTCTGTCTAAAGGAAGGTTCAACTCTGTCAGTTGAATACACACAACACAAGGAAGTTACTGAGATTTCTTCTGTCTAGCCTTACATGAAAAAAACCCGTTTCCAACGAAGGCCTCAAAGAGGTCAAAATATCCACGTGCAGACTTTCCAAACAGAGTGTTTCCAAACTGCTGAATGAAAAGAAAAGTTAAACTCTGTGAGTTGAACGCACACATCCCAGAGCAGTTTCTGAGAAAGATTCTGTCTAGTTTTTATAGGAAAATATTTCCTTTTCTGCTTTTGGCCTCAAAGCGCTTGAAATCTCCACTTGCAAATTCCACAGAAAGAGACTTTCAAATCTGCTCTGTCTAAAGGAAGGTTCAACTCTGTCAGTTGAATACACACAACACAAAGAAGTTACTAAGAATTCTTCCCTCTAGCATTATATGAAGAAATCCCGTTTCCAACGAAGGCATCTAAGAGGTCCAAATATCCACTTGCAGACTTTACAAACACAGGGTTTCCAGAATGCTGTATGAAAAGAAAGGTTAAACTCTGTGAGTTAAACACACACATCACTACGCAGTGTCTGGGAACGAGTTTGTCTTGTTTTTATACGAAGATATTTCCTTTTCTACCATTGGCATCGAAGCGCTTGAAATCTCCACTTGCAAATTCCACAAAAAGAGTGTTTCAAATCTGCTCTGTCTAAAGGAAGGTTGAACTCTGTGAGTTGCATACACACAACACAAAGAAGTTACTGAGAAATCTTCTGTCTAGCATAATATGAAGAAATCCCGTTTCCAACGAAGGCCTCAAAGAGGTCCGAATATCCCCTGGCAGGCTTCACAAACAGAGTGTTTCCTAACTGCTCTGTGAAAAGAAAGGTTAAACTCTGTGAGTTGAACGCACACATCACAAAGGAGTTTCTGAGAATCATTCTGTCTAGGTTTTATACGAAGATATTTCCTTTTCTACCATTGACCTCAAAGCGGCTGAAATCTCCACTTGCAAATTCCAGAAAAACAGTGTTTCAAATCTGCTCTGTGTAAAGGATCGTTCAACTCTGTGAGTTGAATACACACAACACAAGGAAGTTACTGAGAATTCATCTGTCTAGCATAATATGAAGAAATCCCGTTTCCAACGAAGGCCTCAAAGAGGTCTGAATATCCGCTTGCAGACTTTACAAACAGAGTGTTTCCTAACTGCTCTCTGAAAAGAAAGGTTAAACTCTGTGAGTTGAACGCACACATCACAAAACAGTTTCTGAGAATCATTCTGTCTAGTTTTTATACGAAGATATTTCCTTTTCTACCGTTGACCTCAAAGCGGCTGAATTCTCCACTTACAAATTCCACCAAAAGAGTGTCTCAAATCTGCTCTGTGTAAAGAATCATTCAACTCTGTGAGTTGAATGCACACAACACAAGGAAGTTACTGGGAATTCCTCTGTCTAACCTTACATGAAAAAACCCGTTTCCAACGAAGGCCTCTAAGAGGCCAAGATATCCACTTGCAGACTTTACAAACAGAGTGTTTCCAAACTGCTGAATGAAAAGAAAAGTTAAACTCTGTGAGTTGAACGCACACATCACAGAGCAGTTTCTGAGAATGATTCTGTCGGGTTTTTATACGAAGATATTTCCTTTTCTGCCTTTGGCCTCAAAGCGCTTGAAGTTTCCACTTGCAAATTGCAGAAAAAGAGTGTTTCGAATCTGCTCTGTCTAAAGGAAGGTTCAACTCTGTCAGTTGAATACACACAACACAAGGAAGTTACTGAGATTTCTTCTGTCTAGCCTTACATGAAAAAAACCCGTTTCCAACGAAGGCCTCAAAGAGGTCAAAATATCCACGTGCAGACTTTCCAAACAGAGTGTTTCCAAACTGCTGAATGAAAAGAAAAGTTAAACTCTGTGAGTTGAACGCACACATCCCAGAGCAGTTTCTGAGAAAGATTCTGTCGAGTTTTTATAGGAAAATATTTCCTTTTCTGCTTTTGGCCTCAAAGCGCTTGAAATCTCCACTTGCAAATTCCACAAAAAGAGACTTTCAAATCTGCTCTGTCTAAAGGAAGGTTCAACTCTGTCAGTTGAATACACACAACACAAAGAAGTTACTAAGAATTCTTCCCTCTAGCATTATATGAAGAAATCCCGTTTCCAACGAAGGCATCTAAGAGGTCCAAATATCCACTTGCAGACTTTACAAACACAGGGTTTCCAGAATGCTGTATGAAAAGAAAGGTTAAACTCTGTGAGTTAAACACACACATCACTACGCAGTGTCTGGGAACGAGTTTGTCTTGTTTTTATACGAAGATATTTCCTTTTCTACCATTGGCATCGAAGCGCTTGAAATCTCCACTTGCAAATTCCACAAAAAGAGTGTTTCAAATCTGCTCTGTCTAAAGGAAGGTTGAACTCTGTGAGTTGCATACACACAACACAAAGAAGTTACTGAGAAATCTTCTGTCTAGCATAATATGAAGAAATCCCGTTTCCAACGAAGGCCTCAAAGAGGTCCGAATATCCACTGGCAGGCTTCACAAACAGAGTGTTTCCTAACTGCTCTGTGAAAAGAAAGGTTAAACTCTGTGAGTTGAACGCACACATCACAAAGGAGTTTCTGAGAATCATTCTGTCTAGTTTTTATACGAAGATATTTCCTTTTCTACCATTGACCTCAAAGCGGCTGAAATCTCCACTTGCAAATTCCAGAAAAACAGTGTTTCAAATCTGCTCTGTGTAAAGGATCGTTCAACTCTGTGAGTTGAATACACACAACACAAGGAAGTTACTGAGAATTCATCTGTCTAGCATAATATGAAGAAATCCCGTTTCCAACGAAGGCCTCAAAGAGGTCTGAATATCCACTTGCAGACTTTACAAACAGAGTGTTTCCTAACTGCTCTTTGAAAAGAAAGGTTAAACTCTGTGAGTTGAACGCACACATCACAAAACAGTTTCTGAGAATCATTCTGTCTAGTTTTTATACGAAGATATTTCCTTTTCTACCGTTGACCTCAAAGCGGCTGAATTCTCCACTTACAAATTCCACCAAAAGAGTGTCTCAAATCTGCTCTGTGTAAAGAATCATTCAACTCTGTGAGTTGAATGCACACAACACAAGGAAGTTACTGGGAATTCCTCTGTCTAACCTTACATGAAAAAACCCGTTTCCAACGAAGGCCTCTAAGAGGCCAAGATATCCACTTGCAGACTTTTCAAACAGAGTGTTTCCAAACTGCTGAATGAAAAGAAAAGTTAAACTCTGTGAGTTGAACGCACACATCACAGAGCAGTTTCTGAGAATGATTCTGTCGGGTTTTTATACGAAGATATTTCCTTTTCTGCCTTTGGCCTCAAAGCGCTTGAAGTCTCCACTTGCAAATTGCAGAAAAAGAGTGTTTCGAATCTGCTCTGTCTAAAGGAAGGTTCAACTCTGTCAGTTGAATACACACAACACAAGGAAGTTACTGAGATTTCTTCTGTCTAGCCTTACATGAAAAAAACCCGTTTCCAACGAAGGCCTCAAAGAGGTCAAAATATCCACGTGCAGACTTTCCAAACAGAGTGTTTCCAAACTGCTGAATGAAAAGAAAAGTTAAACTCTGTGAGTTGAACGCACACATCACAGAGCAGTTTCTGAGAAAGATTCTGTCTAGTTTTTATAAGAAAATATTTCCTTTTCTGCTTTTGGCCTCAAAGCGCTTGAAATCTCCACTTGCAAATTCCACCAAAAGAGACTTTCAAATCTGCTCTGTCTAAAGGAAGGTTCAACTCTGTCAGTTGAATACACACAACACAAAGAAGTTACTAAGAATTCTTCCCTCTAGCATTATATGAAGAAATCCCGTTTCCAACCGAAGGCATCTAAGAGGTCCAAATATCCACTTGCAGACTTTACAAACACAGGGTTTCCAGAATGCTGTATGAAAAGAAAGGTTAAACTCTGTGAGTTAAACACACACATCACTACGCAGTGTCTGGGAACGAGTTTGTCTTGTTTTTATACGAAGATATTTCCTTTTCTACCATTGGCATCGAAGCGCTTGAAATCTCCACTTGCAAATTCCACAAAAAGAGTGTTTCAAATCTGCTCTGTCTAAAGGAAGGTTGAACTCTGTGAGTTGCATACACACAACCCAAAGAAGTTACTGAGAAATCTTCTGTCTAGCATAATATGAAGAAATCCCGTTTCCAACGAAGGCCTCAAAGAGGTCCGAATATCCACTGGCAGGCTTCACAAACAGAGTGTTTCCTAACTGCTCTGTGAAAAGAAAGGTTAAACTCTGTGAGTTGAACGCACACATCACAAAGGAGTTTCTGAGAATCATTCTGTCTAGTTTTTATACGAAGATATTTCCTTTTCTACCATTGACCTCAAAGCGGCTGAAATCTCCACTTGCAAATTCCAGAAAAACAGTGTTTCAAATCTGCTCTGTGTAAAGGATCGTTCAACTCTGTGAGTTGAATACACACAACACAAGGAAGTTACTGAGAATTCGATCTGTCTAGCATAATATGAAGAAATCCCGTTTCCAACGAAGGCCTCAAAGAGGTCTGAATATCCACTTGCAGACTTTACAAACAGAGTGTTTCCTGACTGCTCTCTGAAAAGAAAGGTTAAACTCTGTGAGTTGAACGCACACATCACAAAACAGTTTCTGAGAATCATTCTGTCTAGTTTTTATACGAAGATATTTCCTTTTCTACCGTTGACCTCAAAGCGGCTGAATTCTCCACTTACAAATTCCACCAAAAGAGTGTCTCAAATCTGCTCTGTGTAAAGAATCATTCAACTCTGTGAGTTGAATGCACACAACACAAGGAAGTTACTGGGAATTCCTGTGTCTATCCTTACATGAAAAAACCCGTTTCCAACGAAGGCCTCTAAGAGGCCAAGATATCCACTTGCAGACTTTACAAACAGAGTGTTTCCAAACTGCTGAATGAAAAGAAAAGTTAAACTCTGTGAGTTGAACGCACACATCACAGAGCAGTTTCTGAGAATGATTCTGTCGGGTTTTTATACGAAGATATTTCCTTTTCTGCCTTTGGCCTCAAAGCGCTTGAAGTCTCCACTTGCAAATTGCAGAAAAAGAGTGTTTCGAATCTGCTCTGTCTAAAGGAAGGTTCAACTCTGTCAGTTGAATACACACAACACAAGGAAGTTACTGAGATTTCTTCTGTCTAGCCTTACATGAAAAAAACCCGTTTCCAACGAAGGCCTCAAAGAGGTCAAAATATCCACGTGCAGACTTTCCAAACAGAGTGTTTCCAAACTGCTGAATGGAAAGAAAAGTTAAACTCTGTGAGTTGAACGCACACATCCCAGAGCAGTTTCTGAGAAAGATTCTGTCGAGTTTTTATAGGAAAATATTTCCTTTTCTGCTTTTGGCCTCAAAGCGCTTGAAATCTCCACTTGCAAATTCCACAAAAAGAGACTTTCAAATCTGCTCTGTCTAAAGGAAGGTTCAACTCTGTCAGTTGAATACACACAACACAAAGAAGTTACTAAGAATTCTTCCCTCTAGCATTATATGAAGAAATCCCGTTTCCAACGAAGGCATCTAAGAGGTCCAAATATCCACTTGCAGACTTTACAAACACAGGGTTTCCAGAATGCTGTATGAAAAGAAAGGTTAAACTCTGTGAGTTAAACACACACATCACTACGCAGTGTCTGGGAACGAGTTTGTCTTGTTTTTATACGAAGATATTTCCTTTTCTACCATTGGCATCGAAGCGCTTGAAATCTCCACTTGCAAATTCCACAAAAAGAGTGTTTCAAATCTGCTCTGTCTAAAGGAAGGTTGAACTCTGTGAGTTGCATACACACAACACAAAGAAGTTACTGAGAAATCTTCTGTCTAGCATAATATGAAGAAATCCCGTTTCCAACGAAGGCCTCAAAGAGGTCCGAATATCCACTGGCAGGCTTCACAAACAGAGTGTTTCCTAACTGCTCTGTGAAAAGAAAGGTTAAACTCTGTGAGTTGAACGCACACATCACAAAGGAGTTTCTGAGAATCATTCTGTCTAGTTTTTATACGAAGATATTTCCTTTTCTACCATTGACCTCAAAGCGGCTGAAATCTCCACTTGCAAATTCCAGAAAAACAGTGTTTCAAATCTGCTCTGTGTAAAGGATCGTTCAACTCTGTGAGTTGAATACACACAACACAAGGAAGTTACTGAGAATTCATCTGTCTAGCATAATATGAAGAAATCCCGTTTCCAACGAAGGCCTCAAAGAGGTCTGAATATCCACTTGCAGACTTTACAAACAGAGTGTTTCCTAACTGCTCTTTGAAAAGAAAGGTTAAACTCTGTGAGTTGAAAGCACACATCACAAAACAGTTTCTGAGAATCATTCTGTCTAGTTTTTATACGAAGATATTTCCTTTTCTACCGTTGACATCAAAGCGGCTGAATTCTCCACTTACAAATTCCACCAAAAGAGTGTCTCAAATCTGCTCTGTGTAAAGAATCATTCAACTCTGTGAGTTGAATGCACACAACACAAGGAAGTTAGTGGGAATTCCTCTGTCTAACCTTACATGAAAAAACCCGCTTCCAACGAAGGCCTCTAAGAGGCCAAGATATCCACTTGCAGACTTTACAAACAGAGTGTTTCCAAACTGCTGAATGAAAAGAAAAGTTAAACTCTGTGAGTTGAACGCACACATCACAGAGCAGTTTCTGAGAATGATTCTGTCGGGTTTTTATACGAAGATATTTCCTTTTCTGCCTTTGGCCTCAAAGCGCTTGAAGTCTCCACTTGCAAATTGCAGAAAAAGAGTGTTTCGAATCTGCTCTGTCTAAAGGAAGGTTCAACTCTGTCAGTTGAATACACACAACACAAGGGAATTTACTGAGATTTCTTCTGTCTAGCCTTACATGAAAAAAACCCGTTTCCAACGAAGGCCTCAAAGAGGTCAAAATATCCACGTGCAGACTTTCCAAACAGAGTGTTTCCAAACTGCTGAATGAAAAGAAAAGTTAAACTCTGTGAGTTGAACGCACACATCCCAGAGCAGTTTCTGAGAAAGATTCTGTCGAGTTTTTATAGGAAAATATTTCCTTTTCTGCTTTTGGCCTCAAAGCGCTTGAAATCTCCACTTGCAAATTCCACAAAAAGAGACTTTCAAATCTGCTCTGTCTAAAGGAAGGTTCAACTCTGTCAGTTGAATACACACAACACAAAGAAGTTACTAAGAATTCTTCCCTCTAGCATTATATGAAGAAATCCCGTTTCCAACGAAGGCATCTAAGAGGTCCAAATATCCACTTGCAGACTTTACAAACACAGGGTTTCCAGAATGCTGTATGAAAAGAAAGGTTAAAACTCTGTGAGTTAAACACACACATCACTACGCAGTGTCTGGGAACGAGTTGTCTTGTTTTTATACGAAGATATTTCCTTTTCTACCATTGGCATCGAAGCGCTTGAAATCTCCACTTGCAAATTCCACAAAAAGAGTGTTTCAAATCTGCTCTGTCTAAAGGAAGGTTGAACTCTGTGAGTTGCATACACACAACACAAAGAAGTTACTGAGAAATCTTCTGTCTAGCATAATATGAAGAAATCCCGTTTCCAACGAAGGCCTGAAAGAGGTCCGAATATCCACTGGCAGGCTTCACAAACAGAGTGTTTCCTAACTGCTCTGTGAAAAGAAAGGTTAAACTCTGTGAGTTGAACGCACACATCACAAAGGAGTTTCTGAGAATCATTCTGTCTAGTTTTTATACGAAGATATTTCCTTTTCTACCATTGACCTCAAAGCGGCTGAAATCTCCACTTGCAAATTCCAGAAAAACAGTGTTTCAAATCTGCTCTGTGTAAAGGATCGTTCAACTCTGTGAGTTGAATACACACAACACAAGGAAGTTACTGAGAATTCATCTGTCTAGCATAATATGAAGAAATCCCGTTTCCAACGAAGGCCTCAAAGAGGTCTGAATATCCACTTGCAGACTTTACAGAGTGTTTCCTAACTGCTCTCTGAAAAGAAAGGTTAAACTCTGTGAGTTGAACGCACACATCACAAAACAGTTTCTGAGAATCATTCTGTCTAGTTTTTATACGAAGATATTTCCTTTTCTACCGTTGACCTCAAAGCGGCTGAATTCTCCACTTACAAATTCCACCAAAAGAGTGTCTCAAATCTGCTCTGTGTAAAGAATCGTTCAACTCTGTGAGTTGAATGCACACAACACAAGGAAGTTACTGGGAATTCCTCTGTCTATCCTTACATGAAAAAACCCGTTTCCAACGAAGGCCTCTAAGAGGCCAAGATATCCACTTGCAGACTTTACAAACAGAGTGTTTCCAAACTGCTGAATGAAAAGAAAAGTTAAACTCTGTGAGTTGAACGCACACATCACAGAGCAGTTTCTGAGAATGATTCTGTCGGGTTTTTATACGAAGATATTTCCTTTTCTGCCTTTGGCCTCAAAGCGCTTGAAGTCTCCACTTGCAAATTGCAGAAAAAGAGTGTTTCGAATCTGCTCTGTCTAAAGGAAGGTTCAACTCTGTCAGTTGAATACACACAACACAAGGAAGTTACTGAGATTTCTTCTGTCTAGCCTTACATGAAAAAAACCCGTTTCCAACAAAGGCCTCAAAGAGGTCAAAATATCCACGTGCAGACTTTCCAAACAGAGTGTTTCCAAACTGCTGAATGAAAAGAAAAGTTAAACTCTGTGAGTTGAACGCACACGTCCCAGAGCAGTTTCTGAGAAAGATTCTGTCGAGTTTTTATAGGAAAATACTTCCTTTTCTGCTTTTGGCCTCAAAGCGCTTGAAATCTCCACTTGCAAATTCCACAAAAAGAGACTTTCAAATCTGCTCTGTCTAAAGGAAGGTTCAACTCTGTCAGTTGAATACACACAACACAAAGAAGTTACTAAGAATTCTTCCCTCTAGCATTATATGAAGAAATCCCGTTTCCAACGAAGGCATCTAAGAGGTCCAAATATCCACTTGCAGACTTTACAAACACAGGGTTTCCAGAATGCTGTATGAAAAGAAAGGTTAAACTCTGTGAGTTAAACACACACATCACTACGCAGTGTCTGGGAACGAGTTTGTCTTGTTTTTATACGAAGATATTTCCTTTTCTACCATTGGCATCGAAGCGCTTGAAATCTCCACTTGCAAATTCCACAAAAAGAGTGTTTCAAATCTGCTCTGTCTAAAGGAAGGTTGAACTCTGTGAGTTGCATACACACAACACAAAGAAGTTACTGAGAAATCTTCTGTCTAGCATAATATGAAGAAATCCCGTTTCCAACGAAGGCCTCAAAGAGGTCCGAATATCCACTGGCAGGCTTCACAAACAGAGTGTTTCCTAACTGCTCTGTGAAAAGAAAGGTTAAACTCTGTGAGTTGAACGCACACATCACAAAGGAGTTTCTGAGAATCATTCTGTCTAGTTTTTATACGAAGATATTTCCTTTTCTACCATTGACCTCAAAGCGGCTGAAATCTCCACTTGCAAATTCCAGAAAAACAGTGTTTCAAATCTGCTCTGTGTAAAGGATCGTTCAACTCTGTGAGTTGAATACACACAACACAAGGAAGTTACTGAGAATTCATCTGTCTAGCATAATATGAAGAAATCCCGTTTCCAACGAAGGCCTCAAAGAGGTCTGAATATCCACTTGCAGACTTTACAAACAGAGTGTTTCCTAACTGCTCTTTGAAAAGAAAGGTTAAACTCTGTGAGTTGAACGCACACATCACAAAACAGTTTCTGAGAATCATTCTGTCTAGTTTTTATACGAAGATATTTCCTTTTCTACCGTTGACCTCAAAGCGGCTGAATTCTCCACTTACAAATTCCACCAAAAGAGTGTCTCAAATCTGCTCTGTGTAAAGAATCATTCAACTCTGTGAGTTGAATGCACACAACACAAGGAAGTTACTGGGAATTCCTCTGTCTAACCTTAAATGAAAAAACCCGTTTCCAACGAAGGCCTCTAAGAGGCCAAGATATCCACTTGCAGACTTTACAAACAGAGTGTTTCCAAACTGCTGAATGAAAAGAAAAGTTAAACTCTGTGAGTTGAACGCACACATCACAGAGCAGTTTCTGAGAATGATTCTGTCGGGTTTTTATACGAAGATATTTCCTTTTCTGCCTTTGGCCTCAAAGCGCTTGAAGTCTCCACTTGCAAATTGCAGAAAAAGAGTGTTTCGAATCTGCTCTGTCTAAAGGAAGGTTCAACTCTGTCAGTTGAATACACACAACACAAGGAAGTTACTGAGATTTCTTCTGTCTAGCCTTACATGAAAAAAACCCGTTTCCAACGAAGGCCTCAAAGAGGTCAAAATATCCACGTGCAGACTTTCCAAACAGAGTGTTTCCAAACTGCTGAATGAAAAGAAAAGTTAAACTCTGTGAGTTGAACGCACACATCCCAGAGCAGTTTCTGAGAAAGATTCTGTCTAGTTTTTATAGGAAAATATTTCCTTTTCTGCTTTTGGCCTCAAAGCGCTTGAAATCTCCACTTGCAAATTCCACAAAAAGAGACTTTCAAATCTGCTCTGTCTAAAGGAAGGTTCAACTCTGTCAGTTGAATACACACAACACAAAGAAGTTACTAAGAATTCTTCCCTCTAGCATTATATGAAGAAATCCCGTTTCCAACGAAGGCATCTAAGAGGTCCAAATATCCACTTGCAGACTTTACAAACACAGGGTTTCCAGAATGCTGTATGAAAAGAAAGGTTAAACTCTGTGAGTTAAACACACACATCACTACGCAGTGTCTGGGAACGAGTTTGTCTTGTTTTTATACGAAGATATTTCCTTTTCTACCATTGGCATCGAAGCGCTTGAAATCTCCACTTGCAAATTCCACAAAAAGAGTGTTTCAAATCTGCTCTGTCTAAAGGAAGGTTGAACTCTGTGAGTTGCATACACACAACACAAAGTAGTTACTGAGAAATCTTCTGTCTAGCATAATATGAAGAAATCCCGTTTCCAACGAAGGCCTCAAAGAGGTCCGAATATCCACTGGCAGGCTTCACAAACAGAGTGTTTCCTAACTGCTCTGTGAAAAGAAAGGTTAAACTCTGTGAGTTGAACGCACACATCACAAAGGAGTTTCTGAGAATCATTCTGTCTAGTTTTTATACGAAGATATTTCCTTTTCTACCATTGACCTCAAAGCGGCTGAAATCTCCACTTGCAAATTCCAGAAAAACAGTGTTTCAAATCTGCTCTGTGTAAAGGATCGTTCAACTCTGTGAGTTGAATACACACAACACAAGGAAGTTACTGAGAATTCATCTGTCTAGCATAATATGAAGAAATCCCGTTTCCAACGAAGGCCTCAAAGAGGTCTGAATATCCACTTGCAGACTTTACAAACAGAGTGTTTCCTAACTGCTCTTTGAAAAGAAAGGTTAAACTCTGTGAGTTGAACGCACACATCACAAAACAGTTTCTGAGAATCATTCTGTCTAGTTTTTATACGAAGATATTTCCTTTTCTACCGTTGACCTCAAAGCGGCTGAATTCTCCACTTACAAATTCCACCAAAAGAGTGTCTCAAATCTGCTCTGTGTAAAGAATCATTCAACTCTGTGAGTTGAATGCACACAACACAAGGAAGTTACTGGGAATTCCTCTGTCTAACCTTACATGAAAAAAACCGTTTCCAACGAAGGCATCTAAGAGGCCAAGATATCCACTTGCAGACTTTACAAACAGAGTGTTTCCAAACTGCTGAATGAAAAGAAAAGTTAAACTCTGTGAGTTGAACGCACACATCACAGAGCAGTTTCTGAGAATGATTCTGTCGGGTTTTTATACGAAGATATTTCCTTTTCTGCCTTTGGCCTCAAAGCGCTTGAAGTCTCCACTTGGAAATTGCAGAAAAAGAGTGTTTCGAATCTGCTCTGTCTAAAGGAAGGTTCAACTCTGTCAGTTGAATACACACAACACAAGGAAGTTACTGAGATTTCTTCTGTCTAGCCTTATATGAAAAAACCCGTTTCCAACGAAGGCCTCAAAGAGGTCAAAATATCCACGTGCAGACTTTCCAAACAGAGTGTTTCCAAACTGCTGAATGAAAAGAAAGTTAAACTCTGTGAGTTGAACACACACATCACAGAGCAGTTTCTGAGAATGATTCTGTCTAGTTTTTATAGGAAAATATTTCCTTTTCTGCTTTTGGCCTCAAAGCGCTTGAAATCTCCACTTGCAAATTCCACAAAAAGAGACTTTCAAATCTGCTCTGTCTAAAGGAAGGTTCAACTCTGTCAGTTGAATACACACAACACAAAGAAGTTACTAAGAATTCTTCCCTCTAGCATTATATGAAGAAATCCCGTTTCCAACGAAGGCATCTAAGAGGTCCAAATATCCACTTGCAGACTTTACAAACAGAGGGTTTCCAGAATGCTGTATGAAAAGAAAGGTTAAACTCTGTGAGTTAAACACACACATCACTACGCAGTGTCTGGGAACGAGTTTGTCTTGTTTTTATACGAAGATATTTCCTTCTCTACCATTGGCATCGAAGCGCTTGAAATCTCCACTTGCAAATTCCACAAAAAGAGTGTTTCAAATCTGCTCTGTCTAAAGGAAGGTTGAACTCTGTGAGTTGCATACACACAACACAAAGAAGTTACTGAGAAATCTTCTGTCTAGCATAATACGAAGAAATCCCGTTTCCAACGAAGGCCTCAAAGAGGTCCGAATATCCACTGGCAGGCTTCACAAACAGAGTGTTTCCTAACTGCTCTGTGAAAAGAAAGGTTAAACTCTGTGAGTTGAACGCACACATCACAAAGGAGTTTCTGAGAATCATTCTGTCTAGTTTTTATACGAAGATATTTCCTTTTCTACCATTGACCTCAAAGCGGCTGAAATCTCCACTTGCAAATTCCAGAAAAACAGTGTTTCAAATCTGCTCTGTGTAAAGGATCGTTCAACTCTGTGAGTTGAATACACACAACACAAGGAAGTTACTGAGAATTCATCTGTCTAGCATAATATGAAGAAATCCCGTTTCCAACGAAGGCCTCAAAGAGGTCTGAATATCCACTTGCAGACTTTACAAACAGAGTGTTTCCTAACTGATCTTTGAAAAGAAAGGTTAAACTCTGTGAGTTGAACGCACACATCACAAAACAGTTTCTGAGAATCATTCTGTCTAGTTTTTATACGAAGATATTTCCTTTTCTACCATTGACCTCAAAGCTGCTGATTTCTCCACTTACAAATTCTAACAAAAGAGTGTCTCAAATCTGCTCTGTGGAAAGAATCATTCAAATCTGTGAGTTGAATGCACACAACACAAGGGAAGTTACTGGGAATTCCTCTGTCTAGCCTTACATGAAAAAAACTCGTTTCCAACGAAGGCCTCAAAGAAGCCAATATATCCACTTGCAGACTTCACAAACAGAGTGTTTCCAAACTGCTGAATGAATAGAAAAGTTAAACTCTGTGAGTTGAACGCACACATCACAGAGGAGTTTCTGAGAATGATTCTGTCTGGTTTTTATACGAAGATATTTCCTTTTCTGCCTTTGGCCTCAAATGCTCTTGAAGTCTCCACTTGCAAATTGCAGAAAAAGAGTGTTTCGAATCTTCTCTGTCTAAAGGAATGTTTAACTCTGTCAGTTGAATACACACAACACAAGGAAGTTACTGAGATTTCTTCTGTCTAGCCTTACAGGAAAAAAACCCATTTCCAATGAAGGCCTCAAAGAGGTCAAAATATCCACGTGCAGACTTTACAAACAGAGTGTTTCCAAACTGCTGAATGAAAAGAAAAGTTAAACTCTGTGAGTTAAACGCACACTTCACAGAGCAGTTTCTGAGAATGATTCTGTCTAATTTTTATAGGAAAATATTTCCTTTTCTGCTTTTGGCCTCAAAGCGCTTGAAATCTCCACTTGCAAATTCCACAAAAAGAGACTTTCAAATCTGCTCTGTCTAAAGGAAGTTCAACTCTGTCAGTTGAATACACACAACACAAAGAAGTTACTAAGAATTCTTCCCTCTAGCATTATATGAAGAAATGCCGTTTCCAACGAAGGCATCTAAGAGGTCCAAATATCCACTTGCAGACTTTACAAACAGAGGGTTTCCAGAATGCTGTATGAAAAGAAAGGTTAAACTCTGTGAGTTAAACACACACATCACTACGCAGTGTCTGGGAACGAGTTTGTCTTGTTTTTGTACGAAGCTATTTCCTTTTCTACTAATGGCATCGAAGCGCTTGAAATCTCCACTTGCAAATTCCACAAAAAGAGTGTTTCAAATCTGCTCTGTCTAAAGGAAGGTTGAACTCTGTGAGTTGCATACACACAACACAAAGAAGTAACTGAGAAATCTTCTGTCTAGCATAATATGAAGAAATCCCGTTTCCAACGAAGGCCTCAAAGAGGTCCGAATATCCACTGGCAGGCTTCACAAACAGAGTGTTTCCTAACTGCTCTATGAAAAGAAAGGTTAAACTCTGTGAGTTGAACGCACACATCACAAAACAGTTTCTGAGAATCATTCCGTCTAGTTTTTATACGAAGATATTTCCTTTTCTACCATTGACCTCAAGGTGGCTGAAATCTCCACTTGCAAATTCCACAAAAAGAGTGTTTCAGATCTGCTCTGTGTAAAGGATGGTTCTACTCTGTGAGTTCAATACACACAACACAAGGAAGTTACTAAGAATTCTTCTGTCTAGCATAAATTGAAGAAATCCCGTTTCGAACAAAGGCCTCAAAGAGGTCTGAATATCCACTTGCAGACTTTACAAACAGAGGGTTTCTTAACTGCTCTATGAAAAGAAAGGTTAAACTCTGTGAGTTGGACGGGCACATCACAAAGCAGTTTCTGAGAATCATTTTGGGTAGTTTTTATACGAAGATATTTCCTTTTCTACCATTGAGCTCAAAGCGACTGAAATCTCCACTTACAAATTCCACAAAAAGAGTGTCTCAAATCTGCTCTGTGTAAAGGATCGTTCAACTCTGTGAGTTGAATACACACAACACACGGAAGTTACTGAGAATTCTTCTGTCTAGCATAATATGAAGAAATCCCGTTTCCAACGAAGGCCTCAAAGAGGTCTCAATATCCACTTGCAGACTTTACAAACAGAGTGTTTCCTAACTGCTCTTTGAAAAGAAAGGTTAAACTCTGTGAGTTGAACGCACACATCACAAAACAGTTTCTGAGAATCATTCTGTCTAGTTTTTATACGAAGATATTTCCTTTTCTACCGTTGACCTCAAAGCAGCTGAATTCTCCACTTACAAATTCCACCAAAAGAGTGTCTCAAATCTGCTCTGTGTAAAGAATCATTCAACTCTGTGAGTTGAATGCACACAACACAAGGAAGTTACTGGGAATTCCTCTGTCTATCCTTACATGAAAAAACCCTTTTCCAACGAAGGCCTCTAAGAGGCCAAGATATCCACTTGCAGACTTTACAAACACAGTGTTTCCAAACTGCTGAATGAAAAGAAAAGTTAAACTCTGTGAGTTGAACGCACACATCACAGAGCAGTTTCTGAGAAAGATTCTGTCGGGTTTTTATACGAAGATATTTCCTTTTCTGCCTTTGGCCTCAAAGCGCTTGAAGTCTCCACTTGCAAATTGCAGAAAAAGAGTGTTTCGAATCTGCTCTGTCTAAAGGAAGGTTCAACTCTGTCAGTTGAATACACACAACACAAGGAAGTTACTGAGATTTCTTCTGTCTAGCCTTACATGAAAAAAACCCGTTTCCAACGAAGGCCTCAAAGAGGTCAAAATATCCACGTGCAGACTTTCCAAACAGAGTGTTTCCAAACTGCTGAATGAAAAGAAAAGTTAAACTCTGTGAGTTGAACGCACACATCCCAGAGCAGTTTCTGAGAAAGATTCTGTCTAGTTTTTATAGGAAAATATTTCCTTTTCTGCTTTTGGCCTCAAAGCGCTTGAAATCTCCACTTGCAAATTCCACAGAAAGAGACTTTCAAATCTGCTCTGTCTAAAGGAAGGTTCAACTCTGTCAGTTGAATACACAGAACACAAAGAAGTTACTAAGAATTCTTCCCTCTAGCATTATATGAAGAAATCCCGTTTCCAACGAAGGCATCTAAGAGGTCCAAATATCCACTTGCAGACTTTACAAACACAGGGTTTCCAGAATGCTGTATGAAAAGAAAGGTTAAACTCTGTGAGTTAAACACACACATCACTACGCAGTGTCTGGGAACGAGTTTGTCTTGTTTTTATACGAAGATATTTCCTTTTCTACCATTGGCATCGAAGCGCTTGAAATCTCCACTTGCAAATTCCACAAAAAGAGTGTTTCAAATCTGCTCTGTCTAAAGGAAGGTTGAACTCTGTGAGTTGCATACACACAACACAAAGAAGTTACTGAGAAATCTTCTGAATAGCATAATATGAAGAAATCCCGTTTCCAACGAAGGCCTCAAAGAGGTCCGAATATCCACTGGCAGGCTTCACAAACAGAGTGTTTCCTAACTGCTCTGTGAAAAGAAAGGTTAAACTCTGTGAGTTGAACGCACACATCACAAAGGAGTTTCTGAGAATCATTCTCTGTCTAGTTTTTATACGAAGATATTTCCTTTTCTACCATTGACCTCAAATCGGCTGAAATCTCCACTTGCAAATTCCAGAAAAACAGTGTTTCAAATCTGCTGTGTGTAAAAGATCGTTTAACTCTGTGAGTTGAATACACACAACACAAGGAAGTTACTGAGAATTCATCTGTCTAGCATAATATGAAGAAATCCCGTTTCCAACGAAGGCCTCAAAGAGGTCTGAATATCCACTTGCAGACTTTACAAACAGAGTGTTTCCTAACTGCTCTCTGAAAAGAAAGGTTAAACTCTGTGAGTTGAACGCACACATCACAAAACAGTTTCTGAGAATCATTCTGTCTAGTTTTTATACGAAGATATTTCCTTTTCTACCGTTGACCTCAAAGCGGCTGAATTCTCCACTTACAAATTCCACCAAAAGAGTGTCTCAAATCTGCTCTGTGTAAAGAATCATTCAACTCTGTGAGTTGAATGCACACAACACAAGGAAGTTACTGGGAATTCCTCTGTCTAACCTTACATGAAAAAACCCGTTTCCAACGAAGGCCTCTAAGAGGCCAAGATATCCACTTGCAGACTTTACAAACAGAGTGTTTCCAAACTGCTGAATGAAAAGAAAAGTTAAACTCTGTGAGTTGAACGCACACATCACAGAGCAGTTTCTGAGAATGATTCTGTCGGGTTTTTATACGAAGATATTTCCTTTTCTGCCTTTGGCCTCAAAGCGCTTGAAATCTCCACTTGCAAATTGCAGAAAAAGAGTGTTTCGAATCTGCTCTGTCTAAAGGAAGGTTCAACTCTGTCAGTTGAATACACACAACACAAGGAAGTTACTGAGATTTCTTCTGTCTAGCCTTACATGAAAAAAACCCGTTTCCAACGAAGGCCTCAAAGAGGTCAAAATATCCACGTGCAGACTTTCCAAACAGAGTGTTTCCAAACTGCTGAATGAAAAGAAAAGTTAAACTCTGTGAGTTGAACGCACACATCACAGAGCAGTTTCTGAGAAAGATTCTGTCTAGTTTTTATAGGAAAATATTTCCTTTTCTGCTTTTGGCCTCAAAGCGCTTGAAATCTCCACTTGCAAATTCCACAAAAAGAGACTTTCAAATCTGCTCTGTCTAAAGGAAGGTTCAACTCTGTCAGTTGAATACACACAACACAAAGAAGTTACTAAGAATTCTTCCCTCTAGCATTATATGAAGAAATCCCGTTTGCAACGAAGGCATCTAAGAGGTCCAAATATCCACTTGCAGACTTTACAAACAGAGGGTTTCCAGAAGGCTGTATGAAAAGAAAGGTGAAACTCTGTGAGTTAAACACACACATCACTACGCAGTGTCTGGGAACGAGTTTGTCTTGTTTTTATACGAAGATATTTCCTTTTCTACCATTGGCATCGAAGCGCTTGAAATCTCCACTTGCAAATTCCACAAAAAGAGTGTTTCAAATCTGCTCTGTCTAAAGGAAGGTTGAACTCTGTGAGTTGCATACACACAACACAAAGAAGTTACTGAGAAATCTTCTGTCTAGCATAATATGAAGAAATCCCGTTTCCAACAAAGGCCTCAAAGAGGTCCGAATATCCACTGGCAGGCTTCACAAACAGAGTGTTTCCTAACTGCTCTGTGAAAAGAAAGGTTAAACTCTGTGAGTTGAACGCACACATCACAAAGGAGTTTCTGAGAATCATTCTGTCTAGTTTTTATACGAAGATATTTCCTTTTCTACCATTGACCTCAAAGCGGCTGAAATCTCCACTTGCAAATTCCAGAAAAACAGTGTTTCAAATCTGCTCTGTGTAAAGGATCGTTCAACTCTGTGAGTTGAATACACACAACACAAGGAAGTTACTGAGAATTCATCTGTCTAGCATAATATGAAGAAATCCCGTTTCCAACGAAGGCCTCAAAGAGGTCTGAATATCCACTTGCAGACTTTACAAACAGAGTGTTTCCTAACTGCTCTTTGAAAAGAAAGGTTAAACTCTGTGAGTTGAAAGCACACATCACAAAACAGTTTCTGAGAATCATTCTGTCTAGTTTTTATACGAAGATATTTCCTTTTCTACCGTTGACCTCAAAGCGGCTGAATTCTCCACTTACAAATTCCACCAAAAGAGTGTCTCAAATCTGCTCTGTGTAAAGAATCATTCAACTCTGTGAGTTGAATGCACACAACACAAGGAAGTTACTGGGAATTCCTCTGTCTATCCTTACATGAAAAAACCCGTTTCCAACGAAGGCCTCTAAGAGGCCAAGATATCCACTTGCAGACTTTACAAACAGAGTGTTTCCAAACTGCTGAATGAAAAGAAAAGTTAAACTCTGTGAGTTGAACGCACACATCACAGAGCAGTTACTGAGAATGATTCTGTCGGGTTTTTATACGAAGATATTTCCTTTTCTGCCTTTGGCCTCAAAGCGCTTGAAGTCTCCACTTGCAAATTGCAGAAAAAGAGTGTTTCGAATCTGCTCTGTCTAAAGGAAGGTTCAACTCTGTCAGTTGAATACACACAACACAAGGAAGTTACTGAGATTTCTTCTGTCTAGCCTTACATGAAAAAAACCCGTTTCCAACGAAGGCCTCAAAGAGGTCAAAATATCCACGTGCAGACTTTCCAAACAGAGTGTTTCCAAACTGCTGAATGAAAAGTTAAACTCTGTGAGTTGAACGCACACATCCCAGAGCAGTTTCTGAGAAAGATTCTGTCGAGTTTTTATAGGAAAATATTTCCTTTTCTGCTTTTGGCCTCAAAGCGCTTGAAATCTCCACTTGCAAATTCCACAAAAAGAGACTTTCAAATCTGCTCTGTCTAAAGGAAGGTTCAACTCTGTCAGTTGAATACACACAACACAAAGAAGTTACTAAGAATTCGTCCCTCTAGCATTATATGAAGAAATCCCGTTTCCAACGAAGGCATCTAAGAGGTCCAAATATCCACTTGCAGACTTTACAAACACAGGGTTTCCAGAATGCTGTATGAAAAGAAAGGTGAAACTCTGTGAGTTAAACACACACATCACTACGCAGTGTCTGGAGAACGAGTTTGTCTTGTTTTTATACGAAGAATATTTCCTTTTCTACCATTGGCATCGAAGCGCTTGAAATCTCCACTTGCAAATTCCACAAAAAGAGTGTTTCAAATCTGCTCTGTCTAAAGGAAGGTTGAACTCTGTGAGTTGCATACACACAACACAAAGAAGTTACTGAGAAATCTTCTGTCTAGCATAATATGAAGAAATCCCGTTTCCAACGAAGGCCTCAAAGAGGTCCGCATATCCACTGGCAGGCTTCACAAACAGAGTGTTTCCTAACTGCTCTGTGAAAAGAAAGGTTAAACTCTGTGAGTTGAACGCACACATCACAAAGGAGTTTCTGAGAATCATTCTGTCTAGTTTTTATACGAAGATATTTCCTTTTCTACCATTGACCTCAAAGCGGCTGAAATCTCCACTTGCAAATTCCAGAAAAACAGTGTTTCAAATCTGCTCTGTGTAAAGGATCGTTCAACTCTGTGAGTTGAATACACACAACACAAGGAAGTTACTGAGAATTCATCTGTCTAGCATAATATGAAGAAATCCCGTTTCCAACGAAGGCTTCAAAGAGGTCTGAATATCCACTTGCAGACTTTACAAACAGAGTGTTTCCTAACTGCTCTTTGAAAACAAAGGTTAAACTCTTTGAGTTGAACGCACACATCACAAAACAGTTTCTGAGAATCATTCTTTCTAGTTTTTATACGAAGATATTTCCTTTTCTACCGTTGACCTCAAAGCGTCTGAATTCTCCACTTACAAATTCCACCAAAAGTGTGTCTCAAATCAGCTCTGTGTAAAGAATCATTCAACTCTGTGAGTTGAATGCACACAACACAAGGAAGTTACTGGGAATTCCTCTGTCTAACCTTACATGAAAAAACGCGTTTCCAACGAAGGCCTCTAAGAGGCCAAGATATCCACTTGCAGACTTTACAAACAGAGTGTTTCCAAACTGCTGAATGAAAAGAAAAGTTAAACTCTGTGAGTTGAACGCACACATCACAGAGCAGTTTCTGAGAATGATTCTGTCGGGTTTTTATACGAAGATATTTCCTTTTCTGCCTTTGGCCTCAAAGCGCTTGAAGTCTCCACTTGCAAATTGCAGAAAAAGAGTGTTTCGAATCTGCTCTGTCTAAAGGAAGGTTCAACTCTGTCAGTTGAATACACACAACACAAGGAAGTTACTGAGATTTCTTCTGTCTAGCCTTACATAAAAAAAACCCGTTTCCAACGAAGGCCTCAAAGAGGTCAAAATATCCACGTGCAGACTTTCCAAACAGTGTTTCCAAACCGCTGAATGAAAAGAAAAGTTAAACTCTGTGAGTTGAACGCACACATCACAGAGCAGTTTCTGAGAATGAGTCTGTCGAGTTTTTATAGGAAAATATTTCCTTTTCTGCTTTTGGCCTCAAAGCGCTTGAAATCTCCACTTGCAAATTCCACAAAAAGAGACTTTCAAATCTGCTCTGTCTAAAGGAAGGTTCAACTCTGTCAGTTGAATACACACAACACAAAGAAGTTACTAAGAATTCTTCCCTCTAGCATTATATGAAGAAATCCCGTTTCCAACGAAGGCATCTAAGAGGTCCAAATATCCACTTGCAGACTTTACAAACAGAGGGTTTCCAGAATGCTGTATGAAAAGAAAGGTTAAACTCTGTGAGTTAAACACACACATCACTACGCAGTGTCTGGGAACGAGTTTGTCTTGTTTTTATACGAAGATATTTCCTTTTCTACCATTGGCATCGATGCGCTTGAAATTTCCACTTGCAAATTCCACAAAAAGAGTGTTTCAAATCTGCTCTGTCTAAAGGAAGGTTGAACTCTGTGAGTTGCATACACACAACACAAAGAAGTTACTGAGAAATCTTCTGTCTAGCAAAATATGAAGAAATCCCGTTTCCAACGAAGGCCTCAAAGAGGTCCGAATATCCACTGGCAGGCTTCACAAACAGAGTGTTTCCTAACTGCTCTGTGAAAAGAAAGGTTAAACTCTGTGAGTTGAACGCACACATCACAAAGGAGTTTCTGAGAATCATTCTGTCCAGTTTTTATACGAAGATATTTCCTTTTCTACCATTGACCTCAAAGCGGCTGAAGTCTCCACTTGCAAATTCCAGAAAAAGTGTTTCAAATCTGCTCTGTGTAAAGGATCGTTCAACTCTGTGAGTTGAATACACACAACACAAGGAAGTTACTGAGAATTCATCTGTCTAGCATAATATGATGAAATCCCGTTTCCAACGAAGGCTTCAAAGAGGTCTGAATATCCACTTGCAGACTTTACAAACAGAGTGTTTCCTAACTGCTCTTTGAAAAGAAAGGTTAAACTCTGTGAGTTGAACGCACACATCACAAAACAGTTTCTGAGAATCATTCTTTCTAGTTTTTATACGAAGATATTTCCTTTTCTACCGTTGACCTCAAAGCGGCTGAATTCTCCACTTACAAATTCCACCAAAAGTGTGTCTCAAATCTGCTCTGTGTAAAGAATCATTCAACTCTGTGAGTTGAATGCACACAACACAAGGAAGTTACTGGGAATTCCTCTGTCTAACCTTACATGAAAAAACGCGTTTCCAACGAAGGCCTCTAAGAGGCCAAGATATCCACTTGCAGACTTTACAAACAGAGTGTTTCCAAACTGCTGAATGAAAAGAAAAGTTAAAATCTGTGAGTTGAACGCACACATCACAGAGCAGTTTCTGAGAATGATTCTGTCGGGTTTTTATACGAAGATATTTCCTTTTCTGCCTTTGGCCTCAAAGCGCTTGAAGTCTCCACTTGCAAATTGCAGAAAAAGAGCGTTTCGAATCTGCTCTGTCTAAAGGAAAGTTCAACTCTGTCAGTTGAATACACACAACACAAGGAAGTTACTGAGATTTCTTCTGTCTAGCCTTACATGAAAAAAACCCGTTTCCAACGAAGGCCTCAAAGAGGTCAAAATATCCACGTGCAGACTTTCCAAACAGAGTGTTTCCAAACTGCTGAATGAAAAGAAAGTTAAACTCTGTGAGTTGAACACACACATCACAGAGCAGTTTCTGAGAATGATTCTCTCTAGTTTTTATAGGAAAATATTTCCTTTTCTGCTTTTGGCCTCAAAGTGCTTGAAATCTCCACTTGCAAATTCCACAAAAAGAGACTTTCAAATCTGCTCTGTCTAAAGGAAGGTTCAACTCTGTCAGTTCAATACACACAACACAAAGAAGTTACTAAGAATTCTTCCCTCTAGCATTATATGAAGAAATCCCGTTTCCAACGAAGGCCTCAAACAGGTCTGAATATCCACTTGCAGACTTTACAGAGTGTTTCCTAACTGCTCTTTGAAAAGAAAGGTTAAACTCTGTGAGTTGAACGCACACATCACAAAACAGTTTCTGAGAATCATTCTGTCTAGTTTTTATACGAAGATATTTCCTTTTCTACCGTTGACCTCAAAGCGGCTGAATTCTCCACTTACAAATTCCACCCAAAGAGTGTCTCAAATCTGCTCTGTGTAAAGAATCATTCAACTCTGTGAGTTGAATGCACACAACACAAGGAAGTTACTGGGAATTCCTCTGTCTAACCTTACATGAAAAAACCCGTTTCCAACGAAGGCCTCTAAGAGGCCAAGATATCCACTTGCAGACTTTACAAACAGAGTGTTTCCAAACTGCTGAATGAAAAGAAAAGTTAAACTCTGTGAGTTGAACGCACACATCACAGAGCAGTTTCTGAGAATGATTCTGTCGGGTTTTTATACGAAGATATTTCCTTTTCTGCCTTTGGCCTCAAAGCGCTTGAAGTCTCCACTTGCAAATTGCAGAAAAAGAGTGTTTCGAATCTGCTCTGTCTAAAGGAAGGTTCAACTCTGTCAGTTGAATACACACAACACAAGGAAGTTACTGAGATTTCTTCTGTCTAGCCTTACATGAAAAAAACCCGTTTCCAACGAAGGCCTCAAAGAGGTCAAAATATCCACGTGCAGACTTTCCAAACAGAGTGTTTCCAAACTGCTGAATGAAAAGAAAGTTAAACTCTGTGAGTTGAACACACACATCACAGAGCAGTTTCTGAGAATGATTCTGTCTAGTTTTTATAGGAAAATATTTCCTTTTCTGCTTTTGGCCTCAAAGCGCTTGAAATCTCCACTTGCAAATTCCACAAAAAGAGACTTTCAAATCTGCTCTGTCTAAAGGAAGGTTCAACTCTGTCAGTTGAATACACACAACACAAAGAAGTTACTAAGAATTCTTCCCTCTAGCATTATATGAAGAAATCCCGTTTGCAACGAAGGCATCTAAGAGGTCCAAATATCCACTTGCAGACTTTACAAACAGAGGGTTTCCAGAATGCTGTATGAAAAGAAAGGTTAAACTCTGTGAGTTAAACACACACATCACTACGCAGTGTCTGGGAACGAGTTTGTCTTGTTTTTATACGAAGATATTTCCTTTTCTACCATTGGCATCGAAGCGCTTGAAATCTCCACTTGCAAATTCCACAAAAAGAGTGTTTCAAATCTGCTCTGTCTAAAGGAAGGTTGAACTCTGTGAGTTGCATACACACAACACAAAGAAGTTACTGAGAAATCTTCTGTCTAGCATAATACGAAGAAATCCCGTTTCCAACGAAGGCCTCAAAGAGGTCCGAATATCCACTGGCAGGCTTCACAAACAGAGTGTTTCCTAACTGCTCTGTGAAAAGACAGGTTAAACTCTGTGAGTTGAACGCACACATCACAAAGGAGTTTCTGAGAATCATTCTGTCTAGTTTTTATACGAAGATATTTCCTTTTCTACCATTGACCTCAAAGCGGCTGAAATCTCCACTTGCAAATTCCAGAAAAACAGTGTTTCAAATCTGCTCTGTGTAAAGGATCGTTCAACTCTGTGAGTTGAATACACACAACACAAGGAAGTTACTGAGAATTCATCTGTCTAGCATAATATGAAGAAATCCCGTTTCCAACGAAGGCCTCAAAGAGGTCTGAATATCCGCTTGCAGACTTTACAAACAGAGTGTTTCCTAACTGCTCTTTGAAAAGAAAGGTTAAACTCTGTGAGTTGAACGCACACATCACAAAACAGTTTCTGAGAATCATTCTGTCTAGTTTTTATACGAAGATATTTCCTTTTCTACCATTGACCTCAAAGCGGCTGAATTCTCCACTTACAAATTCCACCAACAGTGTCTCAAATCTGCTCTGTGTAAAGAATCATTCAACTCTGTGAGTTGAATGCACACAACACAAGGAAGTTACTGGGAATTCCTCTGTCTAACCTTACATGAAAAAACCCGTTTCCAACGAAGGCCTCTAAGAGGCCAAGATATCCACTTGCAGACTTTACAAACAGAGTGTTTCCAAACTGCTGAATGAAAAGAAAAGTTAAACTCTGTGAGTTGAACGCACACATCACAGAGCAGTTTCTGAGAATGATTCTGTCGGGTTTTTATACGAAGATATTTCCTTTTCTGCCTTTGGCCTCAAAGCGCTTGAAGTCTCCACTTGCAAATTGCAGAAAAAGAGTGTTTCGAATCTGCTCTGTCTAAAGGAAGGTTCAACTCTGTCAGTTGAATACACACAACACAAGGAAGTTACTGAGATTTCTTCTGTCTAGCCTTACATGAAAAAAACCCGTTTCCAACGAAGGCCTCAAAGAGGTCAAAATATCCACGTGCAGACTTTCCAAACAGAGTGTTTCCAAACTGCTGAATGAAAAGAAAAGTTAAACTCTGTGAGTTGAACGCACACATCCCAGAGCAGTTTCTGAGAAAGATTCTGTCGAGTTTTTATAGGAAAATATTTCCTTTTCTGCTTTTGGCCTCAAAGCGCTTGAAATCTCCACTTGCAAATTCCACAAAAAGAGACTTTCAAATCTGCTCTGTCTAAAGGAAGGTTCAACTCTGTCAGTTGAATACACACAACACAAAGAAGTTACTAAGAATTCTTCCCTCTAGCATTATATGAAGAAATCCCGTTTGCAACGAAGGCATCTAAGAGGTCCAAATATCCACTTGCAGACTTTACAAACAGAGGGTTTCCAGAATGCTGTATGAAAAGAAAGGTGAAACTCTGTGAGTTAAACACACACATCACTACGCAGTGTCTGGGAACGAGTTTGTCTTGTTTTTATACGAAGATATTTCCTTTTCTACCATTGGCATCGAAGCGCTTGAAATCTCCACTTGCAAATTCCACAAAAAGAGTGTTTCAAATCTGCTCTGTCTAAAGGAAGGTTGAACTCTGTGAGTTGCATACACACAACACAAAGAAGTTACTGAGAAATCTTCTGTCTAGCATAATATGAAGAAATCCCGTTTCCAACGAAGGCCTCAAAGAGGTCCGAATATCCACTGGCAGGCTTCACAAACAGAGTGTTTCCTAACTGCTCTGTGAAAAGAAAGGTTAAACCCTGTGAGTTGAACGCACACATCACAAAGGAGTTTCTGAGAATCATTCTGTCTAGTTTTTATACGAAGATATTTCCTTTTCTACCATTGACCTCAAAGCGGCTGAAATCTCCACTTGCAAATTCCAGAAAAACAGTGTTTCAAATCTGCTCTGTGTAAAGGATCGTTCAACTCTGTGAGTTGAATACACACAACACAAGGAAGTTACTGAGAATTCATCTGTCTAGCATAATATGAAGAAATCCCGTTTCCAACGAAGGCCTCAAAGAGGTCTGAATATCCACTTGCAGACTTTACAAACAGAGTGTTTCCTAACTGCTCTTTGAAAAGAAAGGTTAAACTCTGTGAGTTGAACGCACACATCAAAAAACAGTTTCTGAGAATCATTCTGTCTAGATTTTATACGAAGATATTTCCTTTTCTACCGTTGACCTCAAAGCGGCTGAATTCTCCACTTACAAATTCCACCCAAAGAGTGTCTCAAATCTGCTCTGTGTAAAGAATCATTCAACTCTGTGAGTTGAATGCACACAACACAAGGAAGTTACTGGGAATTCCTCTGTCTAACCTTAAATGAAAAAACCCGTTTCCAACGAAGGCCTCTAAGAGGCCAAGATATCCACTTGCAGACTTTACAAACAGAGTGTTTCCAAACTGCTGAATGAAAAGAAAAGTTAAACTCTGTGAGTTGAACGCACACATCACAGAGCAGTTTCTGAGAATGATTCTGTCGGGTTTTTATACGAAGATATTTCCTTTTCTGCCTTTGGCCTCAAAGCGCTTGAAGTCTCCACTTGCAAATTGCAGAAAAAGAGTGTTTCGAATCTGCTCTGTCTAAAGGAAGGTTCAACTCTGTCAGTTGAATACACACAACACAAGGAAGTTACTGAGATTTCTTCTGTCTAGCCTTACATGAAAAAAACCCGTTTCCAACGAAGGCCTCAAAGAGGTCAAAATATCCACGTGCAGACTTTCCAAACAGAGTGTTTCCAAACTGCTGAATGAAAAGAAAAGTTAAACTCTGTGAGTTGAACGCACACATCCCAGAGCAGTTTCTGAGAAAGATTCTGTCGAGTTTTTATAGGAAAATATTTCCTTTTCTGCTTTTGGCCTCAAAGCGCTTGAAATCTCCACTTGCAAATTCCACAAAAAGAGACTTTCAAATCTGCTCTGTCTAAAGGAAGGTTCAACTCTGTCAGTTGAATACACACAACACAAAGAAGTTACTAAGAATTCTTCCCTCTAGCATTATATGAAGAAATCCCGTTTCCAACGAAGGCATCTAAGAGATCCAAATATCCACTTGCAGACTTTACAAACAGAGGGTTTCCAGAATGCTGTATGAAAAGAAAGGTGAAACTCTGTGAGTTAAACACACACATCACTACGCAGTGTCTGGGAACGAGTTTGTCTTGTTTTTATACGAAGATATTTCCTTTTCTACCATTGGCATCGAAGCGCTTGAAATCTCCACTTGCAAATTCCACAAAAAGAGTGTTTCAAATCTGCTCTGTCTAAAGGAAGGTTGAACTCTGTGAGTTGCATATACACAACACAAAGAAGTTACTGAGAAATCTTTTGTCTAGCATAATATGAAGAAATCCCGTTTCCAACGAAGGCCTCAAAGAGGTCCGAATATCCACTGGCAGGCTTCACAAACAGAGTGTTTCCTAACTGCTCTGTGAAAAGAAAGGTTAAACTCTGTGAGTTGAACGCACACATCACAAAGGAGTTTCTGAGAATCATTCTGTCTAGTTTTTATACGAAGATATTTCCTTTTCTACCATTGACCTCAAAGCGGCTGAAATCTCCACTTGCAAATTCCAGAAAAACAGTGTTTCAAATCTGCTCTGTGTAAAGGATCGTTCAACTCTGTGAGTTGAATACACACAACACAAGGAAGTTACTGAGAATTCATCTGTCTAGCATAATATGAAGAAATCCCGTTTCCAACGAAGGCCTCAAAGAGGTCTGAATATCCACTTGCAGACTTTACAAACAGAGTGTTTCCTAACTGCTCTTTGAAAAGAAAGGTTAAACTCTGTGAGTTGAACGCACACATCACAAAACAGTTTCTGAGAATCATTCTGTCTAGTTTTTATACGAAGATATTTCCTTTTCTACCGTTGACCTCAAAGCGGCTGAATTCTCCACTTACAAATTCCACCAAAAGAGTGTCTCAAATCTGCTCTGTGTAAAGAATCATTCAACTCTGTGAGTTGAATGCACACAACACAAGGAAGTTACTGGGAATTCCTCTGTCTATCCTTACATGAAAAAACCCGTTTCCAACGAAGGCCTCTAAGAGGCCAAGATATCCACTTGCAGACTTTACAAACAGAGTGTTTCCAAACTGCTGAATGAAAAGAAAAGTTAAACTCTGTGAGTTGAACGCACACATCACAGAGCAGTTTCTGAGAATGATTCTGTCGGGTTTTTATACGAAGATATTTCCTTTTCTGCCTTTGGCCTCAAAGCGCTTGAAGTCTCCACTTGCAAATTGCAGAAAAAGAGTGTTTCGAATCTGCTCTGTCTAAAGGAAGGTTCAACTCTGTCAGTTGAATACACACAACACAAGGAAGTTACTGAGATTTCTTCTGTCTAGCCTTACATGAAAAAAACCCGTTTCCAACGAAGGCCTCAAAGAGGTCAAAATATCCACGTGCAGACTTTCCAAACAGTGTTTCCAAACTGCTGAATGAAAAGAAAAGTTAAACTCTGTGAGTTGAACGCACACATCACAGAGCAGTTTCTGAGAATGATTCTGTCGAGTTTTTATAGGAAAATATTTCCTTTTCTGCTTTTGGCCTCAAAGCGCTTGAAATCTCCACTTGCAAATTCCACAAAAAGAGACTTTCAAATCTGCTCTGTCTAAAGGAAGGTTCAACTCTGTCAGTTGAATACACACAACACAAAGAAGTTACTAAGAATTCTTCCCTCTAGCATTATATGAAGAAATCCCGTTTCCAACGAAGGCATCTAAAAGGTCCAAATATCCACTTGCAGACTTTACAAACACAGGGTTTCCAGAATGCTGTATGAAAAGAAAGGTTAAACTCTGTGAGTTAAACACACACATCACTACGCAGTGTCTGGGAACGAGTTTGTCTTGTTTTTATACGAAGATATTTCCTTTTCTACCATTTGCATCGAAGCGCTTGAAATCTCCACTTGCAAATTCCACAAAAAGAGTGTTTCAAATATGCTCTCTCTAAAGGAAGGTTGAACTCTGTAAGTTGCATACACACAACACAAAGAAGTTACTGAGAAATCTTCTGTCTAGCATAATATGAAGAAATCCCGTTTCCAACGAAGGCCTCAAAGAGGTCCGATTATCCACTGGCAGGCTTCACAAACAGAGTGTTTCCTAACTGCTCTGTGAAAAGAAAAGTTAAACTCTGTGAGTTGAACGCACACATCACAAAGGAGTTTCTGAGAATCATTCTGTCTAGTTTTTCTACGAAGATATTTCCTTTTCTACCATTGACCTCAAAGCGGCTGAAATCTCCACTTGCAAATTCCAGAAAAACAGTGTTTCAAATCTGCTCTGTGTAAAGGATCGTTCAACTCTGTGAGTTGAATACACACAACACAAGGAAGTTACTGAGAATTCATCTGTCTAGCATAATATGAAGAAATCCCGTTTCCAACGAAGGCCTCAAAGAGGTCTGAATATCCACTTGCAGACTTTACAAACAGAGTGTTTCCTAACTGCTCTTTGAAAAGAAAGGTTAAACTCTGTGAGTTGAACGCACACATCACAAAACAGTTTCTGAGAATCATTCTGTCTAGTTTTTATACGAAGATATTTCCTTTTCTACCGTTGACCTCAAAGCGGCTGAATTCTCCACTTACAAATTCCACCAAAAGAGTGTCTCAAAACTGCTCTGTGTAAAGAATCATTCAACTCTGTGAGTTGAATGCACACAACACAAGGAAAGTTACTGGGAATTCCTCTGTCTAACCTTACATGAAAAAACCCGTTTCCAACGAAGGCCTCTAAGAGGCCAAGATATCCACTTGCAGACTTTACAAACAGAGTGTTTCCAAACTGCTGAATGAAAAGAAAAGTTAAACTCTGTGAGTTGAACGCACACATCACAGAGCAGTTTCTGAGAATGATTCTGTCGGGTTTTTATACGAAGATATTTCCTTTTCTGTCTTTGGCCTCAAAGCGCTTGAAGTCTCCACTTGCAAATTGCAGAAAAAGAGTGTTTCGAATCTGCTCTGTCTAAAGGAAGGTTCAACTCTGTCAGTTGAATACACACAACACAAGGAAGTTACTGAGATTTCTTCTGTCTAGCCTTACATGAAAAAAACCCGTTTCCAACGAAGGCCTCAAAGAGGTCAAAATATCCACGTGCAGACTTTCCAAACAGAGTGTTTCCAAACTGCTGAATGAAAAGAAAAGTTAAACTCTGTGAGTTGAACGCACACATCCCAGAGCAGTTTCTGAGAAAGATTCTGTCGAGTTTTTATAGGAAAATATTTCCTTTTCTGCTTTTGGCCTCAAAGCGCTTGAAATCTCCACTTGCAAATTCCACAAAAAGAGACTTTCAAATCTGCTCTGTCTAAAGGAAGGTTCAACTCTGTCAGTTGAATACACACAACACAAAGAAGTTACTAAGAATTCTTCCCTCTAGCATTATATGAAGAAATCCCGTTTCCAACGAAGGCATCTAAGAGGTCCAAATATCCACTTGCAGACTTTTCAAACACAGGGTTTCCAGAATGCTGTATGAAAAGAAAGGTTAAACTCTGTGAGTTAAACACACACATCACTACGCAGTGTCTGGGAACGAGTTTGTCTTGTTTTTATACGAAGATATTTCCTTTTCTACCATTGGCATCGAAGCGCTTGAAATCTCCACTTGCAAATTCCACAAAAAGAGTGTTTCAAATCTGCTCTGTCTAAAGGAAGGTTGAACTCTGTGAGTTGCATACACACAACACAAAGAAGTTACTGAGAAATCTTCTGTCTAGCATAATATGAAGAAATCCCGTTTCCAACGAAGGCCTCAAAGAGGTCCGATTATCCACTGGCAGGCTTCACAAACAGAGTGTTTCCTAACTGCTCTGTGAAAAGAAAGGTTAAACTCTGTGAGTTGAACGCACACATCACAAAGGAGTTTCTGAGAATCATTCTGTCTAGTTTTTATACGAAGATATTTCCTTTTCTACCATTGACCTCAAAGCGGCTGAAATCTCCACTTGCAAATTCCAGAAAAACAGTGTTTCAAATCTGCTCTGTGTAAAGGATCGTTCAACTCTGTGAGTTGAATACACACAACACAAGGAAGTTACTGAGAATTCATCTGTCTAGCATAATATGAAGAAATCCCGTTTCCAACGAAGGCCTCAAAGAGGTCTGAATATCCACTTGCAGACTTTACAAACAGAGTGTTTCCTAACTGCTCTTTGAAAAGAAAGGTTAAACTCTGTGAGTTGAAAGCACACATCACAAAACAGTTTCTGAGAATCATTTCTTTCTAGTTTTTATACGAAGATATTTCCTTTTCTACCGTTGACCTCAAAGCGGCTGAATTCTCCACTTACAAATTCCACCAAAAGAGTGTCTCAAATCTGCTCTGTGTAAAGAATCATTCAACTCTGTGAGTTGAATGCATACAACACAAGGAAGTTACTGGGAATTCCTCTGTCTATCCTTACATGAAAAAACCCGCTTCCAACGAAGGCCTCTAAGAGGCCAAGATATCCACTTGCAGACTTTACAAACAGAGTGTTTCCAAACTGCTGAATGAAAAGAAAAGTTAAACTCTGTGAGTTGAACGCACACATCACAGAGCAGTTTCTGAGAATGATTCTGTCGGGTTTTTATACGAAGATATTTCCTTTTCTGCCTTTGGCCTCAAAGCGCTTGAAGTCTCCACTTGCAAATTGCAGAAAAAGAGTGTTTCGAATCTGCTCTGTCTAAAGGAAGGTTCAACTCTGTCAGTTGAATACACACAACACAAGGAAGTTACTGAGATTTCTTCTGTCTAGCCTTACATGAAAAAAACCCGTTTCCAACGAAGGCCTCAAAGAGGTCAAAATATCCACGTGCAGACTTTCCAAACAGAGTGTTTCCAAACTGCTGAATGAAAAGAAAAGTTAAACTCTGTGAGTTGAACGCACACATCCCAGAGCAGTTTCTGAGAAAGATTCTGTCGAGTTTTTATAGGAAAATATTTCCTTTTCTGCTTTTGGCCTCAAAGCGCTTGAAATCTCCACTTGCAAATTCCACAAAAAGAGACTTTCAAATCTGCTCTGTCTAAAGGAAGGTTCAACTCTGTCAGTTGAATACACACAACACAAAGAAGTTACTAAGAATTCTTCCCTCTAGCATTATATGAAGAAATCCCGTTTCCAACGAAGGCATCTAAGAGGTCCAAATATCCACTTGCAGACTTTACAAACACAGGGTTTCCAGAATGCTGTATGAAAAGAAAGGTGAAACTCTGTGAGTTAAACACACACATCACTACGCAGTGTCTGGGAACGAGTTTGTCTTGTTTTTATATGAAGATATTTCCTTTTCTACCATTGGCATCGAAGCGCTTGAAATCTCCACTTGCAAATTCCACAAAAAGAGTGTTTCAAATCTGCTCTGTCTAAAGGAAGGTTGAACTCTCTGAGTTGCATACACACAACACAAAGAAGTTACTGAGAAATCTTCTGTCTAGCATAATATGAAGAAATCCCGTTTCCAACGAAGGCCTCAAAGAGGTCCGAATATCCACTGGCAGGCTTCACAAACAGAGTGTTTCCTAACTGCTCTGTGAAAAGAAAGGTTAAACTCTGTGAGTTGAACGCACACATCACAAAGGAGTTTCTGAGAATCATTCTGTCTAGTTTTTATACGAAGATATTTCCTTTTCTACCATTGACCTCAAAGCGGCTGAAATCTCCACTTGCAAATTCCAGAAAAACAGTGTTTCAAATCTGCTCTGTGTAAAGGATCGTTCAACTCTGTGAGTTGAATACACACAACACAAGGAAGTTACTGAGAATTCATCTGTCTAGCATAATATGAAGAAATCCCGTTTCCAACGAAGGCCTCAAAGAGGTCTGAATATCCACTTGCAGACTTTACAAACAGAGTGTTTCCTAACTGCTCTTTGAAAAGAAAGGTTAAACTCTGTGAGTTGAACGCACACATCACAAAACAGTTTCTGAGAATCATTCTGCCTAGTTTTTATACGAAGATATTTCCTTTTCTACCGTTGACCTCAAAGCGGCTGAATTCTCCACTTACAAATTCCACCAAAAGAGTGTCTCAAATCTGCTCTGTGTAAAGAATCATTCAACTCTGTGAGTTGAATGCACACAACACAAGGAAGTTACTGGGAATTCCTCTGTCTAACCTTACATGAAAAAACCCGTTTCCAACGAAGGCCTCTAAGAGGCCAAGATATCCACTTGCAGACTTTACAAACAGAGTGTTTCCAAACTGCTGAATGAAAAGAAAAGTTAAACTCTGTGAGTTGAACGCACACATCACAGAGCAGTTTCTGAGAGTGATTCTGTCGGGTTTTTATACGAAGATATTTCCTTTTCTGCCTTTGGCCTCAAAGCGCTTGAAGTTTCCACTTGCAAATTGCAGAAAAAGAGTGTTTCGAATCTGCTCTGTCTAAAGGAAGGTTCAACTCTGTCAGTTGAATACACACAACACAAGGAAGTTACTGAGATTTCTTCTGTCTAGCCTTACATGAAAAAAACGCGTTTCCAACGAAGGCCTCAAAGAGGTCAAAATATCCACTTGCAGACTTTCCAAACAGAGTGTTTCCAAACTGCTGAATGAAAAGAAAAGTTAAACTCTGTGAGTTGAACGCACACATCCCAGAGCAGTTTCTGAGAAAGATTCTGTCGAGTTTTTATAGGAAAATATTTCCTTTTCTGCTTTTGGCCTCAAAGCGCTTGAAATCTCCACTTGCAAATTCCACAGAAAGAGACTTTCAAATCTGCTCTGTCTAAAGGAAGGTTCAACTCTGTCAGTTGAATACACACAACACAAAGAAGTTACTAAGAATTCTTCCCTCTAGCATTATATGAAGAAATCCCGTTTCCAACGAAGGCATCTAAGAGGTCCAAATATCCACTTGCAGACTTTACAAACACAGGGTTTCCAGAATGCTGTATGAAAAGAAAGGTGAAACTCTGTGAGTTAAACACACACATCACTACGCAGTGTCTGGGAACGAGTTTGTCTTGTTTTTCTACGAAGATATTTCCTTTTCTACCATTGGCATCGAAGCGCTTGAAATCTCCACTTGCAAATTCCACAAAAAGAGTGTTTCAAATCTGCTCTGTCTAAAGGAAGGTTGAACTCTGTGAGTTGCATACACACAACACAAAGAAGTTACTGAGAAATCTTCTGTCTAGCATAATATGAAGAAATCCCGTTTCCAACGAAGGCCTCAAAGAGGTCCGAATATCCACTGGCAGGCTTCACAAACAGAGTGTTTCCTAACTGCTCTGTGAAAAGAAAGGTTAAACTCTGTGAGTTGAACGCACACATCACAAAGGAGTTTCTGAGAATCATTCTGTCTAGTTTTTATACGAAGATATTTCTTTTTCTACCATTGACCTCAAAGCGGCTGAAATCTCCACTTGCAAATTCCAGAAAAACAGTGTTTCAAATCTGCTCTGTGTAAAGGATCGTTCAACTCTGTGAGTTGAATACACACAACACAAGGAAGTTACTGAGAATTCATCTGTCTAGCATAATATGAAGAAATCCCGTTTCCAACGAAGGCCTCAAAGAGGTCTGAATATCCACTTGCAGACTTTACAAACAGAGTGTTTCCTAACTGCTCTTTGAAAAGAAAGGTTAAACTCTGTGAGTTGAACGCACACATCACAAAACAGTTTCTGAGAATCATTCTGTCTAGTTTTTATACGAAGATATTTCCTTTTCTACCGTTGACCTCAAAGCGGCTGAATTCTCCACTTACAAATTCCACCAAAAGAGTGTCTCAAATCTGCTCTGTGTAAAGAATCATTCAACTCTGTGAGTTGAATACACACAACACAAGGAAGTTACTGGGAATTCCTCTGTCTAACCTTACATGAAAAAACCCGTTTCCAACGAAGGCCTCTAAGAGGCCAAGATATCCACTTGCAGACTTTACAAACAGAGTGTTTCCAAACTGCTGAATGAAAAGAAAAGTTAAACTCTGTGAGTTGAACGCACACATCACAGAGCAGTTTCTGAGAATGATTCTGTCGGGTTTTTATACGAAGATATTTCCTTTTCTGCCTTTGGCCTCAAAGCGCTTGAAGTCTCCACTTGCAAATTGCAGAAAAAGAGTGTTTCGAATCTGCTCTGTCTAAAGGAAGGTTCAACTCTGTCAGTTGAATACACACAACACAAGGAAGTTACTGAGATTTCTTCTGTCTAGCCTTACATGAAAAAAACCCGTTTCCAACGAAGGCCTCAAAGAGGTCAAAATATCCACGTGCAGACTTTCCAAACAGAGTGTTTCCAAACTGCTGAATGAAAAGAAAAGTTAAACTCTGTGAGTTGAACGCACACATCCCAGAGCAGTTTCTGAGAAAGATTCTGTCTAATTTTTATAGGAAAATATTTCCTTTTCTGCTTTTGGCCTCAAAGCGCTTGAAATCTCCACTTGCAAATTCCACAAAAAGAGACTTTCAAATCTGCTCTGTCTAAAGGAAGGTTCAACTCTGTCAGTTGAATACACACAACAAAAAGAAGTTACTAAGAATTCTTCCCTCTAGCATTATATGAAGAAATCCCGTTTCCAACGAAGGCATCTAAGAGGTCCAAATATCCACTTGCAGACTTTACAAACACAGGGTTTCCAGAATGCTGTATGAAAAGAAAGGTTAAACTCTGTGAGTTAAACACACACATCACTACGCAGTGTCTGGGAACGAGTTTGTCTTGTTTTTATACGAAGATATTTCCTTTTCTACCATTGGCATCGAAGCGCTTGAAATCTCCACTTGCAAATTCCACAAAAAGAGTGTTTCAAATCTGCTCTGTCTAAAGGAAGGTTGAACTCTGTGAGTTGCATACACACAACCCAAAGAAGTTACTGATAAATCTTCTGTCTAGCATAATATGAAGAAATCCCGTTTCCAACGAAGGCCTCAAAGAGGTCCGAATATCCACTGGCAGGCTTCACAGAGTGTTTCCTAACTGCTCTGTGAAAAGAAAGGTTAAACTCTGTGAGTTGAACGCACACATCACAAAGGAGTTTCTGAGAATCATTCTGTCTAGTTTTTATACGAAGATATTTCCTTTTCTACCATTGACCTCAAAGCGGCTGAAATCTCCACTTGCAAATTCCAGAAAAACAGTGTTTCAAATCTGCTCTGTGTAAAGGATCGTTCAACTCTGTGAGTTGAATACACACAACACAAGGAAGTTACTGAGAATTCATCTGTCTAGCATAATATGAAGAAATCCCGTTTCCAACGAAGGCCTCAAAGAGGTCTGAATATCCACTTGCAGACTTTACAAACAGAGTGTTTCCTAACTGCTCTTTGAAAAGAAAGGTTAAACTCTGTGAGTTGAACGCACACATCACAAAACAGTTTCTGAGAATCATTCTGTCTAGTTTTTATACGAAGATATTTCCTTTTCTACCGTTGACCTCAAAGCGGCTGAATTCTCCACTTACAAATTCCACCAAAAGAGTGTCTCAAAACTGCTCTGTGTAAAGAATCATTCAACTCTGTGAGTTGAATGCACACAACACAAGGAAGTTACTGGGAATTCCTCTGTCTAACCTTACATGAAAAAACCCGTTTCCAACGAAGGCCTCTAAGAGGCCAAGATATCCACTTGCAGACTTTACAAACAGAGTGTTTCCAAACTGCTGAATGAAAAGAAAAGTTAAACTCTGTGAGTTGAACGCACACATCACAGAGCAGTTTCTGAGAATGATTCTGTCGGGTTTTTATACGAAGATATTTCCTTTTCTGCCTTTGGCCTCAAAGCGCTTGAAGTCTCCACTTGCAAATTGCAGAAAAAGAGTGTTTCGAATCTGCTCTGTCTAAAGGAAGGTTCAACTCTGTCAGTTGAATACACACAACACAAGGAAGTTACTGAGATTTCTTCTGTCTAGCGTTACATGAAAAAAACCCGTTTCCAACGAAGGCCTCAAAGAGGTCAAAATATCCACGTGCAGACTTTCCAAACAGAGTGTTTCCAAACTGCTGAATGAAAAGAAAAGTTAAACTCTGTGAGTTGAACGCACACATCCCAGAGCAGTTTCTGAGAAAGATTCTGTCGAGTTTTTATAGGAAAATATTTCCTTTTCTGCTTTTGGCCTCAAAGCGCTTGAAATCTCCACTTGCAAATTCCACAAAAAGAGACTTTCAAATCTGCTCTGTCTAAAGGAAGGTTCAACTCTGTCAGTTGAATACACACAACACAAAGAAGTTACTAAGAATTCTTCCCTCTAGCATTATATGAAGAAATCCCGTTTCCAACGAAGGCATCTAAGAGGTCCAAATATCCACTTGCAGACTTTACAAACAGAGGGTTTCCAGAATGCTGTATGAAAAGAAAGGTTAAACTCTGTGAGTTAAACACACACATCACTACGCAGTGTCTGGGAACGAGTTTGTCTTGTTTTTATACGAAGATATTTCCTTTTCTACCATTGGCATCGAAGCGCTTGAAATCTCCACTTGCAAATTCCACAAAAAGAGTGTTTCAAATCTGCTCTGTCTAAAGGAAGGTTGAACTCTGTGAGTTGCATACACACAACCCAAAGAAGTTACTGAGAAATCTTCTGTCTAGCATAATATGAAGAAATCCCGTTTCCAACGAAGGCCTCAAAGAGGTCCGAATATCCACTGGCAGGCTTCACAAACAGAGTGTTTCCTAACTGCTCTGTGAAAAGAAAGGTTAAACTCTGTGAGTTGAACGCACACATCACAAAGGAGTTTCTGAGAATCATTCTGTCTAGTTTTTATACGAAGATATTTCCTTTTCTACCATTGACCTCAAAGCGGCTGAAATCTCCACTTGCAAATTCCAGAAAAACAGTGTTTCAAATCTGCTCTGTGTAAAGGATCGTTCAACTCTGTGAGTTGAATACACACAACACAAGGAAGTTACTGAGAATTCATCTGTCTAGCATAATATGAAGAAATCCCGTTTCCAACGAAGGCCTCAAAGAGGTCTGAATATCCACTTGCAGACTTTACAAACAGAGTGTTTCCTAACTGCTCTTTGAAAAGAAAGGTTAAACTCTGTGAGTTGAACGCACACATCACAAAACAGTTTCTGAGAATCATTCTGTCTAGTTTTTATACGAAGATATTTCCTTTTCTACCGTTGACCTCAAAGCGGCTGAATTCTCCACTTACAAATTCCACCAAAAGAGTGTCTCAAATCTGCTCTGTGTAAAGAATCATTCAACTCTGTGAGTTGAATGCACGCAACACAAGGAAGTTACTGGGAATTCCTCTGTCTAACCTTACATGAAAAAACCCGTTTCCAACGAAGGCCTCTAAGAGGCCAAGATATCCACTTGCAGACTTTAGAAACAGAGTGTTTCCAAACTGCTGAATGAAAAGAAAAGTTAAACTCTGTGAGTTGAACGCACACATCACAGAGCAGTTTCTGAGAATGATTCTGTCGGGTTTTTATACGAAGATATTTCCTTTTCTGCCTTTGGCCTCAAAGCGCTTGAAGTCTCCACTTGCAAATTGCCGAAAAAGAGTGTTTCGAATCTGCTCTGTCTAAAAGAAGGTTCAACTCTGTCAGTTGAATACACACAACACAAGGAAGTTACTGAGATTTCTTCTGTCTAGCCTTACATGAAAAAAACCCGTTTCCAACGAAGGCCTCAAAGAGGTCAAAATATCCACGTGCAGACTTTCCAAACAGAGTGTTTCCAAACTGCTGAATGAAAAGAAAAGTTAAACTCTGTGAGTTGAACGCACACATCCCAGAGCAGTTTCTGAGAAAGATTCTGTCTAGTTTTTATAGGAAAATATTTCCTTTTCTGCTTTTGGCCTCAAAGCGCTTGAAATCTCCACTTGCAAATTCCACAAAAAGAGACTTTCAAATCTGCTCTGTCTAAAGGAAGGTTCAACTCTGTCAGTTGAATACACACAACACAAAGAAGTTACTAAGAATTCTTCCCTCTAGCATTATATGAAGAAATCCCGTTTCCAACGAAGGCATCTAAGAGGTCCAAATATCCACTTGCAGACTTTACAAACAGAGGGTTTCCAGAATGCTGTATGAAAAGAAAGGTGAAACTCTGTGAGTTAAACACACACATCACTACGCAGTGTCTGGGAACGAGTTTGTCTTGTTTTTATACGAAGATATTTCCTTTTCTACCATTGGCATCGAAGCGCTTGAAATCTCCACTTGCAAATTCCACAAAAAGAGTGTTTCAAATCTGCTCTGTCTAAAGGAAGGTTGAACTCTGTGAGTTGCATACACACAACACAAAGAAGTTACTGAGAAATCTTCTGTCTAGCATAATATGAAGAAATCCCGTTTCCAACGAAGGCCTCAAAGAGGTCCGAATATCCACTGGCAGGCTTCACAAACAGAGTGTTTCCTAACTGCTCTGTGAAAAGAAAGGTTAAACTCTGTGAGTTGAACGCACACATCACAAAGGAGTTTCTGAGAATCATTCTGTCTAGTTTTTATACGAAGATATTTCTTTTTCTACCATTGACCTCAAAGCGGCTGAAATCTCCACTTGCAAATTCCAGAAAAACAGTGTTTCAAATCTGCTCTGTGTAAAGGATCGTTCAACTCTGTGAGTTGAATACACACAACACAAGGAAGTTACTGAGAATTCTCTGTCTAGCATAATATGAAGAAATCCCGTTTCCAACGAAGGCCTCAAAGAGGTCTGAATATCCACTTGCAGACTTTACAAACTGAGTGTTTCCTAACTGCTCTTTGAAAAGAAAGGTTAAACTCTGTGAGTTGAACGCACACATCACAAAACAGTTTCTGAGAATCATTCTGTCTAGTTTTTATACGAAGATATTTCCTTTTCTACCGTTGACCTCAAAGCGGCTGAATTCTCCACTTACAAATTCCACCAAAAGAGTGTCTCAAATCTGCTCTGTGTAAAGAATCATTCAACTCTGTGAGTTGAATGCACACAACACAAGGAAGTTACTGGGAATTCCTCTGTCTATCCTTACATGAAAAAACCCGCTTCCAACGAAGGCCTCTAAGAGGCCAAGATATCCACTTGCAGACTTTACAAACAGAGTGTTTCCAAACTGCTGAATGAAAAGAAAAGTTAAACTCTGTGAGTTGAACGCACACATCACAGAGCAGTTTCTGAGAATGATTCTGTCGGGTTTTTATACGAAGATATTTCCTTTTCTGCCTTTGGCCTCAAAGCGCTTGAAGTCTCCACTTGCAAATTGCAGAAAAAGAGTGTTTCGAATCTGCTCTGTCTAAAGGAAGGTTCAACTCTGTCAGTTGAATACACACAACACAAGGAAGTTACTGAGATTTCTTCTGTCTAGCCTTACATGAAAAAAACCCGTTTCCAACGAAGGCCTCAAAGAGGTCAAAATATCCACGTGCAGACTTTCCAAACAGAGTGTTTCCAAACTGCTGAATGAAAAGAAAAGTTAAACTCTGTGAGTTGAACGCACACATCCCAGAGCAGTTTCTGAGAAAGATTCTGTCGAGTTTTTATAGGAAAATATTTCCTTTTCTGCTTTTGGCCTCAAAGCGCTTGAAATCTCCACTTGCAAATTCCACAAAAAGAGACTTTCAAATCTGCTCTGTCTAAAGGAAGGTTCAACTCTGTCAGTTGAATACACACAACACAAAGAAGTTACTAAGAATTCTTCCCTCTAGCATTATATGAAGAAATCCCGTTTCCAACGAAGGCATCTAAGAGGTCCAAATATCCACTTGCAGACTTTACAAACACAGG
Organism: Homo sapiens; assembly: GCF_000001405.40. Classification (NCBI taxonomy): domain Eukaryota; kingdom Metazoa; phylum Chordata; class Mammalia; order Primates; family Hominidae; genus Homo; species Homo sapiens. Next base: position 36,881,713 of record NC_000016.10, on the reverse strand, counting down.
GTTTCCAGAATGCTGTATGAAAAGAAAGGTTAAACTCTGTGAGTTAAACACACACATCACTACGCAGTGTCTGGGAACGAGTTTGTCTTGTTTTTATACGAAGATATTTCCTTTTCTACCATTGGCATCGAAGCGCTTGAAATCTCCACTTGCAAATTCCACAAAAAGAGTGTTTCAAATCTGCTCTGTCTAAAGGAAGGTTGAACTCTGTGAGTTGCATACACACAACACAAAGAAGTTACTGAGAAATCTTCTGTCTAGCATAATATGAAGAAATCCCGTTTCCAACGAAGGCCTCAAAGAGGTCCGAATATCCACTGGCAGGCTTCACAAACAGAGTGTTTCCTAACTGCTCTGTGAAAAGAAAGGTTAAACTCTGTGAGTTGAACGCACACATCACAAAGGAGTTTCTGAGAATCATTCTGTCTAGTTTTTATACAGAAGATATTTCCTTTTCTACCATTGACCTCAAAGCGGCTGAAATCTCCACTTGCAAATTCCAGAAAAACAGTGTTTCAAATCTGCTCTGTGTAAAGGATCGTTCAACTCTGTGAGTTGAATACACACAACACAAGGAAGTTACTGAGAATTCATCTGTCTAGCATAATATGAAGAAATCCCGTTTCCAACGAAGGCCTCAAAGAGGTCTGAATATCCACTTGCAGACTTTACAAACAGAGTGTTTCCTAACTGCTCTTTGAAAAGAAAGGTTAAACTCTGTGAGTTGAACGCACACATCACAAAACAGTTTCTGAGAATCATTCTGTCTAGTTTTTATACGAAGATATTTCCTTTTCTACCGTTGACCTCAAAGCGGCTGAATTCTCCACTTACAAATTCCACCAAAAGAGTGTCTCAAATCTGCTCTGTGTAAAGAATCATTCAACTCTGTGAGTTGAATGCACACAACACAAGGAAGTTACTGGGAATTCCTCTGTCTAAACTTACATGAAAAAACCCGTTTCCAACGAAGGCCTCTAAGAGGCCAAGATATCCACTTGCAGACTTTACAAACAGAGTGTTTCCAAACTGCTGAATGAAAAGAAAAGTTAAACTCTGTGAGTTGAACGCACACATCACAGAGCAGTTTCTGAGAATGATTCTGTCGGGTTTTTATACGAAGATATTTCCTTTTCTGCCTTTGGCCTCAAAGCGCTTGAAGTCTCCACTTGCAAATTGCAGAAAAAGAGTGTTTCGAATCTGCTCTGTCTAAAAGAAGGTTCAACTCTGTCAGTTGAATACACACAACACAAGGAAGTTACTGAGATTTCTTCTGTCTAGCCTTACATGAAAAAAACCCGTTTCCAACGAAGGCCTCAAAGAGGTCAAAATATCCACGTGCAGACTTTCCAAACAGAGTGTTTCCAAACTGCTGAATGAAAAGAAAAGTTAAACTCTGTGAGTTGAACGCACACATCCCAGAGCAGTTTCTGAGAAAGATTCTGTCGAGTTTTTATAGGAAAATATTTCCTTTTCTGCTTTTGGCCTCAAAGCGCTTGAAATCTCCACTTGCAAATTCCACAAAAAGAGACTTTCAAATCTGCTCTGTCTAAAGGAAGGTTCAACTCTGTCAGTTGAATACACACAACACAAAGAAGTTACTAAGAATTCTTCCCTCTAGCATTATATGAAGAAATCCCGTTTCCAACGAAGGCATCTAAGAGGTCCAAATATCGACTTGCAGACTTTACAAACAGAGGGTTTCCAGAATGCTGTATGAAAAGAAAGGTTAAACTCTGTGAGTTAAACACACACATCACTACGCAGTGTCTGGGAACGAGTTTGTCTTGTTTTTATACGAAGATATTTCCTTTTCTACCATTGGCATCGAAGCGCTTGAAATCTCCACTTGCAAATTCCACAAAAAGAGTGTTTCAAATCTGCTCTGTCTAAAGGAAGGTTGAACTCTGTGAGTTGCATACACACAACACAAAGAAGTTACTGAGAAATCTTCTGTCTAGCATAATATGAAGAAATCCCGTTTCCAACGAAGGCCTGAAAGAGGTCCGAATATCCACTGGCAGGCTTCACAAACAGAGTGTTTCCTAACTGCTCTGTGAAAAGAAAGGTTAAACTCTGTGAGTTGAACGCACACATCACAAAGGAGTTTCTGAGAATCATTCTGTCTAGTTTTTATACGAAGATATTTCCTTTTCTACCATTGACCTCAAAGCGGCTGACATCTCCACTTGCAAATTCCAGAAAAACAGTGTTTCAAATCTGCTCTGTGTAAAGGATCGTTCAACTCTGTGAGTTGAATACACACAACACAAGGAAGTTACTGAGAATTCATCTGTCTAGCATAATATGAAGAAATCCCGTTTCCAACGAAGGCCTCAAAGAGGTCTGAATATCCACTTGCAGACTTTACAGAGTGTTTCCTAACTGCTCTCTGAAAAGAAAGGTTAAACTCTGTGAGTTGAACGCACACATCACAAAACAGTTTCTGAGAATCATTCTGTCTAGTTTTTATACGAAGATATTTCCTTTTCTACCGTTGACCTCAAAGCGGCTGAATTCTCCACTTACAAATTCCACCAAAAGAGTGTCTCAAATCTGCTCTGTGTAAAGAATCGTTCAACTCTGTGAGTTGAATGCACACAACACAAGGAAGTTACTGGGAATTCCTCTGTCTATCCTTACATGAAAAAACCCGTTTCCAACGAAGGCCTCTAAGAGGCCAAGATATCCACTTGCAGACTTTACAAACAGAGTGTTTCCAAACTGCTGAATGAAAAGAAAAGTTAAACTCTGTGAGTTGAACGCACACATCACAGAGCAGTTTCTGAGAAAGATTCTGTCGGGTTTTTATACGAAGATATTTCCTTTTCTGCCTTTGGCCTCAAAGCGCTTGAAGTCTCCACTTGCAAATTGCAGAAAAAGAGTGTTTCGAATCTGCTCTGTCTAAAGGAAGGTTCAACTCTGTCAGTTGAATACACACAACACAAGGAAGTTACTGAGATTTCTTCTGTCTAGCCTTACATGAAAAAAACCCGTTTCCAACGAAGGCCTCAAAGAGGTCAAAATATCCACGTGCAGACTTTCCAAACAGAGTGTTTCCAAACTGCTGAATGAAAAGAAAAGTTAAACTCTGTGAGTTGAACGCACACATCCCAGAGCAGTTTCTGAGAAAGATTCTGTCTAGTTTTTATAGGAAAATATTTCCTTTTCTGCTTTTGGCCTCAAAGCGCTTGAAATCTCCACTTGCAAATTCCACAAAAAGAGACTTTCAAATCTGCTCTGTCTAAAGGAAGGTTCAACTCTGTCAGTTGAATACACACAACACAAAGAAGTTACTAAGAATTCTTCCCTCTAGCATTATATGAAGAAATCCCGTTTCCAACGAAGGCATCTAAGAGGTCCAAATATCCACTTGCAGACTTTACAAACAGAGGGTTTCCAGAATGCTGTATGAAAAGAAAGGTTAAACTCTGTGAGTTAAACACACACATCACTACGCAGTGTCTGCGAACGAGTTTGTCTTGTTTTTATACGAAGATATTTCCTTTTCTACCATTGGCATCGAAGCGCTTGAAATCTCCACTTGCAAATTCCACAAAAAGAGTGTTTCAAATCTGCTCTGTCTAAAGGAAGGTTGAACTCTGTGAGTTGCATACACACAACACAAAGAAGTTACTGAGAAATCTTCTGTCTAGCATAATATGAAGAAATCCCGTTTCCAACGAAGGCCTCAAAGAGGTCCGAATATCCACTGGCAGGCTTCACAAACAGAGTGTTTCCTAACTGCTCTGTGAAAAGAAAGGTTAAACTCTGTGAGTTGAACGCACACATCACAAAGGAGTTTCTGAGAATCATTCTGTCTAGTTTTTATACGAAGATATTTCCTTTTCTACCATTGACCTCAAAGCGGCTGAAATCTCCACTTGCAAATTCCAGAAAAACAGTGTTTCAAATCTGCTCTGTGTAAAGGATCGTTCAACTCTGTGAGTTGAATACACACAACACAAGGAAGTTACTGAGAATTCATCTGTCTAGCATAATATGAAGAAATCCCGTTTCCAACGAAGGCCTCAAAGAGGTCTGAATATCCACTTGCAGACTTTACAAACAGAGTGTTTCCTAACTGCTCTTTGAAAAGAAAGGTTAAACTCTGTGAGTTGAACGCACACATCACAAAACAGTTTCTGAGAATCATTCTGTCTAGTTTTTATACGAAGATATTTCCTTTTCTACCGTTGACCTCAAAGCGGCTGAATTCTCCACTTACAAATTCCACCAAAAGAGTGTCTCAAATCTGCTCTGTGTAAAGAATCATTCAACTCTGTGAGTTGAATGCACACAACACAAGGAAGTTACTGGGAATTCCTCTGTCTAACCTTACATGAAAAAACCCGTTTCCAACGAAGGCCTCTAAGAGGCCAAGATATCCACTTGCAGACTTTACAAACAGAGTGTTTCCAAACTGCTGAATGAAAAGAAAAGTTAAACTCTGTGAGTTGAACGCACACATCACAGAGCAGTTTCTGAGAATGATTCTGTCGGGTTTTTATACGAAGATATTTCCTTTTCTGCCTTTGGCCTCAAAGCGCTTGAAGTCTCCACTTGCAAATTGCAGAAAAAGAGTGTTTCGAATCTGCTCTGTCTAAAGGAAGGTTCAACTCTGTCAGTTGAATACACACAACACAAGGAAGTTACTGAGATTTCTTCTGTCTAGCCTTACATGAAAAAAACCCGTTTCCAACGAAGGCCTCAAAGAGGTCAAAATATCCACGTGCAGACTTTCCAAACAGAGTGTTTCCAAACTGCTGAATGAAAAGAAAAGTTAAACTCTGTGAGTTGAACGCACACATCCCAGAGCAGTTTCTGAGAAAGATTCTGTCGAGTTTTTATAGGAAAATATTTCCTTTTCTGCTTTTGGCCTCAAAGCGCTTGAAATCTCCACTTGCAAATTCCACAAAAAGAGACTTTCAAATCTGCTCTGTCTAAAGGAAGGTTCAACTCTGTCAGTTGAATACACACAACACAAAGAAGTTACTAAGAATTCTTCCCTCTAGCATTATATGAAGAAATCCCGTTTCCAACGAAGGCATCTAAGAGGTCCAAATATCCACTTGCAGACTTTACAAACACAGGGTTTCCAGAATGCTGTATGAAAAGAAAGGTTAAACTCTGTGAGTTAAACACACACATCACTACGCAGTGTCTGGGAACGAGTTTGTCTTGTTTTTATACGAAGATATTTCCTTTTCTACCATTGGCATCGAAGCGCTTGAAATCTCCACTTGCAAATTCCACAAAAAGAGTGTTTCAAATCTGCTCTGTCTAAAGGAAGGTTGAACTCTGTGAGTTGCATACACACAACACAAAGAAGTTACTGAGAAATCTTCTGTCTAGCATAATATGAAGAAATCCCGTTTCCAACGAAGGCCTCAAAGAGGTCCGATTATCCACTGGCAGGCTTCACAAACAGAGTGTTTCCTAACTGCTCTGTGAAAAGAAAGGTTAAACTCTGTGAGTTGAACGCACACATCACAAAGGAGTTTCTGAGAATCATTCTGTCTAGTTTTTATACGAAGATATTTCCTTTTCTACCATTGACCTCAAAGCGGCTGAAATCTCCACTTGCAAATTCCAGAAAAACAGTGTTTCAAATCTGCTCTGTGTAAAGGATAGTTCAACTCTGTGAGTTGAATACACACAACACAAGGAAGTTACTGAGAATTCATCTGTCTAGCATAATATGAAGAAATCCCGTTTCCAACGAAGGCCTCAAAGAGGTCTGAATATCCACATGCAGACTTTACAAACAGAGTGTTTCCTAACTGCTCTCTGAAAAGAAAGGTTAAACTCTGTGAGTTGAACGCACACATCACAAAACAGTTTCTGAGAATCATTCTGTCTAGTTTTTATACGAAGATATTTCCTTTTCTACCGTTGACCTCAAAGCGGCTGAATTCTCCACTTACAAATTCCACCAAAAGAGTGTCTCAAATCTGCTCTGTGTAAAGAATCATTCAACTTCTGTGAGTTGAATGCACACAACACAAGGAAGTTACTGGGAATTCCTCTGTCTATCCTTACATGAAAAAACCCGTTTCCAACGAAGGCCTCTAAGAGGCCAAGATATCCACTTGCAGACTTTACAAACAGAGTGTTTCCAAACTGCTGAATGAAAAGAAAAGTTAAACTCTGTGAGTTGAACGCAGACATCACAGAGCAGTTTCTGAGAATGATTCTGTCGGGTTTTTATACGAAGATATATCCTTTTCTGCCTTTGGCCTCAAAGCGCTTGAAGTCTCCACTTGCAAATTGCAGAAAAAGAGTGTTTCAAATCTGCTCTGTCTAAAGGAAGGTTCAACTCTGTCAGTTGAATACACACAACACAAGGAAGTTACTGAGATTTCTTCTGTCTAGCCTTACATGAAAAAAACCCGTTTCCAACGAAGGCCTCAAAGAGGTCAAAATATCCACGTGCAGACTTTCCAAACAGAGTGTTTCCAAACTGCTGAATGAAAAGAAAAGTTAAACTCTGTGAGTTGAACGCACACATCCCACAGCAGTTTCTGAGAAAGATTCTGTCGAGTTTTTATAGGAAAATATTTCCTTTTCTGCTTTTGGCCTCAAAGCGCTTGAAATCTCCACTTGCAAATTCCACAAAAAGAGACTTTCAAATCTGCTCTGTCTAAAGGAAGGTTCAACTCTGTCAGTTGAATACACACAACACAAAGAAGTTACTAAGAATTCTTCCCTCTAGCATTATATGAAGAAATCCCGTTTCCAACGAAGGCATCTAAGAGGTCCAAATATCCACTTGCAGACTTTACAAACAGAGGGTTTCCAGAATGCTGTATGAAAAGAAAGGTTAAACTCTGTGAGTTAAACACACACATCACTACGCAGTGTCTGGGAACGAGTTTGTCTTGTTTTTATACGAAGATATTTCCTTTTCTACCATTGGCATCGAAGCGCTTGAAATCTCCACTTGCAAATTCCACAAAAAGAGTGTTTCAAATCTGCTCTGTCTAAAGGAAGGTTGAACTCTGTGAGTTGCATACACACAACACAAAGAAGTTACTGAGAAATCTTCTGTCTAGCATAATATGAAGAAATCCCGTTTCCAACGAAGGCCTGAAAGAGGTCCGAATATCCACTGGCAGGCTTCACAAACAGAGTGTTTCCTAACTGCTCTGTGAAAAGAAAGGTTAAACTCTGTGAGTTGAACGCACACATCACAAAGGAGTTTCTGAGAATCATTCTGTCTAGTTTTTATACGAAGATATTTCCTTTTCTACCATTGACCTCAAAGCGGCTGACATCTCCACTTGCAAATTCCAGAAAAACAGTGTTTCAAATCTGCTCTGTGTAAAGGATCGTTCAACTCTGTGAGTTGAATACACACAACACAAGGAAGTTACTGAGAATTCATCTGTCCAGCATAATATGAAGAAATCCCGTTTCCAACGAAGGCCTCAAAGAGGTCTGAATATCCACTTGCAGACTTTACAAACAGAGTGTTTCCTAACTGCTCTTTGAAAAGAAAGGTTAAACTCTGTGAGTTGAACGCACACATCACAAAACAGTTTCTGAGAATCATCTGTCTAGTTTTTATACGAAGATATTTCCTTTTCTACCGTTGACCTCAAAGCGGCTGAATTCTCCACTTACAAATTCCACCAAAAGAGTGTCTCAAATCTGCTCTGTGTAAAGAATCATTCAACTCTGTGAGTTGAATGCACACAACACAAGGAAGTTACTGGGAATTCCTCTGTCTAACCTTACATGAAAAAACCCGTTTCCAACGAAGGCCTCTAAGAGGCCAAGATATCCACTTGCAGACTTTACAAACAGAGTGTTTCCAAACTGCTGAATGAAAAGAAAAGTTAAACTCTGTGAGTTGAACGCACACATCACAGAGCAGTTTCTGAGAATGATTCTGTCGGGTTTTTATACGAAGATATTTCCTTTTCTGCCTTTGGCCTCAAAGCGCTTGAAGTCTCCACTTGCAAATTGCAGAAAAAGAGTGTTTCGAATCTGCTCTGTCTAAAGGAAGGTTCAACTCTGTCAGTTGAATACACACAACACAAGGAAGTTACTGAGATTCTTCTGTCTAGCGTTACATGAAAAAAACCCGTTTCCAACGAAGGCCTCAAAGAGGTCAAAATATCCACGTGCAGACTTTCCAAACAGAGTGTTTCCAAACTGCTGAATGAAAAGAAAAGTTAAACTCTGTGAGTTGAATGCACACATCCCAGAGCAGTTTCTGAGAAAGATTCTGTCGAGTTTTTATAGGAAAATATTTCCTTTTCTGCTTTTGGCCTCAAAGCGCTTGAAATCTCCACTTGCAAATTCCACAAAAAGAGACTTTCAAATCTGCTCTGTCTAAAGGAAGGTTCAACTCTGTCAGTTGAATACACACAACACAAAGAAGTTACTAAGAATTCTTCCCTCTAGCATTATATGAAGAAATCCCGTTTCCAACGAAGGCATCTAAGAGGTCCAAATATCCACTTGCAGACTTTACAAACACAGGGTTTCCAGAATGCTGTATGAAAAGAAAGGTGAAACTCTGTGAGTTAAACACACACATCACTACGCAGTGTCTGGGAACGAGTTTGTCTTGTTTTTATACGAAGATATTTCCTTTTCTACCATTGGCATCGAAGCGTTTGAAATCTCCACTTGCAAATTCCACAAAAAGAGTGTTTCAAATCTGCTCTGTCTAAAGGAAGGTTGAACTCTGTGAGTTGCATACACACAACACAAAGAAGTTACTGAGAAATCTTCTGTCTAGCATAATATGAAGAAATCCCGTTTCCAACGAAGGCCTCAAAGAGGTCCGAATATCCACTGGCAGGCTTCACAAACAGAGTGTTTCCTAACTGCTCTGTGAAAAGAAAGGTTAAACTCTGTGAGTTGAACGCACACATCACAAAGGAGTTTCTGAGAATCATTCTGTCTAGTTTTTATACGAAGATATTTCCTTTTCTACCATTGACCTCAAAGCGGCTGAAATCTCCACTTGCAAATTCCAGAAAAACAGTGTTTCAAATCTGCTCTGTGTAAAGGATCGTTCAACTCTGTGAGTTGAATACACACAACACAAGGAAGTTACTGAGAATTCATCTGTCTAGCATAATATGAAGAAATCCCGTTTCCAACGAAGGCCTCAAAGAGGTCTGAATATCCACTTGCAGACTTTACAAACAGAGTGTTTCCTAACTGCTCTTTGAAAAGAAAGGTTAAACTCTGTGAGTTGAACGCACACATCACAAAACAGTTTCTGAGAATCATTCTGTCTAGTTTTTATACGAAGATATTTCCTTTTCTACCGTTGACCTCAAAGCGGCTGAATTCTCCACTTACAAATTCCACCAAAAGAGTGTCTCAAAACTGCTCTGTGTAAAGAATCATTCAACTCTGTGAGTTGAATGCACACAACACAAGGAAGTTACTGGGAATTCCTCTGTCTAACCTTACATGAAAAAACCCGTTTCCAACGAAGGCCTCTAAGAGGCCAAGATATCCACTTGCAGACTTTACAAACAGAGTGTTTCCAAACTGCTGAATGAAAAGAAAAGTTAAACTCTGTGAGTTGAACGCACACATCACAGAGCAGTTTCTGAGAATGATTCTGTCGGGTTTTTATACGAAGATATTTCCTTTTCTGCCTTTGGCCTCAAAGCGCTTGAAGTCTCCACTTGCAAATTGCAGAAAAAGAGTGTTTCGAATCTGCTCTGTCTAAAGGAAGGTTCAACTCTGTCAGTTGAATACACACAACACAAGGAAGTTACTGAGATTTCTTCTGTCTAGCGTTACATGAAAAAAACCCGTTTCCAACGAAGGCCTCAAAGAGGTCAAAATATCCACGTGCAGACTTTCCAAACAGAGTGTTTCCAAACTGCTGAATGAAAAGAAAGTTAAACTCTGTGAGTTGAACACACACATCACAGAGCAGTTTCTGAGAATGATTCTGTCTAGTTTTTATAGGAAAATATTTCCTTTTCTGCTTTTGGCCTCAAAGCGCTTGAAATCTCCACTTGCAAATTCCACAAAAAGAGACTTTCAAATCTGCTCTGTCTAAAGGAAGGTTCAACTCTGTCAGTTGAATACACACAACACAAAGAAGTTACTAAGAATTCTTCCCTCTAGCATTATATGAAGAAATCCCGTTTCCAACGAAGGCATCTAAGAGGTCCAAATATCCACTTGCAGACTTTACAAACACAGGGTTTCCAGAATGCTGTATGAAAAGAAAGGTTAAACTCTGTGAGTTAAACACACACATCACTACGCAGTGTCTGGGAACGAGTTTGTCTTGTTTTTATACGAAGATATTTCCTTTTCTACCATTGGCATCGAAGCGCTTGAAATCTCCACTTGCAAATTCCACAAAAAGAGTGTTTCAAATCTGCTCTGTCTAAAGGAAGGTTGAACTCTGTGAGTTGCATACACACAACACAAAGAAGTTACTGAGAAATCTTCTGTCTAGCAAAATATGAAGAAATCCCGTTTCCAACGAAGGCCTCAAAGAGGTCCGAATATCCACTGGCAGGCTTCACAAACAGAGTGTTTCCTAACTGCTCTGTGAAAAGAAAGGTTAAACTCTGTGAGTTGAACGCACACATCACAAAGGAGTTTCTGAGAATCATTCTGTCCAGTTTTTATACGAAGATATTTCCTTTTCTACCATTGACCTCAAAGCGGCTGAAATCTCCACTTGCAAATTCCAGAAAAACAGTGTTTCAAATCTGCTCTGTGTAAAGGATCGTTCAACTCTGTGAGTTGAATACACACAACACAAGGAAGTTACTGAGAATTCATCTGTCTAGCATAATATGATGAAATCCCGTTTCCAACGAAGGCTTCAAAGAGGTCTGAATATCCACTTGCAGACTTTACAAACAGAGTGTTTCCTAACTGCTCTTTGAAAAGAAAGGTTAAACTCTGTGAGTTGAACGCACACATCACAAAACAGTTTCTGAGAATCATTCTTTCTAGTTTTTATACGAAGATATTTCCTTTTCTACCGTTGACCTCAAAGCGGCTGAATTCTCCACTTACAAATTCCACCAAAAGTGTGTCTCAAATCTGCTCTGTGTAAAGAATCATTCAACTCTGTGAGTTGAATGCACACAACACAAGGAAGTTACTGGGAATTCCTCTGTCTAACCTTACATGAAAAAACGCCTTTCCAACGAAGGCCTCTAAGAGGCCAAGATATCCACTTGCAGACTTTACAAACAGAGTGTTTCCAAACTGCTGAATGAAAAGAAAAGTTAAACTCTGTGAGTTGAACGCACACATCACAGAGCAGTTTCTGAGAATGATTCTGTCGGGTTTTTATACGAAGATATTTCCTTTTCTGCCTTTGGCCTCAAAGCGCTTGAAGTCTCCACTTGCAAATTGCAGAAAAAGAGCGTTTCGAATCTGCTCTGTCTAAAGGAAGGTTCAACTCTGTCAGTTGAATACACACAACACAAGGAAGTTACTGAGATTTCTTCTGTCTAGCCTTACATGAAAAAAACCCGTTTCCAACGAAGGCCTCAAAGAGGTCAAAATATCCACGTGCAGACTTTCCAAACAGAGTGTTTCCAAACTGCTGAATGAAAAGAAAGGTAAACTCTGTGAGTTGAACACACACATCACAGAGCAGTTTCTGAGAATGATTCTCTCTAGTTTTTATAAGAAAATATTTCCTTTTCTGCTTTTGGCCTCAAAGCGCTTGAAATCTCCACTTGCAAATTCCACAAAAAGAGACTTTCAAATCTGCTCTGTCTAAAGGAAGGTTCAACTCTGTCAGTTCAATACACACAACACAAAGAAGTTACTAAGAATTCTTCCCTCTAGCATTATATGAAGAAATCCCGTTTCCAACGAAGGCCTCAAAGAGGTCTGAATATCCACTTGCAGATTTTACAGAGTGTTTCCTAACTGCTCTTTGAAAAGAAAGGTTAAACTCTGTGAGTTGAACGCACACATCACAAAACAGTTTCTGAGAATCATTCTGTCTAGTTTTTATACGAAGATATTTCCTTTTCTACCGTTGACCTCAAAGCGGCTGAATTCTCCACTTACAAATTCCACCCAAAGAGTGTCTCAAATCTGCTCTGTGTAAAGAATCATTCAACTCTGTGAGTTGAATGCACACAACACAAGGAAGTTACTGGGAATTCCTCTGTCTAACCTTACATGAAAAAACCCGTTTCCAATGAAGGCCTCTAAGAGGCCAAGATATCCACTTGCAGACTTTACAAACAGAGTGTTTCCAAACTGCTGAATGAAAAGAAAAGTTAAACTCTGTGAGTTGAACGCACACATCACAGAGCAGTTTCTGAGAATGATTCTGTCGGGTTTTTATACGAAGATATTTCCTTTTCTGCCTTTGGCCTCAAAGCGCTTGAAGTCTCCACTTGCAAATTGCAGAAAAAGAGTGTTTCGAATCTGCTCTGTCTAAAGGAAGGTTCAACTCTGTCAGTTGAATACACACAACACAAAGAAGTTACTAAGAATTCTTCCCTCTAGCATTATATGAAGAAATCCCGTTTCCAACGAAGGCATCTAAGAGGTCCAAATATCCACTTGCAGACTTTACAAACAGAGGGTTTCCAGAATGCTGTATGAAAAGAAAGGTTAAACTCTGTGAGTTAAACACACACATCACTACGCAGTGTCTGAGAACGAGTTTGTCTTGTTTTTATACGAAGATATTTCCTTTTCTACCATTGGCATCGAAGCGCTTGAAATCTCCACTTGCAAATTCCACAAAAAGAGTGTTTCAAATCTGCTCTGTCTAAAGGAAGGTTGAACTCTGTGAGTTGCATACACACAACACAAAGAAGTTACTGAGAAATCTTCTGTCTAGCATAATATGAAGAAATCCCGTTTCCAACGAAGGCCTCAAAGAGGTCCGAATATCCACTGGCAGGCTTCACAAACAGAGTGTTTCCTAACTGCTCTGTGAAAAGAAAGGTTAAACTCTGTGAGTTGAACGCACACATCACAAAGGAGTTTCTGAGAATCATTCTGTCTAGTTTTTATACGAAGATATTTCCTTTTCTACCATTGACCTCAAAGCGGCTGAAATCTCCACTTGCAAATTCCAGAAAAACAGTGTTTCAAATCTGCTCTGTGTAAAGGATCGTTCAACTCTGTGAGTTGAATACACACAACACAAGGAAGTTACTGAGAATTCATCTGTCTAGCATAATATGAAGAAATCCCGTTTCCAACGAAGGCCTCAAAGAGGTCTGAATATCCACTTGCAGACTTTACAAACAGAGTGTTTCCTAACTGCTCTTTGAAAAGAAAGGTTAAACTCTGTGAGTTGAACGCACACATCACAAAACAGTTTCTGAGAATCATTCTGTCTAGTTTTTATACGAAGATATTTCCTTTTCTACCGTTGACCTCAAAGCGGCTGAATTCTCCACTTACAAATTCCACCAAAAGAGTTTCTCAAATCTGCTCTGTGTAAAGAATCATTCAACTCTGTGAGTTGAATGCACACAACACAAGGAAGTTACTGGGAATTCCTCTGTCTAACCTTACATGAAAAAACCCGTTTCCAACGAAGGCCTCTAAGAGGCCAAGATATCCACTTGCAGACTTTACAAACAGAGTGTTTCCAAACTGCTGAATGAAAAGAAAAGTTAAACTCTGTGAGTTGAACGCACACATCACAGAGCAGTTTCTGAGAATGATTCTGTCGGGTTTTTATACGAAGATATTTCCTTTTCTGCCTTTGGCCTCAAAGCGCTTGAAGTCTCCACTTGCAAATTGCAGAAAAAGAGTGTTTCGAATCTGCTCTGTCTAAAAGAAGGTTCAACTCTGTCAGTTGAATACACACAACACAAGGAAGTTACTGAGATTTCTTCTGTCTAGCCTTACATGAAAAAAACCCGTTTCCAACGAAGGCCTCAAAGAGGTCAAAATATCCACGTGCAGACTTTCCAAACAGAGTGTTTCCAAACTGCTGAATGAAAAGAAAAGTTAAACTCTGTGAGTTGAACGCACACATCCCAGAGCAGTTTCTGAGAAAGATTCTGTCTAGTTTTTATAGGAAAATATTTCCTTTTCTGCTTTTGGCCTCAAAGCGCTTGAAATCTCCACTTGCAAATTCCACAAAAAGAGACTTTCAAATCTGCTCTGTCTAAAGGAAGGTTCAACTCTGTCAGTTGAATACACACAACACAAAGAAGTTACTAAGAATTCTTCCCTCTAGCATTATATGAAGAAATCCCGTTTCCAACGAAGGCATCTAAGAGGTCCAAATATCCACTTGCAGACTTTACAAACAGAGGGTTTCCAGAATGCTGTATGAAAAGAAAGGTGAAACTCTGTGAGTTAAACACACACATCACTACGCAGTGTCTGGGAACGAGTTTGTCTTGTTTTTATACGAAGATATTTCCTTTTCTACCATTGGCATCGAAGCGCTTGAAATCTCCACTTGCAAATTCCACAAAAAGAGTGTTTCAAATCTGCTCTGTCTAAAGGAAGGTTGAACTCTGTGAGTTGCATACACACAACACAAAGAAGTTACTGAGAAATCTTCTGTCTAGCATAATATGAAGAAATCCCGTTTCCAACGAAGGCCTCAAAGGAGGTCCGAATATCCACTGGCAGGCTTCACAAACAGAGTGTTTCCTAACTGCTCTGTGAAAAGAAAGGTTAAACTCTGTGAGTTGAACGCACACATCACAAAGGAGTTTCTGAGAATCATTCTGTCTAGTTTTTATACGAAGATATTTCCTTTTCTACCATTGACCTCAAAGCGGCTGAAATCTCCACTTGCAAATTCCAGAAAAACAGTGTTTCAAATCTGCTCTGTGTAAAGGATCGTTCAACTCTGTGAGTTGAATACACACAACACAAGGAAGTTACTGAGAATTCATCTGTCTAGCATAATATGAAGAAATCCCGTTTCCAACGAAGGCCTCAAAGAGGTCTGAATATCCACTTGCAGACTTTACAAACAGAGTGTTTCCTAACTGCTCTTTGAAAAGAAAGGTTAAACTCTGTGAGTTGAACGCACACATCACAAAACAGTTTCTGAGAATCATTCTGTCTAGTTTTTATACGAAGATATTTCCTTTTCTACCGTTGACCTCAAAGCGGCTGAATTCTCCACTTACAAATTCCACCAAAAGAGTGTCTCAAATCTGCTCTGTGTAAAGAATCATTCAACTCTGTGAGTTGAATGCACACAACACAAGGAAGTTACTGGGAATTCCTCTGTCTAACCTTACATGAAAAAACCCGTTTCCAACGAAGGCCTCTAAGAGGCCAAGATATCCACTTGCAGACTTTACAAACAGAGTGTTTCCAAACTGCTGAATGAAAAGAAAAGTTAAACTCTGTGAGTTGAACGCACACATCACAGAGCAGTTTCTGAGAATGATTCTGTCGGGTTTTTATACGAAGATATTTCCTTTTCTGCCTTTGGCCTCAAAGCGCTTGAAGTCTCCACTTGCAAATTGCAGAAAAAGAGTGTTTCGAATCTGCTCTGTCTAAAGGAAGGTTCAACTCTGTCAGTTGAATACACACAACACAAGGAAGTTACTGAGATTTCTTCTGTCTAGCCTTACATGAAAAAAACCCGTTTCCAACGAAGGCCTCAAAGAGGTCAAAATATCCACGTGCAGACTTTCCAAACAGAGTGTTTCCAAACTGCTGAATGAAAAGAAAAGTTAAACTCTGTGAGTTGAACGCACACATCCCAGAGCAGTTTCTGAGAAAGATTCTGTCTAGTTTTTATAGGAAAATATTTCCTTTTCTGCTTTTGGCCTCAAAGCGCTTGAAATCTCCACTTGCAAATTCCACAAAAAGAGACTTTCAAATCTGCTCTGTCTAAAGGAAGGTTCAACTCTGTCAGTTGAATACACACAACACAAAGAAGTTACTAAGAATTCTTCCCTCTAGCATTATATGAAGAAATCCCGTTTCCAACGAAGGCATCTAAGAGGTCCAAATATCCACTTGCAGACTTTACAAACAGAGGGTTTCCAGAATGCTGTATGAAAAGAAAGGTTAAACTCTGTGAGTTAAACACACACATCACTACGCAGTGTCTGGGAACGAGTTTTGTGTTGTTTTTATACGAAGATATTTCCTTTTCTACCATTGGCATCGAAGCGCTTGAAATCTCCACTTGCAAATTCCACAAAAAGAGTGTTTCAAATCTGCTCTGTCTAATGGAAGGTTGAACTCTGTGAGTTGCATACACACAACACAAAGAAGTTACTGAGAAATCTTCTGTCTAGCATAATATGAAGAAATCCCGTTTCCAACGAAGGCCTCAAAGAGGTCCGAATATCCACTGGCAGGCTTCACAAACAGAGTGTTTCCTAACTGCTCTGTGAAAAGAAAGGTTAAACTCTGTGAGTTGAACGCACACATCACAAAGGAGTTTCTGAGAATCATTCTGTCTAGTTTTTATACGAAGATATTTCTTTTTCTACCATTGACCTCAAAGCGGCTGAAATCTCCACTTGCAAATTCCAGAAAAACAGTGTTTCAAATCTGCTCTGTGTAAAGGATCGTTCAACTCTGTGAGTTGAATACACACAACACAAGGAAGTTACTGAGAATTCATCTGTCTAGCATAATATGAAGAAATCCCGTTTCCAACGAAGGCCTCAAAGAGGTCTGAATATCCACTTGCAGACTTTACAAACAGAGTGTTTCCTAACTGCTCTTTGAAAAGAAAGGTTAAACTCTGTGAGTTGAACGCACACATCACAAAACAGTTTCTGAGAATCATTCTGTCTAGTTTTTATACGAAGATATTTCCTTTTCTACCGTTGACCTCAAAGCGGCTGAATTCTCCACTAACAAATTCCACCAAAAGAGTGTCTCAAATCTGCTCTGTGTAAAGAATCATTCAACTCTGTGAGTTGAATGCACACAACACAAGGAAGTTACTGGGAATTCCTCTGTCTAACCTTACATGAAAAAACCCGTTTCCAACGAAGGCCTCTAAGAGGCCAAGATATCCACGTGCAGACTTTCCAAACAGAGTGTTTCCAAACTGCTGAATGAAAAGAAAAGTTAAACTCTGTGAGTTGAACGCACACATCACAGAGCAGTTTCTGAGAATGATTCTGTCGGGTTTTTATACGAAGATATTTCCTTTTCTGCCTTTGGCCTCAAAGCGCTTGAAGTCTCCACTTGCAAATTGCAGAAAAAGAGTGTTTCGAATCTGCTCTGTCTAAAGGAAGGTTCAACTCTGTCAGTTGAATACACACAACACAAGGAAGTTACTGAGATTTCTTCTGTCTAGCCTTACATGAAAAAAACCCGTTTCCAACGAAGGCCTCAAAGAGGTCAAAATATCCACGTGCAGACTTTCCAAACAGAGTGTTTCCAAACTGCTGAATGAAAAGAAAGTTAAACTCTGTGAGTTGAACACACACATCACAGAGCAGTTTCTGAGAATGATTCTCTCTAGTTTTTATAGGAAAATATTTCCTTTTCTGCTTTTGGCCTCAAAGTGCTTGAAATCTCCACTTGCAAATTCCACAAAAAGAGACTTTCAAATCTGCTCTGTCTAAAGGAAGGTTCAACTCTGTCAGTTGAATACACACAACACAAAAAAGTTACTAAGAATTCTTCCCTCTAGCATTATATGAAGAAATCCCGTTTCCAACGAAGGCATCTAAGAGGTCCAAATATCCACTTGCAGACTTTACAAACACAGGGTTTCCAGAATGCTGTATGAAAAGAAAGGTGAAACTCTGTGAGTTAAACACACACATCACTACGCAGTGTCTGGAGAACGAGTTTGTCTTGTTTTTATACGAAGAATATTTCCTTTTCTACCATTGGCATCGAAGCGCTTGAAATCTCCACTTGCAAATTCCACAAAAAGAGTGTTTCAAATCTGCTCTGTCTAAAGGAAGGTTGAACTCTGTGAGTTGCATACACACAACACAAAGAAGTTACTGAGAAATCTTCTGTCTAGCATAATATGAAGAAATCCCGTTTCCAACGAAGGCCTCAAAGAGGTCCGAATATCCACTGGCAGGCTTCACAAACAGAGTGTTTCCTAACTGCTCTGTGAAAAGAAAGGTTAAACTCTGTGAGTTGAACGCACACATCACAAAGGAGTTTCTGAGAATCATTCTGTCTAGTTTTTATACGAAGATATTTCCTTTTCTACCATTGACCTCAAAGCGGCTGAAATCTCCACTTGCAAATTCCAGAAAAACAGTGTTTCAAATCTGCTCTGTGTAAAGGATCGTTCAACTCTGTGAGTTGAATACACACAACACAAGGAAGTTACTGAGAATTCATCTGTCTAGCATAATATGAAGAAATCCCGTTTCCAACGAAGGCCTCAAAGAGGTCTGAATATCCACTTGCAGACTTTACAAACAGAGTGTTTCCTAACTGCTCTTTGAAAAGAAAGGTTAAACTCTGTGAGTTGAACGCACACATCACAAAACAGTTTCTGAGAATCATTCTGTCCAGTTTTTATACGAAGATAT
The DNA here is from genome assembly GCF_000001405.40 of Homo sapiens. Taxonomy (NCBI): domain Eukaryota; kingdom Metazoa; phylum Chordata; class Mammalia; order Primates; family Hominidae; genus Homo; species Homo sapiens. The sequence goes on along the minus strand of NC_000016.10, from coordinate 36,863,264 downwards.
TTCCTTTTCTACCGTTGACCTCAAAGCGGCTGAATTCTCCACTAACAAATTCCACCAAAAGAGTGTCTCAAATCTGCTCTGTGTAAAGAATCATTCAACTCTGTGAGTTGAATGCACACAACACAAGGAAGTTACTGGGAATTCCTCTGTCTAACCTTACATGAAAAAACCCGTTTCCAACGAAGGCCTCTAAGAGGCCAAGATATCCACTTGCAGACTTTACAAACAGAGTGTTTCCAAACTGCTGAATGAAAAGAAAAGTTAAACTCTGTGAGTTGAACGCACACATCACAGAGCAGTTTCTGAGAATGATTCTGTCGGGTTTTTATACGAAGATATTTCCTTTTCTGCCTTTGGCCTCAAAGCGCTTGAAGTCTCCACTTGCAAATTGCAGAAAAAGAGTGTTTCGAATCTGCTCTGTCTAAAAGAAGGTTCAACTCTGTCAGTTGAATACACACAACACAAGGAAGTTACTGAGATTTCTTCTGTCTAGCGTTACATGAAAAAAACCCGTTTCCAACGAAGGCCTCAAAGAGGTCAAAATATCCACGTGCAGACTTTCCAAACAGAGTGTTTCCAAACTGCTGAATGAAAAGAAAAGTTAAACTCTGTGAGTTGAACGCACACATCCCAGAGCAGTTTCTGAGAAAGATTCTGTCTAGTTTTTATAGGAAAATATTTCCTTTTCTGCTTTTGGCCTCAAAGCGCTTGAAATCTCCACTTGCAAATTCCACAAAAAGAGACTTTCAAATCTGCTCTGTCTAAAGGAAGGTTCAACTCTGTCAGTTGAATACACACAACACAAAGAAGTTACTAAGAATTCTTCCCTCTAGCATTATATGAAGAAATCCCGTTTCCAAAGAAGGCATCTAAGAGGTCCAAATATCCACTTGCAGACTTTACAAACAGAGGGTTTCCAGAATGCTCTATGAAAAGAAAGGTGAAACTCTGTGAGTTAAACACACACATCACTACGCAGTGTCTGGGAACGAGTTTGTCTTGTTTTTATACGAAGATATTTCCTTTTCTACCATTGGCATCGAAGCGCTTGAAATCTCCACTTGCAAATTCCACAAAAAGAGTGTTTCAAATCTGCTCTGTCTAAAGGAAGGTTGAACTCTGTGAGTTGCATACACACAACCCAAAGAAGTTACTGAGAAATCTTCTGTCTAGCATAATATGAAGAAATCCCGTTTCCAACGAAGGCCTCAAAGAGGTCCGAATATCCACTGGCAGGCTTCACAAACAGAGTGTTTCCTAACTGCTCTGTGAAAAGAAAGGTTAAACTCTGTGAGTTGAACGCACACATCACAAAGGAGTTTCTGAGAATCATTCTGTCTAGTTTTTATACGAAGATATTTCCTTTTCTACCATTGACCTCAAAGCGGCTGAAATCTCCACTTGCAAATTCCAGAAAAACAGTGTTTCAAATCTGCTCTGTGTAAAGGATCGTTCAACTCTGTGAGTTGAATACACACAACACAAGGAAGTTACTGAGAATTCATCTGTCTAGCATAATATGAAGAAATCCCGTTTCCAACGAAGGCCTCAAAGAGGTCTGAATATCCACTTGCAGACTTTACAAACAGAGTGTTTCCTAACTGCTCTTTGAAAAGAAAGGTTAAACTCTGTGAGTTGAACGCACACATCACAAAACAGTTTCTGAGAATCATTCTGTCTAGTTTTTCTACGAAGATATTTCCTTTTCTACCGTTGACCTCAAAGCGGCTGAATTCTCCACTTACAAATTCCACCAAAAGAGTGTCTCAAATCTGCTCTGTGTAAAGAATCATTCAACTCTGTGAGTTGAATGCACACAACACAAGGAAGTTACTGGGAATTCCTCTGTCTATCCTTACATGAAAAAACCCGTTTCCAACGAAGGCCTCTAAGAGGCCAAGATATCCACTTGCAGACTTTACAAACAGAGTGTTTCCAAACTGCTGAATGAAAAGAAAAGTTAAACTCTGTGAGTTGAACGCACACATCACAGAGCAGTTTCTGAGAATGATTCTGTCGGGTTTTTATACGAAGATATTTCCTTTTCTGCCTTTGGCCTCAAAGCGCTTGAAGTCTCCACTTGCAAATTGCAGAAAAAGAGTGTTTCGAATCTGCTCTGTCTAAAGGAAGGTTCAACTCTGTCAGTTGAATACACACAACACAAGGAAGTTACTGAGATTTCTTCTGTCTAGCCTTACATGAAAAAAACCCGTTTCCAACGAAGGCCTCAAAGAGGTCAAAATATCCACGTGCAGACTTTCCAAACAGTGTTTCCAAACTGCTGAATGAAAAGAAAAGTTAAACTCTGTGAGTTGAACGCACACATCACAGAGCAGTTTCTGAGAATGATTCTGTCGGGTTTTTATACGAAGATATTTCCTTTTCTGCCTTTGGCCTCAAAGCGCTTGAAATCTCCACTTGCAAATTCCACAAAAAGAGACTTTCAAATCTGCTCTGTCTAAAGGAACGTTCAACTCTGTCAGTTGAATACACACAACACAAAGAAGTTACTAAGAATTCTTCCCTCTAGCATTATATGAAGAAATCCCGTTTCCAACGAAGGCATCTAAGAGGTCCAAATATCCACTTGCAGACTTTACAAACACAGGGTTTCCAGAATGCTGTATGAAAAGAAAGGTTAAACTCTGTGAGTTAAACACACACATCACTACGCAGTGTCTGGGAACGAGTTTGTCTTGTTTTTATACGAAGATATTTCCTTTTCTACCATTGGCATCGAGGCGTTTGAAATCTCCACTTGCAAATTCCACAAAAAGAGTGTTTCAAATCTGCTCTGTCTAAAGGAAGGTTGAACTCTGTGAGTTGCATACACACAACACAAAGAAGTTACTGAGAAATCTTCTGTCTAGCATAATATGAAGAAATCCCGTTTCCAACGAAGGCCTCAAAGAGGTCCGAATATCCACTGGCAGGCTTCACAAACAGAGTGTTTCCTAACTGCTCTGTGAAAAGAAAGGTTAAACTCTGTGAGTTGAACGCACACATCACAAAGGAGTTTCTGAGAATCATTCTGTCTAGTTTTTATACGAAGATATTTCCTTTTCTACCATTGACCTCAAAGCGGCTGAAATCTCCACTTGCAAATTCCAGAAAAACAGTGTTTCAAATCTGCTCTGTGTAAAGGATCGTTCAACTCTGTGAGTTGAATACACACAACACAAGGAAGTTACTGAGAATTCATCTGTCTAGCATAATATGAAGAAATCCCGTTTCCAACGAAGGCCTCAAAGAGGTCTGAATATCCACTTGCAGACTTTACAAACAGAGTGTTTCCTAACTGCTCTTTGAAAAGAAAGGTTAAACTCTGTGAGTTGAACGCACACATCACAAAACAGTTTCTGAGAATCATTCTGTCTAGTTTTTATACGAAGATATTTCCTTTTCTACCGTTGACCTCAAAGCAGCTGAATTCTCCACTTACAAATTCCACCAAAAGAGTGTCTCAAATCTGCTCTGTGTAAAGAATCATTCAACTCTGTGAGTTGAATGCACACAACACAAGGGAAGTTACTGGGAATTCCTCTGTCTAACCTTACATGAAAAAACCCGTTTCCAACGAAGGCCTCTAAGAGGCCAAGATATCCACTTGCAGACTTTACAAACAGAGTGTTTCCAAACTGCTGAATGAAAAGAAAAGTTAAACTCTGTGAGTTGAACGCACACATCACAGAGCAGTTTCTGAGAATGATTCTGTCGGGTTTTTATACGAAGATATTTCCTTTTCTGCCTTTGGCCTCAAAGCGCTTGAAGTCTCCACTTGCAAATTGCAGAAAAAGAGTGTTTCGAATCTGCTCTGTCTAAAGGAAGGTTCAACTCTGTCAGTTGAATACACACAACACAAGGAAGTTACTGAGATTTCTTCTGTCTAGCCTTACATGAAAAAAACCCGTTTCCAACGAAGGCCTCAAAGAGGTCAAAATATCCACGTGCAGACTTTCCAAACAGAGTGTTTCCAAACTGCTGAATGAAAAGAAAAGTTAAACTCTGTGAGTTGAACGCACACATCCCAGAGCAGTTTCTGAGAAAGATTCTGTCGAGTTTTTATAGGAAAATATTTCCTTTTCTGCTTTTGGCCTCAAAGCGCTTGAAATCTCCACTTGCAAATTCCACAAAAAGAGACTTTCAAATCTGCTCTGTCTAAAGGAAGGTTCAACTCTGTCAGTTGAATACACACAACACAAAGAAGTTACTAAGAATTCTTCCCTCTAGCATTATATGAAGAAATCCCGTTTCCAACGAAGGCATCTAAGAGGTCCAAATATCCACTTGCAGCCTTTACAAACACAGGGTTTCCAGAATGCTGTATGAAAAGAAAGGTTAAACTCTGTGAGTTAAACACACACATCACTACGCAGTGTCTGGGAACGAGTTTGTCTTGTTTTTATACGAAGATATTTCCTTTTCTACCATTGGCATCGAAGCGCTTGAAATCTCCACTTGCAAATTCCACAAAAAGAGTGTTTCAAATCTGCTCTGTCTAAAGGAAGGTTGAACTCTGTGAGTTGCATACACACAACACAAAGAAGTTACTGAGAAATCTTCTGTCTAGCATAATATGAAGAAATCCCGTTTCCAACGAAGGCCTCAAAGAGGTCCGAATATCCACTGGCAGGCTTCACAAACAGAGTGTTTCCTAACTGCTCTGTGAAAAGAAAGGTTAAACTCTGTGAGTTGAACGCACACATCACAAAGGAGTTTCTGAGAATCATTCTGTCTAGTTTTTATACGAAGATATTTCTTTTTCTACCATTGACCTCAAAGCGGCTGAAATCTCCACTTGCAAATTCCAGAAAAACAGTGTTTCAAATCTGCTCTGTGTAAAGGATCGTTCAACTCTGTGAGTTGAATACACACAACACAAGGAAGTTACTGAGAATTCATCTGTCTAGCATAATATGAAGAAATCCCGTTTCCAACGAAGGCCTCAAAGAGGTCTGAATATCCACTTGCAGACTTTACAAACAGAGTGTTTCCTAACTGCTCTTTGAAAAGAAAGGTTAAACTCTGTGAGTTGAACGCACACATCACAAAACAGTTTCTGAGAATCATTCTGTCTAGTTTTTATACGAAGATATTTCCTTTTCTACCGTTGACCTCAAAGCGGCTGAATTCTCCACTAACAAATTCCACCAAAAGAGTGTCTCAAATCTGCTCTGTGTAAAGAATCATTCAACTCTGTGAGTTGAATGCACACAACACAAGGAAGTTACTGGGAATTCCTCTGTCTAACCTTACATGAAAAAACCCGTTTCCAACGAAGGCCTCTAAGAGGCCAAGATATCCACTTGCAGACTTTACAAACAGAGTGTTTCCAAACTGCTGAATGAAAAGAAAAGTTAAACTCTGTGAGTTGAACGCACACATCACAGAGCAGTTTCTGAGAATGATTCTGTCGGGTTTTTATACGAAGATATTTCCTTTTCTGCCTTTGGCCTCAAAGCGCTTGAAGTCTCCACTTGCAAATTGCAGAAAAAGAGTGTTTCGAATCTGCTCTGTCTAAAGGAAGGTTCAACTCTGTCAGTTGAATACACACAACACAAGGAAGTTACTGAGATTTCTTCTGTCTAGCCTTACATGAAAAAAACCCGTTTCCAACGAAGGCCTCAAAGAGGTCAAAATATCCACGTGCAGACTTTCCAAACAGAGTGTTTCCAAACTGCTGAATGAAAAGAAAGTTAAACTCTGTGAATTGAACACACACATCACAGAGCAGTTTCTGAGAATGATTCTGTCTAGTTTTTATAGGAAAATATTTCCTTTTCTGCTTTTGGCCTCAAAGCGCTTGAAATCTCCACTTGCAAATTCCACAAAAAGAGACTTTCAAATCTGCTCTGTCTAAAGGAAGGTTCAACTCTGTCAGTTGAATACACACAACACAAAGAAGTTACTAAGAATTCTTCCCTCTAGCATTATATGAAGAAATCCCGTTTCCAACGAAGGCATCTAAGAGGTCCAAATATCCACTTGCAGACTTTACAAACAGAGGGTTTCCAGAATGCTGTATGAAAAGAAAGGTTAAACTCTGTGAGTTAAACACACACATCACTACGCAGTGTCTGGGAACGAGTTTGTCTTGTTTTTATACGAAGATATTTCCTTTTCTACCATTGGCATCGAAGCGCTTGAAATCTCCACTTGCAAATTCCACAAAAAGAGTGTTTCAAATCTGCTCTGTCTAAAGGAAGGTTGAACTCTGTGAGTTGCATACACACAACACAAAGAAGTTACTGAGAAATCTTCTGTCTAGCATAATATGAAGAAATCCCGTTTCCAACGAAGGCCTCAAAGAGGTCCGAATATCCACTGGCAGGCTTCACAAACAGAGTGTTTCCTAACTGCTCTGTGAAAAGAAAGGTTAAACTCTGTGAGTTGAACGCACACATCACAAAGGAGTTTCTGAGAATCATTCTGTCTAGTTTTTATACGAAGATATTTCCTTTTCTACCATTGACCTCAAAGCGGCTGAAATCTCCACTTGCAAATTCCAGAAAAACAGTGTTTCAAATCTGCTCTGTGTAAAGGATCGTTTAACTCTGTGAGTTGAATACACACAACACAAGGAAGTTACTGAGAATTCATCTGTCTAGCATAATATGAAGAAATCCCGTTTCCAACGAAGGCCTCAAAGAGGTCTGAATATCCACTTGCAGACTTTACAAACAGAGTGTTTCCTAACTGCTCTTTGAAAAGAAAGGTTAAACTCTGTGAGTTGAACGCACACATCACAAAACAGTTTCTGAGAATCATTCTGTCTAGTTTTTATACGAAGATATTTGCTTTTCTACCGTTGACCTCAAAGCGGCTGAATTCTCCACTTACAAATTCCACCAAAAGAGTGTCTCAAATCTGCTCTGTGTAAAGAATCATTCAACTCTGTGAGTTGAATGCACACAACACAAGGAAGTTACTGGGAATTCCTCTGTCTATCCTTACATGAAAAAACCCGTTTCCAACGAAGGCCTCTAAGAGGCCAAGATATCCACTTGCAGACTTTACAAACAGAGTGTTTCCAAACTGCTGAATGAAAAGAAAAGTTAAACTCTGTGAGTTGAACGCACACATCACAGAGCAGTTTCTGAGAATGATTCTGTCGGGTTTTTCTACGAAGATATTTCCTTTTCTGCCTTTGGCCTCAAAGCGCTTGAAGTCTCCACTTGCAAATTGCAGAAAAAGAGTGTTTCGAATCTGCTCTGTCTAAAGGAAGGTTCAACTCTGTCAGTTGAATACACACAACACAAGGAAGTTACTGAGATTTCTTCTGTCTAGCCTTACATGAAAAAAACCCGTTTCCAACGAAGGCCTCAAAGAGGTCAAAATATCCACGTGCAGACTTTCCAAACAGAGTGTTTCCAAACTGCTGAATGAAAAGAAAAGTTAAACTCTGTGAGTTGAACACACACATCACAGAGCAGTTTCTGAGAATGATTCTGTCTAGTTTTTATAGGAAAATATTTCCTTTTCTGCTTTTGGCCTCAAAGCGCTTGAAATCTCCACTTGCAAATTCCACAAAAAGAGACTTTCAAATCTGCTCTGTCTAAAGGAAGGTTCAACTCTGTCAGTTGAATACACACAACACAAAAAAGTTACTAAGAATTCTTCCCTCTAGCATTATATGAAGAAATCCCGTTTCCAACGAAGGCATCTAAGAGGTCCAAATATCCACTTGCAGACTTTACAAACAGAGGGTTCCCAGAATGCTGTATGAAAAGAAAGGTGAAACTCTGTGAGTTAAACACACACATCACTACGCAGTGTCTGGGAACGAGTTTGTCTTGTTTTTATACGAAGATATTTCCTTTTCTACCATTGGCATCGAAGCGCTTGAAATCTCCACTTGCAAATTCCACAAAAAGAGTGTTTCAAATCTGCTCTGTCTAAAGGAAGGTTGAACTCTGTGAGGTGCATACACACAACACAAAGAAGTTACTGAGAAATCTTCTGTCTAGCATAATATGAAGAAATCCCGTTTCCAACGAAGGCCTCAAAGAGGTCCGAATATCCACTGGCAGGCTTCACAAACAGAGTGTTTCCTAACTGCTCTGTGAAAAGAAAGGTTAAACTCTGTGAGTTGAACGCACACATCACAAAGGAGTTTCTGAGAATCATTCTGTCTAGTTTTTATACGAAGATATTTCCTTTTCTACCATTGACCTCAAAGCGGCTGAAATCTCCACTTGCAAATTCCAGAAAAACAGTGTTTCAAATCTGCTCTGTGTAAAGGATCGTTCAACTCTGTGAGTTGAATACACACAACACAAGGAAGTTACTGAGAATTCATCTGTCTAGCATAATATGAAGAAATCCCGTTTCCAACGAAGGCCTCAAAGAGGTCTGAATATCCACTTGCAGACTTTACAAACAGAGTGTTTCCTAACTGCTCTTTGAAAAGAAAGGTTAAACTCTGTGAGTTGAACGCACACATCACAAAACAGTTTCTGAGAATCATTCTGTCTAGTTTTTATACGAAGATATTTCCTTTTCTACCGTTGACCTCAAAGCGGCTGAATTCTCCACTTACAAATTCCACCAAAAGAGTGTCTCAAATCTGCTCTGTGTAAAGAATCATTCAACTCTGTGAGTTGAATGCACACAACACAAGGAAGTTACTGGGAATTCCTCTGTCTAACCTTACATGAAAAAACCCGTTTCCAACGAAGGCCTCTAAGAGGCCAAGATATCCACTTGCAGACTTTACAAACAGAGTGTTTCCAAACTGCTGAATGAAAAGAAAAGTTAAACTCTGTGAGTTGAACGCACACATCACAGAGCAGTTTCTGAGAATGATTCTGTCGGGTTTTTATACGAAGATATTTCCTTTTCTGCCTTTGGCCTCAAAGCGCTTGAAGTCTCCACTTGCAAATTGCAGAAAAAGAGTGTTTCGAATCTGCTCTGTCTAAAGGAAGGTTCAACTCTGTCAGTTGAATACACACAACACAAGGAAGTTACTGAGATTTCTTCTGTCTAGCGTTACATGAAAAAAACCCGTTTCCAACGAAGGCCTCAAAGAGGTCAAAATATCCACGTGCAGACTTTCCAAACAGAGTGTTTCCAAACTGCTGAATGAAAAGAAAAGTTAAACTCTGTGAGTTGAACGCACACATCCCAGAGCAGTTTCTGAGAAAGATTCTGTCGAGTTTTTATAGGAAAATATTTCCTTTTCTGCTTTTGGCCTCAAAGCGCTTGAAATCTCCACTTGCAAATTCCACAAAAAGAGATTTTCAAATCTGCTCTGTCTAAAGGAAGGTTCAACTCTGTCAGTTGAATACACACAACACAAAGAAGTTACTAAGAATTCTTCCCTCTAGCATTATATGAAGAAATCCCGTTTCCAACGAAGGCATCTAAGAGGTCCAAATATCCACTTGCAGACTTTACAAACAGAGGGTTTCCAGAATGCTGTATGAAAAGAAAGGTTAAACTCTGTGAGTTAAACACACACATCACTACGCAGTGTCTGGGAACGAGTTTGTCTTGTTTTTATACGAAGATATTTCCTTTTCTACCATTGGCATCGAAGCGCTTGAAATCTCCACTTGCAAATTCCACAAAAAGAGTGTTTCAAATCTGCTCTGTCTAAAGGAAGGTTGAACTCTGTGAGTTGCATACACACAACGCAAAGAAGTTACTGAGAAATCTTCTGTCTAGCATAATATGAAGAAATCCCGTTTCCAACGAAGGCCTCAAAGAGGTCCGAATATCCACTGGCAGGCTTCACAAACAGAGTGTTTCCTAACTGCTCTGTGAAAAGAAAGGTTAAACTCTGTGAGTTGAACGCACACATCACAAAGGAGTTTCTGAGAATCATTCTGTCTAGTTTTTATACGAAGATATTTCTTTTTCTACCATTGACCTCAAAGCGGCTGAAATCTCCACTTGCAAATTCCAGAAAAACAGTGTTTCAAATCTGCTCTGTGTAAAGGATCGTTCAACTCTGTGAGTTGAATACACACAACACAAGGAAGTTACTGAGAATTCATCTGTCTAGCATAATATGAAGAAATCCCGTTTCCAACGAAGGCCTCAAAGAGGTCTGAATATCCACTTGCAGACTTTACAAACAGAGTGTTTCCTAACTGCTCTTTGAAAAGAAAGGTTAAACTCTGTGAGTTGAACGCACACATCACAAAACAGTTTCTGAGAATCATTCTGTCTAGTTTTTATACGAAGATATATCCTTTTCTACCGTTGACCTCAAAGCGGCTGAATTCTCCACTAACAAATTCCACCAAAAGAGTGTCTCAAATCTACTCTGTGTAAAGAATCATTCAACTCTGTGAGTTGAATGCACACAACACAAGGAAGTTACTGGGAATTCCTCTGTCTATCCTTACATGAAAAAACCCGTTTCCAACGAAGGCCTCTAAGAGGCCAAGATATCCACTTGCAGACTTTACAAACAGAGTGTTTCCAAACTGCTGAATGAAAAGAAAAGTTAAACTCTGTGAGTTGAACGCACACATCACAGAGCAGTTTCTGAGAAAGATTCTGTCTAGTTTTTATAGGAAAATATTTCCTTTTCTGCTTTTGGCCTCAAAGCGCTTGAAATCTCCACTTGCAAATTCCACAAAAAGAGTGTTTCAAATCTGCTCTGTCTAAAGGAAGGTTGAACTCTGTGAGTTGCATACACACAACACAAAGAAGTTACTGAGAAATCTTCTGTCTAGCATAATATGAAGAAATCCCGTTTCCAACGAAGGCCTCAAAGAGGTCCGAATATCCACTGGCAGGCTTCACAAACAGAGTGTTTCCTAACTGCTCTGTGAAAAGAAAGGTTAAACTCTGTGAGTTGAACGCACACATCACAAAGGAGTTTCTGAGAATCATTCTGTCTAGTTTTTATACGAAGATATTTCCTTTTCTACCATTGACCTCAAAGCGGCTGAAATCTCCACTTGCAAATTCCAGAAAAACAGCGTTTCAAATCTGCTCTGTGTAAAGGATCGTTCAACTCTGTGAGTTGAATACACACAACACAAGGAAGTTACTGAGAATTCATCTGTCTAGCATAATATGAAGAAATCCCGTTTCCAACGAAGGCCTCAAAGAGGTCTGAATATCCACTTGCAGACTTTACAAACAGAATGTTTCCTAACTGCTCTTTGAAAAGAAAGGTTAAACTCTGTGAGTTGAACGCACACATCACAAAACAGTTTCTGAGAATCATTCTGTCTAGTTTTTATACGAAGATATTTCCTTTTCTACCGTTGACCTCAAAGCAGCTGAATTCTCCACTTACAAATTCCACCAAAAGAGTGTCTCAAATCTGCTCTGTGTAAAGAATCATTCAACTCTGTGAGTTGAATGCACACAACACAAGGAAGTTACTGGGAATTCCTCTGTCTAACCTTACATGAAAAAACCCGTTTCCAACGAAGGCCTCTAAGAGGCCAAGATATCCACTTGCAGACTTTACAAACAGAGTGTTTCCAAACTGCTGAATGAAAAGAAAAGTTAAACTCTGTGAGTTGAACGCAGACATCACAGAGCAGTTTCTGAGAATGATTCTGTCGGGTTTTTATACGAAGATATTTCCTTTTCTGCCTTTGGCCTCAAAGCGCTTGAAGTCTCCACTTGCAAATTGCAGAAAAAGAGTGTTTCGAATCTGCTCTGTCTAAAGGAAGGTTCAACTCTGTCAGTTGAATACACACAACACAAGGAAGTTACTGAGATTTCTTCTGTCTAGCCTTACATGAAAAAAACCCGTTTCCAACGAAGGCCTCAAAGAGGTCAAAATATCCACGTGCAGACTTTCCAAACAGAGTGTTTCCAAACTGCTGAATGGAAAGAAAAGTTAAACTCTGTGAGTTGAACGCACACATCCCAGAGCAGTTTCTGAGAAAGATTCTGTCGAGTTTTTATAGGAAAATATTTCCTTTTCTGCTTTTGGCCTCAAAGCGCTTGAAATCTCCACTTGCAAATTCCACAAAAAGAGACTTTCAAATCTGCTCTGTCTAAAGGAAGGTTCAACTCTGTCAGTTGAATACACACAACACAAAGAAGTTACTAAGAATTCTTCCCTCTAGCATTATATGAAGAAATCCCGTTTCCAACGAAGGCATCTAAGAGGTCCAAATATCCACTTGCAGACTTTACAAACAGAGGGTTTCCAGAATGCTGTATGAAAAGAAAGGTTAAACTCTGTGAGTTAAACACACACATCACTACGCAGTGTCTGGGAACGAGTTTGTCTTGTTTTTATACGAAGATATTTCCTTTTCTACCATTGGCATCGAAGCGCTTGAAATCTCCACTTGCAAATTCCACAAAAAGAGTGTTTCAAATATGCTCTCTCTAAAGGAAGGTTGAACTCTGTGAGTTGCATACACACAACCCAAAGAAGTTACTGAGAAATCTTCTGTCTAGCATAATATGAAGAAATCCCGTTTCCAACGAAGGCCTCAAAGAGGTCCGATTATCCACTGGCAGGCTTCACAAACAGAGTGTTTCCTAACTGCTCTGTGAAAAGAAAGGTTAAACTCTGTGAGTTGAACGCACACATCACAAAGGAGTTTCTGAGAATCATTCTGTCTAGTTTTTATACGAAGATATTTCCTTTTCTACCATTGACCTCAAAGCGGCTGAAATCTCCACTTGCAAATTCCAGAAAAACAGTGTTTCAAATCTGCTCTGTATAAAGGATCGTTCAACTCTGTGAGTTGAATACACACAACACAAGGAAGTTACTGAGAATTCATCTGTCTAGCATAATATGAAGAAATCCCGTTTCCAACGAAGGCCTCAAAGAGGTCTGAATATCCACTTGCAGACTTTACAAACAGAGTGTTTCCTAACTGCTCTTTGAAAAGAAAGGTTAAACTCTGTGAGTTGAACGCACACATCACAAAACAGTTTCTGAGAATCATTCTGTCTAGTTTTTATACGAAGATATTTCCTTTTCTACCGTTGACCTCAAAGCGGCTGAATTCTCCACTTACAAATTCCACCAAAAGAGTGTCTCAAATCTGCTCTGTGTAAAGAATCATTCAACTCTGTGAGTTGAATGCACACAACACAAGGAAGTTACTGGGAATTCCTCTGTCTAACCTTACATGAAAAAACCCGTTTCCAACGAAGGCCTCTAAGAGGCCAAGATATCCACTTGCAGACTTTACAAACAGAGTGTTTCCAAACTGCTGAATGAAAAGAAAAGTTAAACTCTGTGAGTTGAACGCACACATCACAGAGCAGTTTCTGAGAATGATTCTGTCGGGTTTTTATACGAAGATATTCCCTTTTCTGCCTTTGGCCTCAAAGCGCTTGAAGTCTCCACTTGCAAATTGCAGAAAAAGAGTGTTTCGAATCTGCTCTGTCTAAAAGAAGGTTCAACTCTGTCAGTTGAATACACACAACACAAGGAAGTTACTGAGATTTCTTCTGTCTAGCCTTACATGAAAAAAACCCGTTTCCAACGAAGGCCTCAAAGAGGTCAAAATATCCACGTGCAGACTTTCCAAACAGAGTGTTTCCAAACTGCTGAATGAAAAGAAAAGTTAAACTCTGTGAGTTGAACGCACACATCCCAGAGCAGTTTCTGAGAAAGATTCTGTCTAGTTTTTATAGGAAAATATTTCCTTTTCTGCTTTTGGCCTCAAAGCGCTTGAAATCTCCACTTGCAAATTCCACAAAAAGAGACTTTCAAATCTGCTCTGTCTAAAGGAAGGTTCAACTCTGTCAGTTGAATACACACAACACAAAGAAGTTACTAAGAATTCTTCCCTCTAGCATTATATGAAGAAATCCCGTTTCCAACGAAGGCATCTAAGAGGTCCAAATATCCACTTGCAGACTTTACAAACAGAGGGTTTCCAGAATGCTGTATGAAAAGAAAGGTTAAACTCTGTGAGTTAAACACACACATCACTACGCAGTGTCTGGGAACGAGTTTGTCTTGTTTTTATACGAAGATATTTCCTTTTCTACCATTGGCATCGAAGCGCTTGAAATCTCCACTTGCAAATTCCACAAAAAGAGTGTTTCAAATCTGCTCTGTCTAAAGGAAGGTTGAACTCTGTGAGTTGCATACACACAACACAAAGAAGTTACTGAGAAATCTTCTGTCTAGCATAATATGAAGAAATCCCGTTTCCAACGAAGGCCTCAAAGAGGTCCGAATATCCACTGGCAGGCTTCACAGAGTGTTTCCTAACTGCTCTGTGAAAAGAAAGGTTAAACTCTGTGAGTTGAACGCACACATCACAAAGGAGTTTCTGAGAATCATTCTGTCTAGTTTTTATACGAAGATATTTCCTTTTCTACCATTGACCTCAAAGCGGCTGACATCTCCACTTGCAAATTCCAGAAAAACAGTGTTTCAAATCTGCTCTGTGTAAAGGATCGTTCAACTCTGTGAGTTGAATACACACAACACAAGGAAGTTACTGAGAATTCATCTGTCTAGCATAATATGAAGAAATCCCGTTTCCAACGAAGGCCTCAAAGAGGTCTGAATATCCACTTGCAGACTTTACAAACAGAGTGTTTCCTAACTGCTCTTTGAAAAGAAAGGTTAAACTCTGTGAGTTGAACGCACACATCACAAAACAGTTTCTGAGAATCATTCTGTCTAGTTTTTATACGAAGATATTTCCTTTTCTACCGTTGACCTCAAAGCGGCTGAATTCTCCACTTACAAATTCCACCAAAAGAGTGTCTCAAATCTGCTCTGTGTAAAGAATCATTCAACTCTGTGAGTTGAATGCACACAACACAAGGAAGTTACTGGGAATTCCTCTGTCTAACCTTACATGAAAAAACCCGTTTCCAACGAAGGCCTCTAAGAGGCCAAGATATCCACTTGCAGACTTTACAAACAGAGTGTTTCCAAACTGCTGAATGAAAAGAAAAGTTAAACTCTGTGAGTTGAACGCACACATCACAGAGCAGTTTCTGAGAATGATTCTGTCGGGTTTTTATACGAAGATATTTCCTTTTCTGCCTTTGGCCTCAAAGCGCTTGAAGTCTCCACTTGCAAATTGCAGAAAAAGAGTGTTTCGAATCTGCTCTGTCTAAAGGAAGGTTCAACTCTGTCAGTTGAATACACACAACACAAGGAAGTTACTGAGATTTCTTCTGTCTAGCCTTACATGAAAAAAACCCGTTTCCAACGAAGGCCTCAAAGAGGTCAAAATATCCACGTGCAGACTTTCCAAACAGAGTGTTTCCAAACTGCTGAATGAAAAGAAAGTTAAACTCTGTGAGTTGAACACACACATCCCAGAGCAGTTTCTGAGAAAGATTCTGTCTAGTTTTTATAGGAAAATATTTCCTTTTCTGCTTTTGGCCTCAAAGCGCTTGAAATCTCCACTTGCAAATTCCACAAAAAGAGACTTTCAAATCTGCTCTGTCTAAAGGAAGGTTCAACTCTGTCAGTTGAATACACACAACACAAAGAAGTTACTAAGAATTCTTCCCTCTAGCATTATATGAAGAAATCCCGTTTCCAACGAAGGCATCTAAGAGGTCCAAATATCCACTTGCAGACTTTACAAACAGAGGGTTTCCAGAATGCTGTATGAAAAGAAAGGTTAAACTCTGTGAGTTAAACACACACATCACTACGCAGTGTCTGGGAACGAGTTTGTCTTGTTTTTATACGAAGATATTTCCTTTTCTACCATTGGCATCGAAGCGCTTGAAATCTCCACTTGCAAATTCCAGAAAAAGAGTGTTTCAAATCTGCTCTGTCTAAAGGAAGGTTGAACTCTGTGAGTTGCATACACACAACACAAAGAAGTTACTGAGAAATCTTCTGTCTAGCATAATATGAAGAAATCCCGTTTCCAACGAAGGCCTCAAAGAGGTCCGCATATCCACTGGCAGGCTTCACAAACAGAGTGTTTCCTAACTGCTCTGTGAAAAGAAAGGTTAAACTCTGTGAGTTGAACGCACACATCACAAAGGAGTTTCTGAGAATCATTCTGTCTAGTTTTTATACGAAGATATTTCCTTTTCTACCATTGACCTCAAAGCGGCTGAAATCTCCACTTGCAAATTCCAGAAAAACAGTGTTTCAAATCTGCTCTGTGTAAAGGATCGTTCAACTCTGTGAGTTGAATACACACAACACAAGGAAGTTACTGAGAATTCATCTGTCTAGCATAATATGAAGAAATCCCGTTTCCAACGAAGGCCTCAAAGAGGTCTGAATATCCTCTTGCAGACTTTACAAACAGAGTGTTTCCTAACTGCTCTTTGAAAAGAAAGGTTAAACTCTGTGAGTTGAAAGCACACATCACAAAACAGTTTCTGAGAATCATTCTGTCTAGTTTTTATACGAAGATATTTCCTTTTCTACCGTTGACCTCAAAGCGGCTGAATTCTCCACTTACAAATTCCACCAAAAGAGTGTCTCAAAACTGCTCTGTGTAAAGAATCATTCAACTCTGTGAGTTGAATGCACACAACACAAGGAAGTTACTGGGAATTCCTGTGTCTATCCTTACATGAAAAAACCCGTTTCCAACGAAGGCCTCTAAGAGGCCAAGATATCCACTTGCAGACTTTACAAACAGAGTGTTTCCAAACTGCTGAATGAAAAGAAAAGTTAAACTCTGTGAGTTGAACGCACACATCACAGAGCAGTTTCTGAGAATGATTCTGTCGGGTTTTTATACGAAGATATTTCCTTTTCTGCCTTTGGCCTCAAAGCGCTTGAAGTCTCCACTTGCAAATTGCAGAAAAAGAGTGTTTCGAATCTGCTCTGTCTAAAGGAAGGTTCAACTCTGTCAGTTGAATACACACAACACAAGGAAGTTACTGAGATTTCTTCTGTCTAGCCTTACATGAAAAAAACCCGTTTCCAACGAAGGCCTCAAAGAGGTCAAAATATCCACGTGCAGACTTTCCAAACAGAGTGTTTCCAAACTGCTGAATGAAAAGAAAAGTTAAACTCTGTGAGTTGAACGCACACATCCCAGAGCAGTTTCTGAGAAAGATTCTGTCTAGTTTTTATAGGAAAATATTTCCTTTTCTGCTTTTGGCCTCAAAGCGCTTGAAATCTCCACTTGCAAATTCCACAAAAAGAGACTTTCAAATCTGCTCTGTCTAAAGGAAGGTTCAACTCTGTCAGTTGAATACACACAACACAAAGAAGTTACTAAGAATTCTTCCCTCTAGCATTATATGAAGAAATCCCGTTTCCAACGAAGGCATCTAAGAGGTCCAAATATCCACTTGCAGACTTTACAAACACAGGGTTTCCAGAATGCTGTATGAAAAGAAAGGTGAAACTCTGTGAGTTAAACACACACATCACTACGCAGTGTCTGGGAACGAGTTTGTCTTGTTTTTATACGAAGATATTTCCTTTTCTACCATTGGCATCGAAGCGCTTGAAATCTCCACTTGCAAATTCCACAAAAAGAGTGTTTCAAATCTGCTCTGTCTAAAGGAAGGTTGAACTCTGTGAGTTGCATACACACAACACAAAGAAGTTACTGAGAAATCTTCTGTCTAGCATAATATGAAGAAATCCCGTTTCCAACGAAGGCCTCAAAGAGGTCCGAATATCCACTGGCAGGCTTCACAAACAGAGTGTTTCCTAACTGCTCTGTGAAAAGAAAGGTTAAACTCTGTGAGTTGAACGCACACATCACAAAGGAGTTTCTGAGAATCATTCTGTCTAGTTTTTATACGAAGATATTTCTTTTTCTACCATTGACCTCAAAGCGGCTGAAATCTCCACTTGCAAATTCCAGAAAAACAGTGTTTCAAATCTGCTCTGTGTAAAGGATCGTTCAACTCTGTGAGTTGAATACACACAACACAAGGAAGTTACTGAGAATTCATCTGTCTAGCATAATATGAAGAAATCCCGTTTCCAACGAAGGCCTCAAAGAGGTCTGAATATCCACTTGCAGACTTTACAAACAGAGTGTTTCCTAACTGCTCTTTGAAAAGAAAGGTTAAACTCTGTGAGTTGAACGCACACATCACAAAACAGTTTCTGAGAATCATTCTGTCTAGTTTTTATACGAAGATATTTCCTTTTCTACCGTTGACCTCAAAGCGGCTGAATTCTCCACTAACAAATTCCACCAAAAGAGTG
This sequence comes from Homo sapiens, assembly GCF_000001405.40. Classification (NCBI taxonomy): domain Eukaryota; kingdom Metazoa; phylum Chordata; class Mammalia; order Primates; family Hominidae; genus Homo; species Homo sapiens. The sequence continues at coordinate 36,845,197 of NC_000016.10, read as the reverse complement.
TCTCAAATCTGCTCTGTGTAAAGAATCATTCAACTCTGTGAGTTGAATGCACACAACACAAGGAAGTTACTGGGAATTCCTCTGTCTAACCTTACATGAAAAAACCCGTTTCCAACGAAGGCCTCTAAGAGGCCAAGATATCCACTTGCAGACTTTACAAACAGAGTGTTTCCAAACTGCTGAATGAAAAGAAAAGTTAAACTCTGTGAGTTGAACGCACACATCACAGAGCAGTTTCTGACAATGATTCTGTCGGGTTTTTATACGAAGATATTTCCTTTTCTGCCTTTGGCCTCAAAGCGCTTGAAGTCTCCACTTGCAAATTGCAGAAAAAGAGTGTTTCGAATCTGCTCTGTCTAAAGGAAGGTTCAACTCTGTCAGTTGAATACACACAACACAAGGAAGTTACTGAGATTTCTTCTGTCTAGCCTTACATGAAAAAAACCCGTTTCCAACGAAGGCCTCAAAGAGGTCAAAATATCCACGTGCAGACTTTCCAAACAGAGTGTTTCCAAACTGCTGAATGAAAAGAAAGTTAAACTCTGTGAGTTGAACACACACATCACAGAGCAGTTTCTGAGAATGATTCTGTCTAGTTTTTATAGGAAAATATTTCCTTTTCTGCTTTTGGCCTCAAAGCGCTTGAAATCTCCACTTGCAAATTCCACAAAAAGAGACTTTCAAATCTGCTCTGTCTAAAGGAAGGTTCAACTCTGTCAGTTGAATACACACAACACAAAGAAGTTACTAAGAATTCTTCCCTCTAGCAGTATGTGGAGAAATCCCGTTTCCAACGAAGGCATCTAAGAGGTCCAAATATCCACTTGCAGACTTTACAAACACAGGGTTTCCAGACTTCTGTATGAAAAGAAAGGTTAAACTCTGTGAGTTAAACACACACATCACTACGCAGTTTCTGGGAACGAGTTTGTCTTGTTTTTCTACGAAGATATTTCCTTTTCTACCATTGGCATCGAAGCGCTTGAAATCTCCACTTGCAAATTCAACAAAAAGAGTGTTTCAAATCTGCTATCTCTAAAGGAAGGTTGAACTCTGTGAGATGCATACACACAACACAAAGTAGTTACTGAGAAATCTGTCTAGCATAATATGAAGAACTCCCGTTTCCAACGAAGGCCTCAAAGAGGTCCGAATATCCACTGGCAGACTTAACAAACAGAGTGTTTCCCAACTGCTCTGTGAAAAGAAAGGTTAAACTCTGTGAGTTGAACGCACACATCACAAAGGAGTTTCTGAGAATCATTCTGTCTAGTTTTTATACGAAGATATTTCCTTTTCTACCATTGACCTCAAAGCGGCTGAAATCTCCACTTGCAAATTCCAGAAAAAGAGTGTTTCAAATCTGCTCTGTGTAAAGGATCGTTCAACTCTGTGAGTTGAATACACACAACACAAGGAAGTTACTGAGAATTCATCTGTCTAGCATAATATGAAGAAATCCCGTTTCCAACGAAGGCCTCAAAGAGGTCTGAATATCCACTTGCAGACTTTACAAACAGAGTGTTTCCTAACTGCTCTTTGAAAAGAAAGGTTAAACTCTGTGAGTTGAACGCACACATCACAAAACAGTTTCTGAGAATCATTCTGTCTAGTTTTTATACGAAGATATTTCCTTTTCTACCGTTGACCTCAAAGCGGCTGAATTCTCCACTTACAAATTCCACCAAAAGAGTGTCTCAAATCTGCTCTGTGTAAAGAATCATTCAACTCTGTGAGTTGAATGCACACAACACAAGGAAGTTACTGGGAATTCCTCTGTCTAACCTTACATGAAAAAACCCGTTTCCAACGAAGGCCTCTAAGAGGCCAAGATATCCACTTGCAGACTTTACAAACAGAGTGTTTCCAAACTGCTGAATGAAAAGAAAAGTTAAACTCTGTGAGTTGAACGCACACATCACAGAGCAGTTTCTGAGAATGATTCTGTCGGGTTTTTATACGAAGATATTTCCTTTTCTGCCTTTGGCCTCAAAGCGCTTGAAGTCTCCACTTGCAAATTGCAGAAAAAGAGTGTTTCGAATCTGCTCTGTCTAAAAGAAGGTTCAACTCTGTCAGTTGAATACACACAACACAAGGAAAGTTACTGAGATTTCTTCTGTCTAGCCTTACATGAAAAAAACCCGTTTCCAACGAAGGCCTCAAAGAGGTCAAAATATCCACGTGCAGACTTTCCAAACAGAGTGTTTCCAAACTGCTGAATGAAAAGAAAAGTTAAACTCTGTGAGTTGAACGCACACATCCCAGAGCAGTTTCTGAGAAAGATTGTGTCGAGTTTTTATAGGAAAATATTTCCTTTTCTGCTTTTGGCCTCAAAGCGCTTGAAATCTCCACTTGCAAATTCCACAAAAAGAGACTTTCAAATCTGCTCTGTCTAAAGGAAGGTTCAACTGCTGTCAGTTGAATACACACAACACAAAGAAGTTACTAAGAATTCTTCCCTCTAGCATTATATGAAGAAATCCCGTTTCCAACGAAGGCATCTAAGAGGTCCAAATATCCACTTGCAGACTTTACAAACAGAGGGTTTCCAGAATGCTGTATGAAAAGAAAGGTGAAACTCTGTGAGTTAAACACACACATCACTACGCAGTGTCTGGGAACGAGTTTGTCTTGTTTTTATACGAAGATATTTCCTTTTCTACCATTGGCATCGAAGCGCTTGAAATCTCCACTTGCAAATTCCACAAAAAGAGTGTTTCAAATCTGCTCTCTCTAAAGGAAGGTTGAACTCTGTGAGTTGCATACACACAACACAAAGAAGTTACTGAGAAATCTTCTGTCTAGCATAATATGAAGAAATACCGTTTCCAACGAAGGTCTCAAAGAGGTCCGAATATCCACTGGCAGGCTTCACAAACAGAGTGTTTCGTAACTGCTCTATGAAAAGAAAGGTTAAACTCTGTGAGTTGAACGCACACATCACAAAACAGTTTCTGATAATCATTCTGTCTAGTTTTTATACGAAGCATATTTCCTTTTCTACCATTGACCTCAAAGCGGCTGAAATCTCCACTTGCAAATTCCAGAAAAACAGTGTTTCAAATCTGCTCTGTGTAAAGGATCGTTCAACTCTGTGAGTTGAATACACACAACACAAGGAAAGTTACTGAGAATTCATCTGTCTAGCATAATATGAAGAAATCCCGTTTCCAACGAAGGCCTCAAAGAGGTCTGAATATCCACTTGCAGACTTTACAAACAGAGTGTTTCCTAACTGCTCTTTGAAAAGAAAGGTTAAACTCTGTGAGTTGAACGCACACATCACAAAACAGTTTCTGAGAATCATTCTGTCTAGTTTTTATACGAAGATATTTCCTTTTCTACCGTTGACCTCAAAGCGGCTGAATTCTCCACTTACAAATTCCACCAAAAGAGTGTCTCAAATCTGCTCTGTGTAAAGAATCATTCAACTCTGTGAGTTGAATGCACACAACACAAGGAAGTTACTGGGAATTCCTCTGTCTAACCTTACATGAAAAAACCCGTTTCCAACGAAGGCCTCTAAGAGGCCAAGATATCCACTTGCAGACTTTACAAACAGAGTGTTTCCAAACTGCTGAATGAAAAGAAAAGTTAAACTCTGTGAGTTGAACGCACACATCACAGAGCAGTTTCTGAGAATGATTCTGTCGGGTTTTTATACGAAGATATTTCCTTTTCTGCCTTTGGCCTCAAAGCGCTTGAAGTCTCCACTTGCAAATTGCAGAAAAAGAGTGTTTCGAATCTGCTCTGTCTAAAGGAAGGTTCAACTCTGTCAGTTGAATACACACAACACAAGGAAGTTACTGAGATTTCTTCTGTCTAGCCTTACATGAAAAAAACCCGTTTCCAACGAAGGCCTCAAAGAGGTCAAAATATCCACGTGCAGACTTTCCAAACAGAGTGTTTCCAAACTGCTGAATGAAAAGAAAAGTTAAACTCTGTGAGTTGAACGCACACATCCCAGAGCAGTTTCTGAGAAAGATTCTGTCGAGTTTTTATAGGAAAATATTTCCTTTTCTGCTTTTGGCCTCAAAGCGCTTGAAATCTCCACTTGCAAATTCCACAAAAAGAGACTTTCAAATCTGCTCTGTCTAAAGGAAGGTTCAACTCTGTCAGTTGAATACACACAACACAAAGAAGTTACTAAGAATTCTTCCCTCTAGCATTATATGAAGAAATCCCGTTTCCAACGAAGGCATCTAAGAGGTCCAAATATCCACTTGCAGACTTTACAAACACAGGGTTTCCAGAATGCTGTATGAAAAGAAAGGTTAAACTCTGTGAGTTAAACACACACATCACTACGCAGTGTCTGGGAACGAGTTTGTCTTGTTTTTCTACGAAGATATTTCCTTTTCTACCATTGGCATCGAAGCGCTTGAAATCTCCACTTGCAAATTCCACAAAAAGAGTGTTTCAAATCTGCTCTGTCTAAAGGAAGGTTGAACTCTGTGAGTTGCATACACACAACACAAAGAAGTTACTGAGAAATCTTCTGTCTAGCATAATATGAAGAAATCCCGTTTCCAACGAAGGCCTCAAAGAGGTCCGAATATCCACTGGCAGGCTTCACAAACAGAGTGTTTCCTAACTGCTCTGTGAAAAGAAAGGTTAAACTCTGTGAGTTGAACGCACACATCACAAAGGAGTTTCTGAGAATCATTCTGTCTAGTTTTTATACGAAGATATTTCCTTTTCTACCATTGACCTCAAAGCGGCTGAAATCTCCACTTGCAAATTCCAGAAAAACAGTGTTTCAAATCTGCTCTGTGTAAAGGATCGTTCAACTCTGTGAGTTGAATACACACAACACAAGGAAGTTACTGAGAATTCATCTGTCTAGCATAATATGAAGAAATCCCGTTTCCAACGAAGGCCTCAAAGAGGTCTGAATATCCACTTGCAGACTTTACAAACAGAGTGTTTCCAAACTGCTGAATGAAAAGAAAAGTTAAACTCTGTGAGTTGAACGCACACATCACAGAGCAGTTTCTGAGAATGATTCTGTCGGGTTTTTATACGAAGATATTTCCTTTTCTGCCTTTGGCCTCAAAGCGCTTGAAGTCTCCACTTGCAAATTGCAGAAAAAGAGTGTTTCGAATCTGCTCTGTCTAAAGGAAGGTTCAACTCTGTCAGTTGAATACACACAACACAAGGAAGTTACTGAGATTTCTTCTGTCTAGCCTTACATGAAAAAAACCCGTTTCCAACGAAGGCCTCAAAGAGGTCAAAATATCCACGTGCAGACTTTCCAAACAGAGTGTTTCCAAACTGCTGAATGAAAAGAAAAGTTAAACTCTGTGAGTTGAACGCACACATCCCAGAGCAGTTTCTGAGAAAGATTCTGTCGAGGTTTTATAGGAAAATATTTCCTTTTCTGCTTTTGGCCTCAAAGCGCTTGAAATCTCCACTTGCAAATTCCACAAAAAGAGACTTTCAAATCTGCTCTGTCTAAAGGAAGGTTCAACTCTGTCAGTTGAATACACACAACACAAAGAAGTTACTAAGAATTCTTCCCTCTAGCATTATATGAAGAAATCCCGTTTCCAACGAAGGCATCTAAGAGGTCCAAATATCGACTTGCAGACTTTACAAACAGAGGGTTTCCAGAATGCTGTATGAAAAGAAAGGTTAAACTCTGTGAGTTAAACACACACATCACTACGCAGTGTCTGGGAACGAGTTTGTCTTGTTTTTATACGAAGATATTTCCTTTTCTACCATTGGCATCGAAGCGCTTGAAATCTCCACTTGCAAATTCCACAAAAAGAGTGTTTCAAATCTGCTCTGTCTAAAGGAAGGTTGAACTCTGTGAGTTGCATACACACAACACAAAGAAGTTACTGAGAAATCTTCTGTCTAGCATAATATGAAGAAATCCCGTTTCCAACGAAGGCCTGAAAGAGGTCCGAATATCCACTGGCAGGCTTCACAAACAGAGTGTTTCCTAACTGCTCTGTGAAAAGAAAGGTTAAACTCTGTGAGTTGAACGCACACATCACAAAGGAGTTTCTGAGAATCATTCTGTCTAGTTTTTATACGAAGATATTTCCTTTTCTACCATTGACCTCAAAGCGGCTGAAATCTCCACTTGCAAATTCCAGAAAAACAGTGTTTCAAATCTGCTCTGTGTAAAGGATCGTTCAACTCTGTGAGTTGAATACACACAACACAAGGAAGTTACTGAGAATTCATCTGTCTAGCATAATATGAAGAAATCCCGTTTCCAACGAAGGCCTCAAAGAGGTCTGAATATCCGCTTGCAGACTTTACAAACAGAGTGTTTCCTAACTGCTCTTTGAAAAGAAAGGTTAAACTCTGTGAGTTGAACGCACACATCACAAAACAGTTTCTGAGAATCATTCTGTCTAGTTTTTATACGAAGATATTTCCTTTTCTACCGTTGACCTCAAAGCGGCTGAATTCTCCACTTACAAATTCCACCAAAAGAGTGTCTCAAATCTGCTCTGTGTAAAGAATCATTCAACTCTGTGAGTTGAATGCACACAACACAAGGAAGTTACTGGGAATTCCTCTGTCTAAGCTTACATGAAAAAACCCGTTTCCAACGAAGGCCTCTAAGAGGCCAAGATATCCACTTGCAGACTTTACAAACAGAGTGTTTCCAAACTGCTGAATGAAAAGAAAAGTTAAACTCTGTGAGTTGAACGCACACATCACAGAGCAGTTTCTGAGAATGATTCTGTCGGGTTTTTATACGAAGATATTTCCTTTTCTGCCTTTGGCCTCAAAGCGCTTGAAGTTTCCACTTGCAAATTGCAGAAAAAGAGTGTTTCGAATCTGCTCTGTCTAAAGGAAGGTTCAACTCTGTCAGTTGAATACACACAACACAAGGAAGTTACTGAGATTTCTTTCTGTCTAGCCTTACATGAAAAAAACCCGTTTCCAACGAAGGCCTCAAAGTAGGTCAAAATATCCACGTGCAGACTTTCCAAACAGAGTGTTTCCAAACTGCTGAATGAAAAGAAAAGTTAAACTCTGTGAGTTGAACGCACACATCCCAGAGCAGTTTCTGAGAAAGATTCTGTCGAGTTTTTATAGGAAAATATTTCCTTTTCTGCTTTTGGCCTCAAAGCGCTTGAAATCTCCACTTGCAAATTCCACAGAAAGAGACTTTCAAATCTGCTCTGTCTAAAGGAAGGTTCAACTCTGTCAGTTGAATACACACAACACAAAGAAGTTACTAAGAATTCTTCCCTCTAGCATTATATGAAGAAATCCCGTTTCCAACGAAGGCATCTAAGAGGTCCAAATATCCACTTGCAGACTTTACAAACACAGGGTTTCCAGAATGCTGTATGAAAAGAAAGGTTAAACTCTGTGAGTTAAACACACACATCACTACGCAGTGTCTGGGAACGAGTTTGTCTTGTTTTTATACGAAGATATTTCCTTTTCTACCATTGGCATCGAAGCGCTTGAAATCTCCACTTGCAAATTCCACAAAAAGAGACTTTCAAATCTGCTCTGTCTAAAGGAAGGTTCAACTCTGTCAGTTGAATACACACAACACAAAGAAGTTACTAAGAATTCTTCCCTCTAGCATTATATGAAGAAATCCCGTTTCCAACGAAGGCATCTAAGAGGTCCAAATATCCACTTGCAGACTTTACAAACACAGGGTTTCCAGAATGCTGTATGAAAAGAAAGGTGAAACTCTGTGAGTTAAACACACACATCACTACGCAGTGTCTGGGAACGAGTTTGTCTTGTTTTTATACGAAGATATTTCCTTTTCTACCATTGGCATCGAAGCGCTTGAAATCTCCACTTGCAAATTCCACAAAAAGAGTGTTTCAAATCTGCTCTGTCTAAAGGAAGGTTGAACTCTGTGAGTTGCATACACACAACACAAAGAAGTTACTGAGAAATCTTCTGTCTAGCATAATATGAAGAAATCCCGTTTCCAACGAAGGCCTCAAAGAGGTCCGAATATCCACTGGCAGGCTTCACAAACAGAGTGTTTCCTAACTGCTCTGTGAAAAGAAAGGTTAAACTCTGTGAGTTGAACGCACACATCACAAAGGAGTTTCTGAGAATCATTCTGTCTAGTTTTTATACGAAGATATTTCCTTTTCTACCATTGACCTCAAAGCGGCTGAAATCTCCACTTGCAAATTCCAGAAAAACAGTGTTTCAAATCTGCTACTGTGTAAAGGATCGTTCAACTCTGTGACTTGAATACACACAACACAAGGAAGTTACTGAGAATTCTTCTGTCTAGCATAATATGAAGAAATCCCGTTTCCAACGAAGGCCTCAAAGACGTCTGAATATCCACTTGCAGACTTTACAAACAGAGTGTTTCCTAACTGCTCTTTGAAAAGAAAGGTTAAACTCTGTGAGTTGAACGCACACATCACAAAACAGTTTGCTGAGAATCATTCTGTCTAGTTTTTATACGAAGATATTTCCTTTTCTACCGTTGACATCAAAGCGGCTGAATTCTCCACTTACAAATTCCACCAAAAGAGTGTCTCAAATCTGCTCTGTGTAAAGAATCATTCAACTCTGTGAGTTGAATGCACACAACACAAGGAAGTTAGTGGGAATTCCTCTGTCTAACCTTACATGAAAAAACCCGCTTCCAACGAAGGCCTCTAAGAGGCCAAGATATCCACTTGCAGACTTTACAAACAGAGTGTTTCCAAACTGCTGAATGAAAAGAAAAGTTAAACTCTGTGAGTTGAACGCACACATCACAGAGCAGTTTCTGAGAATGATTCTGTCGGGTTTTTATACGAAGATATTTCCTTTTCTGCCTTTGGCCTCAAAGCGCTTGAAGTCTCCACTTGCAAATTGCAGAAAAAGAGTGTTTCGAATCTGCTCTGTCTAAAGGAAGGTTCAACTCTGTCAGTTGAATACACACAACACAAGGAAGTTACTGAGATTTCTTCTGTCTAGCCTTACATGAAAAAAACCCGTTTCCAACAAAGGCCTCAAAGAGGTCAAAATATCCACGTGCAGACTTTCCAAACAGAGTGTTTCCAAACTGCTGAATGAAAAGAAAAGTTAAACTCTGTGAGTTGAACGCACACGTCCCAGAGCAGTTTCTGAGAAAGATTCTGTCGAGTTTTTATAGGAAAATATTTCCTTTTCTGCTTTTGGCCTCAAAGCGCTTGAAATCTCCACTTGCAAATTCCACAAAAAGAGACTTTCAAATCTGCTCTGTCTAAAGGAAGGTTCAACTCTGTCAGTTGAATACACACAACACAAAGAAGTTACTAAGAATTCTTCCCTCTAGCATTATATGAAGAAATCCCGTTTCCAACGAAGGCATCTAAGAGGTCCAAATATCCACTTGCAGACTTTACAAACACAGGGTTTCCAGAATGCTGTATGAAAAGAAAGGTTAAACTCTGTGAGTTAAACACACACATCACTACGCAGTGTCTGGGAACGAGTTTGTCTTGTTTTTATACGAAGATATTTCCTTTTCTACCATTGGCATCGAAGCGCTTGAAATCTCCACTTGCAAATTCCACAAAAAGAGTGTTTCAAATCTGCTCTGTCTAAAGGAAGGTTGAACTCTGTGAGTTGCATACACACAACACAAAGAAGTTACTGAGAAATCTTCTGTCTAGCATAATATGAAGAAATCCCGTTTCCAACGAAGGCCTCAAAGAGGTCCGAATATCCACTGGCAGGCTTCACAAACAGAGTGTTTCCTAACTGCTCTGTGAAAAGAAAGGTTAAACTCTGTGAGTTGAACGCACACATCACAAAGGAGTTTCTGAGAATCATTCTGTCTAGTTTTTATACGAAGATATTTCCTTTTCTACCATTGACCTCAAAGCGGCTGAAATCTCCACTTGCAAATTCCAGAAAAACAGTGTTTCAAATCTGCTCTGTGTAAAGGATCGTTCAACTCTGTGAGTTGAATACACACAACACAAGGAAGTTACTGAGAATTCATCTGTCTAGCATAATATGAAGAAATCCCGTTTCCAACGAAGGCCTCAAAGAGGTCTGAATATCCACTTGCAGACTTTACAAACAGAGTGTTTCCTAACTGCTCTTTGAAAAGAAAGGTTAAACTCTGTGAGTTGAAAGCACACATCACAAAACAGTTTCTGAGAATCATTCTGTCTAGTTTTTATACGAAGATATTTCCTTTTCTACCGTTGACATCAAAGCGGCTGAATTCTCCACTTACAAATTCCACCAAAAGAGTGTCTCAAATCTGCTCTGTGTAAAGAATCATTCAACTCTGTGAGTTGAATGCACACAACACAAGGAAGTTAGTGGGAATTCCTCTGTCTAACCTTACATGATAAAACCCGTTTCCAACGAAGGCCACTAAGAGGCCAAGATATCCACTTGCAGACTTTACAAACAGAGTGTTTCCAAACTGCTGAATGAAAAGAAAAGTTAAACTCTGTGAGTTGAACGCACACATCACAGAGCAGTTTCTGAGAATGATTCTGTCGGGTTTTTATACGAAGATATTTCCTTTTCTGCCTTTGGCCTCAAAGCGCTTGAAGTCTCCACTTGCAAATTGCAGAAAAAGAGTGTTTCGAATCTGCTCTGTCTAAAGGAAGGTTCAACTCTGTCAGTTGAATACACACAACACAAGGAAGTTACTGAGATTTCTTCTGTCTAGCCTTACATGAAAAAAACCCGTTTCCAACGAAGGCCTCAAAGAGGTCAAAATATCCACGTGCAGACTTTCCAAACAGAGTGTTTCCAAACTGCTGAATGAAAAGAAAAGTTAAACTCTGTGAGTTGAACGCACACATCCCAGAGCAGTTTCTGAGAAAGATTCTGTCTAGTATTTATAGGAAAATATTTCCTTTTCTGCTTTTGGCCTCAAAGCGCTTGAAATCTCCACTTGCAAATTCCACAAAAAGAGACTTTCAAATCTGCTCTGTCTAAAGGAAGGTTCAACTCTGTCAGTTGAATACACACAACGCAAAGAAGTTACTAAGAATTCTTCCCTCTAGCATTATATGAAGAAATCCCGTTTCCAACGAAGGCATCTAAGAGGTCCAAATATCCACTTGCAGACTTTACAAACAGAGGGTTTCCAGAATGCTGTATGAAAAGAAAGGTGAAACTCTGTGAGTTAAACACACACATCACTACGCAGTGTCTGGGAACGAGTTTGTCTTGTTTTTATACGAAGATATTTCCTTTTCTACCATTGGCATCGAAGCGCTTGAAATCTCCACTTGCAAATTCCACAAAAAGAGTGTTTCAAATCTGCTCTGTCTAAAGGAAGGTTGAACTCTGTGAGTTGCATACACACAACACAAAGAAGTTACTGAGAAATCTTCTGTCTAGCATAATATGAAGAAATCCCGTTTCCAACGAAGGCCTCAAAGAGGTCCGAATATCCACTGGCAGGCTTCACAAACAGAGTGTTTCCTAACTGCTCTGTGAAAAGAAAGGTTAAACTCTGTGAGTTGAACGCACACATCACAAAGGAGTTTCTGAGAATCATTCTGTCTAGTTTTTATACGAAGATATTTCCTTTTCTACCATTGACCTCAAAGCGGCTGAAATCTCCACTTGCAAATTCCAGAAAAACAGTGTTTCAAATCTGCTCTGTGTAAAGGATCGTTCAACTCTGTGAGTTGAATACACACAACACAAGGAAGTTACTGAGAATTCATCTGTCTAGCATAATATGAAGAAATCCCGTTTCCAACGAAGGCCTCAAAGAGGTCTGAATATCCACTTGCAGACTTTACAAACAGAGTGTTTCCTAACTGCTCTTTGAAAAGAAAGGTTAAACTCTGTGAGTTGAAAGCACACATCACAAAACAGTTTCTGAGAATCATTCTGTCTAGTTTTTATAGGAAGATATTTCCTTTTCTACCGTTGACCTCAAAGCGGCTGAATTCTCCACTTACAAATTCCACCAAAAGAGTGTCTCAAATCTGCTCTGTGTAAAGAATCATTCAACTCTGTGAGTTGAATGCACACAACACAAGGAAGTTAGTGGGAATTCCTCTGTCTAACCTTACATGATAAAACCCGTTTCCAACGAAGGCCTCTAAGAGGCCAAGATATCCACTTGCAGACTTTACAAACAGAGTGTTTCCAAACTGCTGAATGAAAAGAAAAGTTAAACTCTGTGAGTTGAACGCACACATCACAGAGCAGTTTCTGAGAATGATTCTGTCGGGTTTTTATACGAAGATATTTCCTTTTCTGCCTTTGGCCTCAAAGCGCTTGAAGTCTCCACTTGCAAATTGCAGAAAAAGAGTGTTTCGAATCTGCTCTGTCTAAAGGAAGGTTCAACTCTGTCAGTTGAATACACACAACACAAGGAAGTTACTGAGATTTCTTCTGTCTAGCCTTACATGAAAAAAACCCGTTTCCAACGAAGGCCTCAAAGAGGTCAAAATATCCACGTGCAGACTTTCCAAACAGAGTGTTTCCAAACTGCTGAATGAAAAGAAAAGTTAAACTCTGTGAGTTGAACGCACACATCCCAGAGCAGTTTCTGAGAAAGATTCTGTCGAGTTTTTATAGGAAAATATTTCCTTTTCTGCTTTTGGCCTCAAAGCGCTTGAAATCTCCACTTGCAAATTCCACAGAAAGAGACTTTCAAATCTGCTCTGTCTAAAGGAAGGTTCAACTCTGTCAGTTGAATACACACAACACAAAGAAGTTACTAAGAATTCTTCCCTCTAGCATTATATGAAGAAATCCCGTTTCCAACGAAGGCATCTAAGAGGTCCAAATATCCACTTGCAGACTTTACAAACACAGGGTTTCCAGAATGCTGTATGAAAAGAAAGGTTAATCTCTGTGAGTTAAACACACACATCACTACGCAGTGTCTGGGAACGAGTTTGTCTTGTTTTTATACGAAGATATTTCCTTTTCTACCATTGGCATCGAAGCGCTTGAAATCTCCACTTGCAAATTCCACAAAAAGAGTGTTTCAAATCTGCTCTGTCTAAAGGAAGGTTGAACTCTGTGAGTTGCATACACACAACCCAAAGAAGTTACTGAGAAATCTTCTGTCTAGCATAATATGAAGAAATCCCGTTTCCAACGAAGGCCTCAAAGAGGTCCGATTATCCACTGGCAGGCTTCACAAACAGAGTGTTTCCTAACTGCTCTGTGAAAAGAAAGGTTAAACTCTGTGAGTTGAACGCACACATCACAAAGGAGTTTCTGAGAATCATTCTGTCTAGTTTTTATACGAAGATATTTCCTTTTCTACCATTGACCTCAAAGCGGCTGAAATCTCCACTTGCAAATTCCAGAAAAACAGTGTTTCAAATCTGCTCTGTGTAAAGGATCGTTCAACTCTGTGAGTTGAATACACACAACACAAGGAAGTTACTGAGAATTCATCTGTCTAGCATAATATGAAGAAATCCCGTTTCCAACGAAGGCCTCAAAGAGGTCTGAATATCCACTTGCAGACTTTACAAACAGAGTGTTTCCTAACTGCTCTTTGAAAAGAAAGGTTAAACTCTGTGAGTTGAACGCACACATCACAAAACAGTTTCTGAGAATCATTCTGTCTAGTTTTTATACGAAGATATTTCCTTTTCTACCGTTGACCTCAAAGCGGCTGAATTCTCCACTTACAAATTCCACCAAAAGAGTGTCTCAAATCTGCTCTGTGTAAAGAATCATTCAACTCTGTGAGTTGAATGCACACAACACAAGGAAGTTACTGGGAATTCCTCTGTCTATCCTTACATGAAAAAACCCGCTTCCAACGAAGGCCTCTAAGAGGCCAAGATATCCACTTGCAGACTTTACAAACAGAGTGTTTCCAAACTGCTGAATGAAAAGAAAAGTTAAACTCTGTGAGTTGAACGCACACATCACAGAGCAGTTTCTGAGAATGATTCTGTCGGGTTTTTATACGAAGATATTTCCTTTTCTGCCTTTGGCCTCAAAGCGCTTGAAGTCTCCACTTGCAAATTGCAGAAAAAGAGTGTTTCGAATCTGCTCTGTCTAAAGGAAGGTTCAACTCTGTCAGTTGAATACACACAACACAAGGAAGTTACTGAGATTTCTTCTGTCTAGCCTTACATGAAAAAAACCCGTTTCCAACGAAGGCCTCAAAGAGGTCAAAATATCCACGTGCAGACTTTCCAAACAGAGTGTTTCCAAACTGCTGAATGAAAAGTTAAACTCTGTGAGTTGAACGCACACATCCCAGAGCAGTTTCTGAGAAAGATTCTGTCTAGTTTTTATAGGAAAATATTTCCTTTTCTGCTTTTGGCCTCAAAGCGCTTGAAATCTCCACTTGCAAATTCCACAAAAAGAGACTTTCAAATCTGCTCTGTCTAAAGGAAGGTTCAACTCTGTCAGTTGAATACACACAACACAAAGAAGTTACTAAGAATTCTTCCCTCTAGCATTATATGAAGAAATCCCGTTTCCAACGAAGGCATCTAAGAGGTCCAAATATCCACTTGCAGACTTTACAAACACAGGGTTTCCAGAATGCTGTATGAAAAGAAAGGTGAAACTCTGTGAGTTAAACACACACATCACTACGCAGTGTCTGGGAACGAGTTTGTCTTGTTTTTATACGAAGATATTTCCTTTTCTACCATTGGCATCGAAGCGCTTGAAATCTCCACTTGCAAATTCCACAAAAAGAGTGTTTCAAATCTGCTCTGTCTAAAGGAAGGTTGAACTCTGTGAGTTGCATACACACAACACAAAGAAGTTACTGAGAAATCTTCTGTCTAGCATAATATGAAGAAATCCCGTTTCCAACGATGGCCTCAAAGAGGTCCGAATGTCCACTGGCAGACTTCACAAACAGAGTGTTTTCTAACTGCTCTGGGAAAAGAAAGGTTAAACTCTGTGAGTTGAACGCACACATCACAAAGGAGTTTCTGAGAATCATTCTGTCTAGTTTTTATACGAAGATATTTCCTTTTCTACCATTGACCTCAAAGCGGCTGAAATCTCCACTTGCAAATTCCAGAAAAAGAGTGTTTCAAATCTGCTCTGTGTAAAGGATCGTTCAACTCTGTGAGTTGAATACACACAACACAAGGAAGTTACTGAGAATTCTTCTGTCTAGCATAATATGAAGAAATCCCGTTTCCAACGAAGGCCTCAAAGAGGTCTGAATATCCACTTGCAGACTTTACAAACAGAGTGTTTCCTAACTGCTGAATGAAAAGAAAAGTTAAACTCTGTGAGTTGAATGCACACATCACAAAACAGTTTCCGAGAATCATTCTGTCTAGTTTTTATACGAAGATATTTCCTTTTCTACCATTGATCTCAAAGCGGCTGAATTCTCCACTTACAAATTCCACCAAAAGAGTGTCTCAAATCTGCTCTGTGTAAAGAATCATTCAACTCTGTGAGTTGAATGCACACAACACAAGGAAGTTACTGGGAATTCCTCTGTATAACCTTACATGAAAAAACCCGTTTCCAACGAAGGCCTCTAAGAGGCCAAGATATCCACTTGCAGACTTTACAAACAGAGTGTTTCCAAACTGCTGAATGAAAAGAAAAGTTAAACTCTGTGAGTTGAACGCACACATCACAGAGCAGTTTCTGAGAATGATTCTATCGGGTTTTTATACGAAGATATTTCCTTTTCTGCCTTTGGCCTCAAAGCGCTTGAAGTTTCCACTTGCAAATTGCAGAAAAAGAGTGTTTCGAATCTGCTCTGTCTAAAGGAAGGTTCAACTCTGTCAGTTGAATACACACAACACAAGGAAGTTACTGAGATTTCTTCTGTCTAGCCTTACATGAAAAAAACCCGTTTCCAACGAAGGCCTCAAAGAGGTCAAAATATCCACGTGCAGACTTTCCAAACAGAGTGTTTCCAAACTGCTGAATGAAAAGAAAAGTTAAACTCTGTGAGTTGAACGCACACATCCCAGAGCAGTTTCTGAGAAAGATTCTGTCGAGTTTTTATAGGAAAATATTTCCTTTTCTGCTTTTGGCCTCAAAGCGCTTGAAATCTCCACTTGCAAATTCCACAAAAAGAGACTTTCAAATCTGCTCTGTCTAAAGGAAGGTTCAACTCTGTCAGTTGAATACACACAACACAAAGAAGTTACTAAGAATTCTTCCCTCTAGCATTATATGAAGAAATCCCGTTTCCAACGAAGGCATCTAAGAGGTCCAAATATCCACTTGCAGACTTTACAAACACAGGGTTTCCAGAATGCTGTATGAAAAGAAAGGTGAAACTCTGTGAGTTAAACACACACATCACTACGCAGTGTCTGGGAACGAGTTTGTCTTGTTTTTATACGAAGATATTTCCTTTTCTACCATTGGCATCGAAGCGCTTGAAATCTCCACTTGCAAATTCCACAAAAAGAGTGTTTCAAATCTGCTCTGTCTAAAGGAAGGTTGAACTCTGTGAGTTGCATACACACAACACAAAGAAGTTACTGAGAAATCTTCTGTCTAGCATAATATGAAGAAATCCCGTTTCCAACGAAGGCCTCAAAGAGGTCCGAATATCCACTGGCAGGCTTCACAAACAGAGTGTTTCCTAACTGCTCTGTGAAAAGAAAGGTTAAACTCTGTGAGTTGAACGCACACATCACAAAGGAGTTTCTGAGAATCATACTGTCTAGTTTTGAAACGAAGTTATTTCCTTTTCTGCCATTGACCTTAAAGCGCTTGAAATCTCCACTTGCAAATTGCACAAAAAGAGTGTTTCAAATCTGCTCTGTCTAAAGGAACGTTCAACTCTGTGAGTTGAATGCACACAACACAAAGAAGTTACCGGGAATTCTTCTGTCTAGCCTTACATGAAAAAAAACCGTTTCCAACGAAGGCCTCAAAGTGGTCAATATATCCACTTGCAGACTATACAAACAGAGTGCTTCCAAACTGCTGAATGAAAAGAAAAGTTAAACTCTGTGAGTTGAACGCACACATCACAGAGCAGTTTCTGAGAATGATTATGTCAAGTTTTTATACGAAGATAATGCCTTTTCTGCCTTTGGCCTGAAAGCGCTTGAAGTCTCCTCTTGGAAATTCCAGATAAAGAGTGTTTCGAATCTGCTCTGTCTAAAGGAAGGTTCAACTGTGTCAGTTGAATACACATAACACAAAGAAGTTACTAAGAATTCTTCCCTCTAGAATTATATTAAGAAATTCCGTTTCCAAAGAAGGCATCTAAGAGCTCCAAATATCCACTTGTAGACTTTCCAAACAGAGAGTTTCCAGAATGCTGTATGAAAAGAAAGGTTAATCTCTGTGAGTTAAACACATACATCACTACGCAGTTTCTGGGAATGATTTTGTCTTGTTTTTATACGAAGATATTTCCTTTTCTACCATTGGCATCGAAGCGCTTGAAATCTCCACTTGCAAATTCCACAAAAAGAGTGTTTCAAATCTGCTCTGTCTAAAGGAAGGTTGAACTCTGTGAGTTGCATACAGACAACACAAAGTAGTTACTGAGAAATCTTCTGTCTAGCATAATATGAAGAAATCCCATTTCCAACGAAGGCCTCAAAAAGGTCCGAATATCCACTGGCAGACTTCACAAACAGAGTGTTTCCTAACTGCTCTATGAAAAGAAAGGTTAAACTCTGTGAGTTGAACGCACACATCACAAAGGAGTTTCTGAGAATCATTCTGTCTAGTTTTTATACGAAGATATTTCCTTTTCTACCATTGACCTCAAAGCGGCTGAAATCTCCACTTGCAAATTCCAGAAAAACAGTGTTTCAAATCTGCTCTGTGTAAAGGATCGTTCAACTCTGTGAGTTGAATACACACAACACAAGGAAGTTACTGAGAATTCTTCTGTCTAGCATAATATGAAGAAATCCCGTTTCCAACGAAGGCCTCAAAGAGGTCTGAATATCCACTTGCAGACTTTACAAACAGAGTGTTTCCTAACTGCTCTTTGAAAAGAAAGGTTAAACTCTGTGAGTTGAACGCACACATCACAAAACAGTTTCTGAGAATCATTCTGTCTAGTTTTTATACGAAGATATTTCCTTTTCTACCGTTGACCTCAAAGCGGCTGAATTCTCCACTTACAAATTCCACCAAAAGAGTGTCTCAAATCTGCTCTGTGTAAAGAATCATTCAACTCTGTGAGTTGAATGCACACAACACAAGGAAGTTACTGGGAATTCCTCTGTCTAACCTTACATGAAAAAACCCGCTTCCAACGAAGGCCTCTAAGAGGCCAAGATATCCACTTGCAGACTTTACAAACAGAGTGTTTCCAAACTGCTGAATGAAAAGAAAAGTTAAACTCTGTGAGTTGAACGCACACATCACAGAGCAGTTTCCTGAGAATGATTCTGTCGGGTTTTTATACGAAGATATTTCCTTTTCTGCCTTTGGCCTCAAAGCGCTTGAAGTCTCCACTTGCAAATTGCAGAAAAAGAGTGTTTCGAATCTGCTCTGTCTAAAGGAAGGTTCAACTCTGTCAGTTGAATACACACAACACAAGGAAGTTACTGAGATTTCTTCTGTCTAGCCTTACATGAAAAAAACCCGTTTCCAACGAAGGCCTCAAAGAGGTCAAAATATCCACGTGCAGACTTTCCAAACAGAGTGTTTCCAAACTGCTGAATGAAAAGAAAAGTTAAACTCTGTGAGTTGAACGCACACATCCCAGAGCAGTTTCTGAGAAAGATTCTGTCGAGTTTTTATAGGAAAATATTTCCTTTTCTGCTTTTGGCCTCAAATCGCTTGAAATCTCCACTTGCAAATTCCACAAAAAGAGACTTTCAAATCTGCTCTGTCTAAAGGAAGGTTCAACTCTGTCAGTTGAATACACACAACACAAAGAAGTTACTAAGAATTCTTCCCTCTGGCATTATATGAAGAAATCCCGTTTCCAACGAAGGCATCTAAGAGGTCCAAATATCCACTTGCAGACTTTACAAACACAGGGTTTCCAGAATGCTGTATGAAAAGAAAGGTTAAACTCTGTGAGTTAAACACACACATCACTACGCAGTGTCTGGGAACGAGTTTGTCTTGTTTTTATACGAAGATATTTCCTTTTCTACCATTGGCATCGAAGCGTTTGAAATCTCCACTTGCAAATTCCACAAAAAGAGTGTTTCAAATCTGCTCTGTCTAAAGGAAGGTTGAACTCTGTGAGTTGCATACACACAACACAAAGAAGTTACTGAGAAATCTTCTGTCTAGCATAATATGAAGAAATCCCGTTTCCAACGAAGGCCTCAAAGAGGTCCGAATATCCACTGGCAGGCTTCACAAACAGAGTGTTTCCTAACTGCTCTGTGAAAAGAAAGGTTAAACTCTGTGAGTTGAACGCACACATCACAAAGGAGTTTCTGAGAATCATTCTGTCTAGTTTTTATACGAAGATATTTCCTTTTCTACCATTGACCTCAAAGCGGCTGAAATCTCCACTTGCAAATTCCAGAAAAACAGTGTTTCAAATCTGCTCTGTGTAAAGGATCGTTCAACTCTGTGAGTTGAATACACACAACACAAGGAAGTTACTGAGAATTCATCTGTCTAGCATAATATGAAGAAATCCCGTTTCCAACGAAGGCCTCAAAGAGGTCTGAATATCCACTTGCAGACTTTACAAACAGAGTGTTTCCTAACTGCTCTTTGAAAAGAAAGGTTAAACTCTGTGAGTTGAACGCACACATCACAAAACAGTTTCTGAGAATCATTCTGTCTAGTTTTTATACGAAGATATTTCCTTTTCTAACGTTGACCTCAAAGCGGCTGAATTCTCCACTTACAAATTCCACCAAAAGAGTGTCTCAAATCTGCTCTGTGTAAAGAATCATTCAACTCTGTGAGTTGAATGCACACAACACAAGGAAGTTACTGGGAATTCCTCTGTCTAACCTTACATGAAAAAACCCGTTTCCAACGAAGGCCTCTAAGAGGCCAAGATATCCACTTGCAGACTTTACAAACAGAGTGTTTCCAAACTGCTGAATGAAAAGAAAAGTTAAACTCTGTGAGTTGAACGCACACATCACAGAGCAGTTTCTGAGAGTGATTCTGTCGGGTTTTTATACGAAGATATTTCCTTTTCTGCCTTTGGCCTCAAAGCGCTTGAACTTTCCACTTGCAAATTGCAGAAAAAGAGTGTTTCGAATCTGCTCTGTCTAAAGGAAGGTTCAACTCTGTCAGTTGAATACACACAACACAAGGAAGTTACTGAGATTTCTTCTGTCTAGCCTTACATGAAAAAAACCCGTTTCCAACGAAGGCCTCAAAGAGGTCAAAATATCCACGTGCAGACTTTCCAAACAGAGTGTTTCCAAACTGCTGAATGAAAAGAAAAGTTAAACTCTGTGAGTTGAACGCACACATCCCAGAGCAGTTTCTGAGAAAGATTCTGTCTAGTTTTTATAGGAAAATATTTCCTTTTCTGCTTTTGGCCTCAAAGCGCTTGAAATCTCCACTTGCAAATTCCACAAAAAGAGACTTTCAAATCTGCTCTGTCTAAAGGAAGGTTCAACTCTGTCAGTTGAATACACACAACACAAAAAAGTTACTAAGAATTCTTCCCTCTAGCATTATATGAAGAAATCCCGTTCCCAACGAAGGCATCTAAGAGGTCCAAATATCCACTTGCAGACTTTACAAACAGAGGGTTTCCAGAATGCTGTATGAAAAGAAAGGTTAAACTCTGTGAGTTAAACACACACATCACTACGCAGTGTCTGGGAACGAGTTTGTCTTGTTTTTATACGAAGATATTTCCTTTTCTACCATTGGCATCGAAGCGCTTGAAATCTCCACTTGCAAATTCCACAAAAAGAGTGTTTCAAATCTGCTCTGTCTAAAGGAAGGTTGAACTCTGTGAGTTGCATACACACAACACAAAGAAGTTACTGAGAAATCTTCTGTCTAGCATAATATGAAGAAATCCCGTTTCCAACGAAGGCCTCAAAGAGGTCCGAATATCCACTGGCAGGCTTCACAAACAGAGTGTTTCCTAACTGCTCTGTGAAAAGAAAGGTTAAACTCTGTGAGTTGAACGCACACATCACAAAGGAGTTTCTGAGAATCATTCTGTCTAGTTTTTATACAGAAGATATTTCCTTTTCTACCATTGACCTCAAAGCGGCTGAAATCTCCACTTGCAAATTCCAGAAAAACAGTGTTTCAAATCTGCTCTGTGTAAAGGATCGTTCAACTCTGTGAGTTGAATACACACAACACAAGGAAGTTACTGAGAATTCATCTGTCTAGCATAATATGAAGAAATCCCGTTTCCAACGAAGGCCTCAAAGAGGTCTGAATATCCACTTGCAGACTTTACAAACAGAGTGTTTCCTAACTGCTCTTTGAAAAGAAAGGTTAAACTCTGTGAGTTGAACGCACACATCACAAAACAGTTTCTGAGAATCATTCTGTCTAGTTTTTATACGAAGATATTTCCTTTTCTACCGTTGACCTCAAAGCGGCTGAATTCTCCACTTACAAATTCCACCAAAAGAGTGTCTCAAATCTGCTCTGTGTAAAGAATCATTCAACTCTGTGAGTTGAATGCACACAACACAAGGAAGTTACTGGGAATTCCTCTGTCTATCCTTACATGAAAAAACCCGCTTCCAACGAAGGCCTCTAAGAGGCCAAGATATCCACTTGCAGACTTTACAAACAGAGTGTTTCCAAACTGCTGAATGAAAAGAAAAGTTAAACTCTGTGAGTTGAACGCACACATCACAGAGCAGTTTCTGAGAATGATTCTGTCGGGTTTTTATACGAAGATATTTCCTTTTCTGCCTTTGGCCTCAAAGCGCTTGAAGTCTCCACTTGCAAATTGCAGAAAAAGAGTGTTTCGAATCTGCTCTGTCTAAAAGAAGGTTCAACTCTGTCAGTTGAATACACACAACACAAGGAAGTTACTGAGATTTCTTCTGTCTAGCCTTACATGAAAAAAACCCGTTTCCAACGAAGGCCTCAAAGAGGTCAAAATATCCACGTGCAGACTTTCCAAACAGAGTGTTTCCAAACTGCTGAATGAAAAGAAAAGTTAAACTCTGTGAGTTGAACGCACACATCCCAGAGCAGTTTCTGAGAAAGATTCTGTCTAGTTTTTATAGGAAAATATTTCCTTTTCTGCTTTTGGCCTCAAAGCGCTTGAAATCTCCACTTGCAAATTCCACAAAAAGAGACTTTCAAATCTGCTCTGTCTAAAGGAAGGTTCAACTCTGTCAGTTGAATACACACAACACAAAGAAGTTACTAAGAATTCTTCCCTCTAGCATTATATGAAGAAATCCCGTTTCCAACGAAGGCATCTAAGAGGTCCAAATATCCACTTGCAGACTTTACAAACACAGGGTTTCCAGAATGCTGTATGAAAAGAAAGGTTAAACTCTGTGAGTTAAACACACACATCACTACGCAGTGTCTGGGAACGAGTTTGTCTTGTTTTTATACGAAGATATTTCCTTTTCTACCATTGGCATCGAAGCGCTTGAAATCTCCACTTGCAAATTCCACAAAAAGAGTGTTTCAAATCTGCTCTGTCTAAAGGAAGGTTGAACTCTGTGAGTTGCATACACACAACACAAAGAAGTTACTGAGAAATCTTCTGTCTAGCATAATATGAAGAAATCCCGTTTCCAACGAAGGCCTCAAAGAGGTCTGAATATCCACTGGCAGGCTTCACAAACAGAGTGTTTCCTAACTGCTCTGTGAAAAGAAAGGTTAAACTCTGTGAGTTGAACGCACACATCACAAAGGAGTTTCTGAGAATCATTCTGTCTAGTTTTTATACGAAGATATTTCTTTTTCTACCATTGACCTCAAAGCGGCTGAAATCTCCACTTGCAAATTCCAGAAAAACAGTGTTTCAAATCTGCTCTGTGTAAAGGATCGTTCAACTCTGTGAGTTGAATACACACAACACAAGGAAGTTACTGAGAATTCATCTGTCTAGCATAATATGAAGAAATCCCGTTTCCAACGAAGGCCTCAAAGTAGGTCTGAATATCCACTTGCAGACTTTACAAACAGAGTGTTTCCTAACTGCTCTTTGAAAAGAAAGGTTAAACTCTGTGAGTTGAACGCACACATCACAAAACAGTTTCTGAGAATCATTCTGTCTAGTTTTTATACGAAGATATTTCCTTTTCTACCGTTGACCTCAAAGCGGCTGAATTCTCCACTTACAAATTCCACCAAAAGAGTGTCTCAAATCTGCTCTGTGTAAAGAATCATTCAACTCTGTGAGTTGAATGCACACAACACAAGGAAGTTACTGGGAATTCCTCTGTCTATCCTTACATGAAAAAACCCGCTTCCAACGAAGGCCTCTAAGAGGCCAAGATATCCACTTGCAGACTTTACAAACAGAGTGTTTCCAAACTGCTGAATGAAAAGAAAAGTTAAACTCTGTGAGTTGAACGCACACATCACAGAGCAGTTTCTGAGAATGATTCTGTCGGGTTTTTATACGAAGATATTTCCTTTTCTGCCTTTGGCCTCAAAGCGCTTGAAGTCTCCACTTGCAAATTGCAGAAAAAGAGTGTTTCGAATCTGCTCTGTCTAAAGGAAGGTTCAACTCTGTCAGTTGAATACACACAACACAAGGAAGTTACTGAGATTTCTTCTGTCTAGCCTTACATGAAAAAAACCCGTTTCCAACGAAGGCCTCAAAGAGGTCAAAATATCCACGTGCAGACTTTCCAAACAGAGTGTTTCCAAACTGCTGAATGAAAAGAAAAGTTAAACTCTGTGAGTTGAACGCACACATCCCAGAGCAGTTTCTGAGAAAGATTCTGTCGAGTTTTTAATAGGAAAATATTTCCTTTTCTGCTTTTGGCCTCAAAGCGCTTGAAATCTCCACTTGCAAATTCCACAAAAAGAGACTTTCAAATCTGCTCTGTCTAAAGGAAGGTTCAACTCTGTCAGTTGAATACACACAACACAAAGAAGTTACTAAGAATTCTTCCCTCTAGCATTATATGAAGAAATCCCGTTTCCAACGAAGGCATCTAAGAGGTCCAAATATCCACTTGCAGACTTTACAAACACAGGGTTTCCAGAATGCTGTATGAAAAGAAAGGTTAAACTCTGTGAGTTAAACACACACATCACTACGCAGTGTCTGGGAACGAGTTTGTCTTGTTTTTATACGAAGATATTTCCTTTTCTACCATTGGCATCGAAGCGCTTGAAATCTCCACTTGCAAATTCCACAAAAAGAGTGTTTCAAATATGCTCTCTCTAAAGGAAGGTTGAACTCTGTGAGTTGCATACACACAACACAAAGAAGTTACTGAGAAATCTTCTGTCTAGCATAATATGAAGAAATCCCGTTTCCAACGAAGGCCTCAAAGAGGTCCGATTATCCACTGGCAGGCTTCACAAACAGAGTGTTTCCTAACTGCTCTGTGAAAAGAAAGGTTAAACTCTGTGAGTTGAACGCACACATCACAAAGGAGTTTCTGAGAATCATTCTGTCTAGTTTTTATACGAAGATATTTCCTTTTCTACCATTGACCTCAAAGCGGCTGAAATCTCCACTTGCAAATTCCAGAAAAACAGTGTTTCAAATCTGCTCTGTGTAAAGGATCGTTCAACTCTGTGAGTTGAATACACACAACACAAGGAAGTTACTGAGAATTCATCTGTCTAGCATAATATGAAGAAATCCCGTTTCCAACGAAGGCCTCAAAGAGGTCTGAATATCCACTTGCAGACTTTACAAACAGAGTGTTTCCTAACTGCTCTTTGAAAAGAAAGGTTAAACTCTGTGAGTTGAAAGCACACATCACAAAACAGTTTCTGAGAATCATTCTGTCTAGTTTTTATACGAAGATATTTCCTTTTCTACCGTTGACCTCAAAGCGGCTGAATTCTCCACTTACAAATTCCACCAAAAGAGTGTCTCAAATCTGCTCTGTGTAAAGAATCATTCAACTCTGTGAGTTGAATGCACACAACACAAGGAAGTTACTGGGAATTCCTCTGTCTAACCTTAAATGAAAAAACCCGTTTCCAACGAAGGCCTCTAAGAGGCCAAGATATCCACTTGCAGACTTTACAAACAGAGTGTTTCCAAACTGCTGAATGAAAAGAAAAGTTAAACTCTGTGAGTTGAACGCACACATCACAGAGCAGTTTCTGAGAATGATTCTGTCGGGTTTTTATACGAAGATATTTCCTTTTCTGCCTTTGGCCTCAAAGCGCTTGAAGTCTCCACTTGCAAATTGCAGAAAAAGAGTGTTTCGAATCTGCTCTGTCTAAAGGAAGGTTCAACTCTGTCAGTTGAATACACACAACACAAGGGAATTTACTGAGATTTCTTCTGTCTAGCCTTACATGAAAAAAACCCGTTTCCAACGAAGGCCTCAAAGAGGTCAAAATATCCACGTGCAGACTTTCCAAACAGTGTTTCCAAACTGCTGAATGAAAAGAAAAGTTAAACTCTGTGAGTTGAACGCACACATCACAGAGCAGTTTCTGAGAATGATTCTGTCTAGTTTTTATAGGAAAATATTTCCTTTTCTGCTTTTGGCCTCAAAGCGCTTGAAATCTCCACTTGCAAATTCCACAAAAAGAGACTTTCAAATCTGCTCTGTCTAAAGGAAGGTTCAACTCTGTCAGTTGAATACACACAACACAAAGAAGTTACTAAGAATTCTTCCCTCTAGCATTATATGAAGAAATCCCGTTTCCAACGAAGGCATCTAAGAGGTCCAAATATCCACTTGCAGACTTTACAAACACAGGGTTTCCAGAATGCTGTATGAAAAGAAAGGTGAAACTCTGTGAGTTAAACACACACATCACTACGCAGTGTCTGGGAACGAGTTTGTCTTGTTTTTATACGAAGATATTTCCTTTTCTACCATTGGCATCGAAGCGCTTGAAATCTCCACTTGCAAATTCCACAAAAAGAGTGTTTCAAATCTGCTCTGTCTAAAGGAAGGTTGAACTCTGTGAGTTGCATACACACAACACAAAGAAGTTACTGAGAAATCTTCTGTCTAGCATAATATGAAGAAATCCCGTTTCCAACGAAGGCCTCAAAGAGGTCCGAATATCCACTGGCAGGCTTCACAAACAGAGTGTTTCCTAACTGCTCTGTGAAAAGAAAGGTTAAACTCTGTGAGTTGAACGCACACATCACAAAGGAGTTTCTGAGAATCATTCTGTCTAGTTTTTATACGAAGATATTTCCTTTTCTACCATTGACCTCAAAGCGGCTGAAATCTCCACTTGCAAATTCCAGAAAAACAGTGTTTCAAATCTGCTCTGTGTAAAGGATCGTTCAACTCTGTGAGTTGAATACACACAACACAAGGAAGTTACTGAGAATTCATCTGTCTAGCATAATATGAAGAAATCCCGTTTCCAACGAAGGCCTCAAAGAGGTCTGAATATCCACTTGCAGACTTTACAAACAGAGTGTTTCCTAACTGCTCTTTGAAAAGAAAGGTTAAACTCTGTGAGTTGAACGCACACATCACAAAACAGTTTCTGAGAATCATTCTGTCTAGTTTTTATACGAAGATATTTCCTTTTCTACCGTTGACCTCAAAGCGGCTGAATTCTCCACTTACAAATTCCACCAAAAGAGTGTCTCAAATCTGCTCTGTGTAAAGAATCATTCAACTCTGTGAGTTGAATGCACACAACACAAGGAAGTTACTGGGAATTCCTCTGTCTAACCTTACATGAAAAAACCCGTTTCCAACGAAGGCCTCTAAGAGGCCAAGATATCCACTTGCAGACTTTACAAACAGAGTGTTTCCAAACTGCTGAATGAAAAGAAAAGTTAAACTCTGTGAGTTGAACGCACACATCACAGAGCAGTTTCTGAGAATGATTCTGTCGGGTTTTTATACGAAGATATTTCCTTTTCTGCCTTTGGCCTCAAAGCGCTTGAAGTCTCCACTTGCAAATTGCAGAAAAAGAGTGTTTCGAATCTGCTCTGTCTAAAGGAAGGTTCAACTCTGTCAGTTGAATACACACAACACAAGGAAGTTACTGAGATTTCTTCTGTCTAGCCTTACATGAAAAAAACCCGTTTCCAACGAAGGCCTCAAAGAGGTCAAAATATCCACGTGCAGACTTTCCAAACAGAGTGTTTCCAAACTGCTGAATGAAAAGAAAAGTTAAACTCTGTGAGTTGAACGCACACATCCCACAGCAGTTTCTGAGAAAGATTCTGTCGAGTTTTTATAGGAAAATATTTCCTTTTCTGCTTTCGGCCTCAAAGCGCTTGAAATCTCCACTTGCAAATTCCACAAAAAGAGACTTTCAAATCTGCTCTGTCTAAAGGAAGGTTCAACTCTGTCAGTTGAATACACACAACACAAAGAAGTTACTAAGAATTCTTCCCTCTAGCATTATATGAAGAAATCCCGTTTCCAACGAAGGCATCTAAGAGGTCCAAATATCCACTTGCAGACTTTACAAACACAGGGTTTCCAGAATGCTGTATGAAAAGAAAGGTTAAACTCTGTGAGTTAAACACACACATCACTACGCAGTGTCTGGGAACGAGTTTGTCTTGTTTTTATACGAAGATATTTCCTTTTCTACCATTGGCATCGAAGCGCTTGAAATCTCCACTTGCAAATTCCACAAAAAGAGTGTTTCAAATCTGCTGTGTCTAAAGGAAGGTTGAACTCTGTGAGTTGCATACACACAACACAAAGAAGTTACTGAGAAATCTTCTGTCTAGCATAATATGAAGAAATCCCGTTTCCAACGAAGGCCTCAAAGAGGTCCGAATATCCACTGGCAGGCTTCACAAACAGAGTGTTTCCTAACTGCTCTGTGAAAAGAAAGGTTAAACTCTGTGAGTTGAACGCACACATCACAAAGGAGTTTCTGAGAATCATTCTGTCTAGTTTTTATACGAAGATATTTCCTTTTCTACCATTGACCTCAAAGCGGCTGAAATCTCCACTTGCAAATTCCAGAAAAACAGTGTTTCAAATCTGCTCTGTGTAAAGGATCGTTCAACTCTGTGAGTTGAATACACACAACACAAGGAAGTTACTGAGAATTCATCTGTCTAGCATAATATGAAGAAATCCCGTTTCCAACGAAGGCCTCAAAGAGGTCTGAATATCCACTTGCAGACTTTACAAACAGAGTGTTTCCTAACTGCTCTTTGAAAAGAAAGGTTAAACTCTGTGAGTTGAACGCACACATCACAAAACAGTTTCTGAGAATCATTCTGTCTAGTTTTTATACGAAGATATTTCCTTTTCTACCGTTGACCTCAAAGCAGCTGAATTCTCCACTTACAAATTCCACCAAAAGAGTGTCTCAAATCTGCTCTGTGTAAAGAATCATTCAACTCTGTGAGTTGAATGCACACAACACAAGGAAGTTACTGGGAATTCCTCTGTCTAACCTTACATGAAAAAACCCGTTTCCAACGAAGGCCTCTAAGAGGCCAAGATATCCACTTGCAGACTTTACAAACAGAGTGTTTCCAAACTGCTGAATGAAAAGAAAAGTTAAACTCTGTGAGTTGAACGCACACATCACAGAGCAGTTTCTGAGAATGATTCTGTCGGGTTTTTATACGAAGATATTTCCTTTTCTGCCTTTGGCCTCAAAGCGCTTGAAGTCTCCACTTGCAAATTGCAGAAAAAGAGTGTTTCGAATCTGCTCTGTCTAAAGGAAGGTTCAACTCTGTCAGTTGAATACACACAACACAAGGAAGTTACTGAGATTTCTTCTGTCTAGCCTTACATGAAAAAAACCCGTTTCCAACGAAGGCCTCAAAGAGGTCAAAATATCCACGTGCAGACTTTCCAAACAGAGTGTTTCCAAACTGCTGAATGAAAAGAAAAGTTAAACTCTGTGAGTTGAACGCACACATCCCAGAGAAGTTTCTGAGAAAGATTCTGTCGAGTTTTTATAGGAAAATATTTCCTTTTCTGCTTTTGGCCTCAAAGCGCTTGAAATCTCCACTTGCAAATTCCACAAAAAGAGACTTTCAAATCTGCTCTGTCTAAAGGAAGGTTCAACTCTGTCAGTTGAATACACACAACAAAAAGAAGTTACTAAGAATTCTTCCCTCTAGCATTATATGAAGAAATCCCGTTTCCAACGAAGGCATCTAAGAGGTCCAAATATCCACTTGCAGACTTTACAAACACAGGGTTTCCAGAATGCTGTATGAAAAGAAAGGTTAAACTCTGTGAGTTAAACACACACATCACTACGCAGTGTCTGGGAACGAGTTTGTCTTGTTTTTATACGAAGATATTTCCTTTTCTACCATTGGCATCGAAGCGCTTGAAATCTCCACTTGCAAATTCCACAAAAAGAGTGTTTCAAATCTGCTCTGTCTAAAGGAAGGTTGAACTCTGTGAGTTGCATACACACAACACAAAGAAGTTACTGAGAAATCTTCTGTCTAGCATAATATGAAGAAATCCCGTTTCCAACGAAGGCCTCAAAGAGGTCCGAATATCCACTGGCAGGCTTCACAAACAGAGTGTTTCCTAACTGCTCTGTGAAAAGAAAGGTTAAACTCTGTGAGTTGAACGCACACATCACAAAGGAGTTTCTGAGAATCATTCTGTCTAGTTTTTATACGAAGATATTTCCTTTTCTACCATTGACCTCAAAGCGGCTGAAATCTCCACTTGCAAATTCCAGAAAAACAGTGTTTCAAATCTGCTCTGTGTAAAGGATCGTTCAACTCTGTGAGTTGAATACACACAACACAAGGAAGTTACTGAGAATTCATCTGTCTAGCATAATATGAAGAAATCCCGTTTCCAACGAAGGCCTCAAACAGGTCTGAATATCCACTTGCAGACTTTACAAACAGAGTGTTTCCTAACTGCTCTTTGAAAAGAAAGGTTAAACTCTGTGAGTTGAACGCACACATCACAAAACAGTTTCTGAGAATCATTCTGTCTAGTTTTTATACGAAGATATTTCCTTTTCTACCGTTGACCTCAAAGCGGCTGAATTCTCCACTTACAAATTCCACCAAAAGAGTGTCTCAAATCTGCTCTGTGTAAAGAATCATTCAACTCTGTGAGTTGAATGCACACAACACAAGGAAGTTACTGGGAATTCCTGTGTGTATCCTTACATGAAAAAACCCGTTTCCAACGAAGGCCTCTAAGAGGCCAAGATATCCACTTGCAGACTTTACAAACAGAGTGTTTCCAAACTGCTGAATGAAAAGAAAAGTTAAACTCTGTGAGTTGAACGCACACATCACAGAGCAGTTTCTGAGAATGATTCTGTCGGGTTTTTATACGAAGATATTTCCTTTTCTGCCTTTGGCCTCAAAGCGCTTGAAGTCTCCACTTGCAAATTGCAGAAAAAGAGTGTTTCGAATCTGCTCTGTCTAAAGGAAGGTTCAACTCTGTCAGTTGAATACACACAACACAAGGAAGTTACTGAGATTTCTTCTGTCTAGCGTTACATGAAAAAAACCCGTTTCCAACGAAGGCCTCAAAGAGGTCAAAATATCCACGTGCAGACTTTCCAAACAGAGTGTTTCCAAACTGCTGAATGAAAAGAAAAGTTAAACTCTGTGAGTTGAACGCACACATCCCAGAGCAGTTTCTGAGAAAGATTCTGTCGAGTTTTTATAGGAAAATATTTCCTTTTCTGCTTTTGGCCTCAAAGCGCTTGAAATCTCCACTTGCAAATTCCACAAAAAGAGACTTTCAAATCTGCTCTGTCTAAAGGAAGGTTCAACTCTGTCAGTTGAATACACACAACACAAAGAAGTTACTAAGAATTCTTCCCTCTAGCATTATATGAAGAAATCCCGTTTCCAACGAAGGCATCTAAGAGGTCCAAATATCCACTTGCAGACTTTACAAACACAGGGTTTCCAGAATGCTGTATGAAAAGAAAGGTTAAACTCTGTGAGTTAAACACACACATCACTACGCAGTGTCTGGGAACGAGTTTGTCTTGTTTTTATACGAAGATATTTCCTTTTCTACCATTGGCATCGAAGCGCTTGAAATCTCCACTTGCAAATTCCACAAAAAGAGTGTTTCAAATCTGCTCTGTCTAAAGGAAGGTTGAACTCTGTGAGTTGCATACACACAACACAAAGAAGTTACTGAGAAATCTTCTGTCTAGCATAATATGAAGAAATCCCGTTTCCAACGAAGGCCTCAAAGAGGTCCGAATATCCACTGGCAGGCTTCACAAACAGAGTGTTTCCTAACTGCTCTGTGAAAAGAAAGGTTAAACCCTGTGAGTTGAACGCACACATCACAAAGGAGTTTCTGAGAATCATTCTGTCTAGTTTTTATACGAAGATATTTCCTTTTCTACCATTGACCTCAAAGCGGCTGAAATCTCCACTTGCAAATTCCAGAAAAACAGTGTTTCAAATCTGCTCTGTGTAAAGGATCGTTCAACTCTGTGAGTTGAATACACACAACACAAGGAAGTTACTGAGAATTCATCTGTCTAGCATAATATGAAGAAATCCCGTTTCCAACGAAGGCCTCAAAGAGGTCTGAATATCCACTTGCAGACTTTACAAACAGAGTGTTTCCTAACTGCTCTTTGAAAAGAAAGGTTAAACTCTGTGAGTTCAACGCACACATCACAAAACAGTTTCTGAGAATCATTCTGTCTAGTTTTTATACGAAGATATTTCCTTTTCTACCGTTGACCTCAAAGCAGCTGAATTCTCCACTTACAAATTCCACCAAAAGAGTGTCTCAAATCTGCTCTGTGTAAAGAATCATTCAACTCTGTGAGTTGAATGCACACAACACAAGGAAGTTACTGGGAATTCCTCTGTCTAACCTTACATGAAAAAACCCGTTTCCAACGAAGGCCTCTAAGAGGCCAAGATATCCACTTGCAGACTTTACAAACAGAGTGTTTCCAAACTGCTGAATGAAAAGAAAAGTTAAACTCCGTGAGTTGAACGCACACATCACAGAGCAGTTTCTGAGAATGATTCTGTCGGGTTTTTATACGAAGATATTTCCTTTTCTGCCTTTGGCCTCAAAGCGCTTGAAGTCTCCACTTGCAAATTGCAGAAAAAGAGTGTTTCGAATCTGCTCTGTCTAAAGGAAGGTTCAACTCTGTCAGTTGAATACACACAACACAAGGAAGTTACTGAGATTTCTTCTGTCTAGCCTTACATGAAAAAAACCCGTTTCCAACGAAGGCCTCAAAGAGGTCAAAATATCCACGTGCAGACTTTCCAAACAGAGTGTTTCCAAACTGCTGAATGAAAAGAAAAGTTAAACTCTGTGAGTTGAACGCACACATCCCAGAGCAGTTTCTGAGAAAGATTCTGTCGAGTTTTTATAGGAAAATATTTCCTTTTCTGCTTTTGGCCTCAAAGCGCTTGAAATCTCCACTTGCAAATTCCACAAAAAGAGACTTTCAAATCTGCTCTGTCTAAAGGAAGGTTCAACTCTGTCAGTTGAATACACACAACACAAAGAAGTTACTAAGAATTCTTCCCTCTAGCATTATATGAAGAAATCCCGTTTCCAACGAAGGCATCTAAGAGGTCCAAATATCCACTTGCAGACTTTACAAACACAGGGTTTCCAGAATGCTGTATGAAAAGAAAGGTTAAACTCTGTGAGTTAAACACACACATCACTACGCAGTGTCTGGGAACGAGTTTGTCTTGTTTTTATACGAAGATATTTCCTTTTCTACCATTTGCATCGAAGCGCTTGAAATCTCCACTTGCAAATTCCACAAAAAGAGTGTTTCAAATATGCTCTCTCTAAAGGAAGGTTGAACTCTGTAAGTTGCATACACACAACACAAAGAAGTTACTGAGAAATCTTCTGTCTAGCATAATATGAAGAAATCCCGTTTCCAACGAAGGCCTCAAAGAGGTCCGAATATCCACTGGCAGGCTTCACAAACAGAGTGTTTCCTAACTGCTCTGTGAAAAGAAAGGTTAAACTCTGTGAGTTGAACGCACACATCACAAAGGAGTTTCTGAGAATCATTCTGTCTAGTTTTTATACGAAGATATTTCCTTTTCTACAATTGACCTCAAAGCGGCTGAAATCTCCACTTGCAAATTCCAGAAAAACAGTGTTTCAAATCTGCTCTGTGTAAAGGATCGTTCAACTCTGTGAGTTGAATACACACAACACAAGGAAGTTACTGAGAATTCATCTGTCTAGCATAATATGAAGAAATCCCGTTTCCAACGAAGGCCTCAAAGAGGTCTGAATATCCACTTGCAGACTTTACAGAGTGTTTCCTAACTGCTCTCTGAAAAGAAAGGTTAAACTCTGTGAGTTGAACGCACACATCACAAAACAGTTTCTGAGAATCATTCTGTCTAGTTTTTATACGAAGATATTTCCTTTTCTACCGTTGACCTCAAAGCGGCTGAATTCTCCACTTACAAATTCCACCAAAAGAGTGTCTCAAATCTGCTCTGTGTAAAGAATCATTCAACTCTGTGAGTTGAATGCACACAACACAAGGAAGTTACTGGGAATTCCTCTGTCTATCCTTACATGAAAAAACCCGTTTCCAACGAAGGCCTCTAAGAGGCCAAGATATCCACTTGCAGACTTTACAAACAGAGTGTTTCCAAACTGCTGAATGAAAAGAAAAGTTAAACTCTGTGAGTTGAACGCACACATCACAGAGCAGTTTCTGAGAATGATTCTGTCGGGTTTTTATACGAAGATATTTCCTTTTCTGCCTTTGGCCTCAAAGCGCTTGAAGTCTCCACTTGCAAATTGCAGAAAAAGAGTGTTTCGAATCTGCTCTGTCTAAAGGAAGGTTCAACTCTGTCAGTTGAATACACACAACACAAGGAAGTTACTGAGATTTCTTCTGTCTAGCCTTACATGAAAAAAACCCGTTTCCAACGAAGGCCTCAAAGAGGTCAAAATATCCACGTGCAGACTTTCCAAACAGAGTGTTTCCAAACTGCTGAATGAAAAGAAAAGTTAAACTCTGTGAGTTGAACGCACACATCCCAGAGCAGTTTCTGAGAAAGATTCTGTCGAGTTTTTATAGGAAAATATTTCCTTTTCTGCTTTTGGCCTCAAAGCGCTTGAAATCTCCACTTGCAAATTCCACAAAAAGAGACTTTCAAATCTGATCTGTCTAAAGGAAGGTTCAACTCTGTCAGTTGAATACACACAACACAAAGAAGTTACTAAGAATTCTTCCCTCTAGCATTATATGAAGAAATCCCGTTTCCAACGAAGGCATCTAAGAGGTCCAAATATCCACTTGCAGACTTTACAAACACAGGGTTTCCAGAATGCTGTATGAAAAGAAAGGTGAAACTCTGTGAGTTAAACACACACATCACTACGCAGTGTCTGGGAACGAGTTTGTCTTGTTTTTATACGAAGATATTTCCTTTTCTACCATTGGCATCGAAGCGCTTGAAATCTCCACTTGCAAATTCCACAAAAAGAGTGTTTCAAATCTGCTCTGTCTAAAGGAAGGTTGAACTCTGTGAGTTGCATACACACAACACAAAGAAGTTACTGAGAAATCTTCTGTCTAGCATAATATGAAGAAATCCCGTTTCCAACGAAGGCCTCAAAGAGGTCTGAATATCCACTGGCAGGCTTCACAAACAGAGTGTTTCCTAACTGCTCTGTGAAAAGAAAGGTTAAACTCTGTGAGTTGAACGCACACATCACAAAGGAGTTTCTGAGAATCATTCTGTCTAGTTTTTATACGAAGATATTTCTTTTTCTACCATTGACCTCAAAGCGGCTGAAATCTCCACTTGCAAATTCCAGAAAAACAGTGTTTCAAATCTGCTCTGTGTAAAGGATCGTTCAACTCTGTGAGTTGAATACACACAACACAAGGAAGTTACTGAGAATTCATCTGTCTAGCATAATATGAAGAAATCCCGTTTCCAACGAAGGCCTCAAAGAGGTCTGAATATCCACTTGCAGACTTTACAAACAGAGTGTTTCCTAACTGCTCTTTGAAAAGAAAGGTTAAACTCTGTGAGTTGAACGCACACATCACAAAACAGTTTCTGAGAATCATTCTGTCTAGTTTTTATACGAAGATATTTCCTTTTCTACCGTTGACCTCAAAGCGGCTGAATTCTCCACTAACAAATTCCACCAAAAGAGTGTCTCAAATCTGCTCTGTGTAAAGAATCATTCAACTCTGTGAGTTGAATGCACACAACACAAGGAAGTTACTGGGAATTCCTCTGTCTAACCTTACATGACAAAACCCGTTTCCAACGAAGGCCTCTAAGAGGCCAAGATATCCACTTGCAGACTTTAGAAACAGAGTGTTTCCAAACTGCTGAATGAAAAGAAAAGTTAAACTCTGTGAGTTGAACGCACACATCACAGAGCAGTTTCTGAGAATGATTCTGTCGGGTTTTTATACGAAGATATTTCCTTTTCTGCCTTTGGCCTCAAAGCGCTTGAAGTCTCCACTTGCAAATTGCAGAAAAAGAGTGTTTCGAATCTGCTCTGTCTAAAGGAAGGTTCAACTCTGTCAGTTGAATACACACAACACAAGGAAGTTACTGAGATTTCTTCTGTCTAGCCTTACATGAAAAAAACCCGTTTCCAACGAAGGCCTCAAAGAGGTCAAAATATCCACGTGCAGACTTTCCAAACAGAGTGTTTCCAAACTGCTGAATGAAAAGAAAAGTTAAACTCTGTGAGTTGAACGCACACATCCCAGAGCAGTTTCTGAGAAAGATTCTGTCTAGTTTTTATAGGAAAATATTTCCTTTTCTGCTTTTGGCCTCAAAGCGCTTGAAATCTCCACTTGCAAATTCCACAAAAAGAGACTTTCAAATCTGCTCTGTCTAAAGGAAGGTTCAACTCTGTCAGTTGAATACACACAACACAAAGAAGTTACTAAGAATTCTTCCCTCTAGCATTATATGAAGAAATCCCGTTTCCAACGAAGGCATCTAAGAGGTCCAAATATCCACTTGCAGACTTTACAAACACAGGGTTTCCAGAATGCTGTATGAAAAGAAAGGTTAAACTCTGTGAGTTAAACACACACATCACTACGCAGTGTCTGGGAACGAGTTTGTCTTGTTTTTATACGAAGATATTTCCTTTTCTACCATTGGCATCGAAGCGCTTGAAATCTCCACTTGCAAATTCCACAAAAAGAGTGTTTCAAATCTGCTCTGTCTAAAGGAAGGTTGAACTCTGTGAGTTGCATACACACAACACAAAGAAGTTACTGAGAAATCTTCTGTCTAGCATAATATGAAGAAATCCCGTTTCCAACGAAGGCCTCAAAGAGGTCCGAATATCCACTGGCAGGCTTCACAAACAGAGTGTTTCCTAACTGCTCTGTGAAAAG
Source organism: Homo sapiens (assembly GCF_000001405.40). Lineage (NCBI taxonomy): Eukaryota > Metazoa > Chordata > Mammalia > Primates > Hominidae > Homo > Homo sapiens. Next base: position 36,808,987 of record NC_000016.10, on the reverse strand, counting down.
AAAGGTTAAACTCTGTGAGTTGAACGCACACATCACAAAGGAGTTTCTGAGAATCATTCTGTCTAGTTTTTATACGAAGATATTTCCTTTTCTACCATTGACCTCAAAGCGGCTGAAATCTCCACTTGCAAATTCCAGAAAAACAGTGTTTCAAATCTGCTCTGTGTAAAGGATCGTTCAACTCTGTGAGTTGAATACACACAACACAAGGAAGTTACTGAGAATTCATCTGTCTAGCATAATATGAAGAAATCCCGTTTCCAACGAAGGCCTCAAAGAGGTCTGAATATCCACTTGCAGACTTTACAAACAGAGTGTTTCCTAACTGCTCTCTGAAAAGAAAGGTTAAACTGTGTGAGTTGAACGCACACATCACAAAACAGTTTCTGAGAATCATTCTGTCTAGTTTTTATACGAAGATATTTCCTTTTCTACCGTTGACCTCAAAGCGGCTGAATTCTCCACTTACAAATTCCACCAAAAGAGTGTCTCAAATCTGCTCTGTGTAAAGAATCATTCAACTCTGTGAGTTGAATGCACACAACACAAGGAAGTTACTGGGAATTCCTCTGTCTAACCTTACATGAAAAAACCCGTTTCCAATGAAGGCCTCTAAGAGGCCAAGATATCCACTTGCAGACTTTACAAACAGAGTGTTTCCAAACTGCTGAATGAAAAGAAAAGTTAAACTCTGTGAGTTGAACGCACACATCACAGAGCAGTTTCTGAGAATGATTCTGTCGGGTTTTTATACGAAGATATTTCCTTTTCTGCCTTTGGCCTCAAAGCGCTTGAAGTCTCCACTTGCAAATTGCAGAAAAAGAGTGTTTCGAATCTGCTCTGTCTAAAGGAAGGTTCAACTCTGTCAGTTGAATACACACAACACAAGGAAGTTACTGAGATTTCTTCTGTCTAGCCTTACATGAAAAAAACCCGTTTCCAACGAAGGCCTCAAAGAGGTCAAAATATCCACGTGCAGACTTTCCAAACAGAGTGTTTCCAAACTGCTGAATGAAAAGAAAGTTAAACTCTGTGAGTTGAACGCACACATCCCAGAGCAGTTTCTGAGAAAGATTCTGTCGAGGTTTTATAGGAAAATATTTCCTTTTCTGCTTTTGGCCTCAAAGCGCTTGAAATCTCCACTTGCAAATTCCACAAAAAGAGACTTTCAAATCTGCTCTGTCTAAAGGAAGGTTCAACTCTGTCAGTTGAATACACACAACACAAAGAAGTTACTAAGAATTCTTCCCTCTAGCATTATATGAAGAAATCCCGTTTCCAACGAAGGCATCTAAGAGGTCCAAATATCGACTTGCAGACTTTACAAACAGAGGGTTTCCAGAATGCTGTATGAAAAGAAAGGTTAAACTCTGTGAGTTAAACACACACATCACTACGCAGTGTCTGGGAACGAGTTTGTCTTGTTTTTATACGAAGATATTTCCTTTTCTACCATTGGCATCGAAGCGCTTGAAATCTCCACTTGCAAATTCCACAAAAAGAGTGTTTCAAATCTGCTCTGTCTAAAGGAAGGTTGAACTCTGTGAGTTGCATACACACAACACAAAGAAGTTACTGAGAAATCTTCTGTCTAGCATAATATGAAGAAATCCCGTTTCCAACGAAGGCCTGAAAGAGGTCCGAATATCCACTGGCAGGCTTCACAAACAGAGTGTTTCCTAACTGCTCTGTGAAAAGAAAGGTTAAACTCTGTGAGTTGAACGCACACATCACAAAGGAGTTTCTGAGAATCATTCTGTCTAGTTTTTATACGAAGATATTTCCTTTTCTACCATTGACCTCAAAGCGGCTGAAATCTCCACTTGCAAATTCCAGAAAAACAGTGTTTCAAATCTGCTCTGTGTAAAGGATCGTTCAACTCTGTGAGTTGAATACACACAACACAAGGAAGTTACTGAGAATTCATCTGTCTAGCATAATATGAAGAAATCCCGTTTCCAACGAAGGCTTCAAAGAGGTCTGAATATCCACTTGCAGACTTTACAAACAGAGTGTTTCCTAACTGCTCTTTGAAAAGAAAGGTTAAACTCTGTGAGTTGAACGCACACATCACAAAACAGTTTCTGAGAATCATTCTTTCTAGTTTTTATACGAAGATATTTCCTTTTCTACCGTTGACCTCAAAGCGGCTGAATTCTCCACTTACAAATTCCACCAAAAGAGTGTCTCAAATCTGCTCTGTGTAAAGAATCATTCAACTCTGTGAGTTGAATGCATACAACACAAGGAAGTTACTGGGAATTCCTCTGTCTAACCTTACATGAAAAAACCCGTTTCCAACGAAGGCCTCTAAGAGGCCAAGATATCCACTTGCAGACTTTACAAACAGAGTGTTTCCAAACTGCTGAATGAAAAGAAAAGTTAAACTCTGTGAGTTGAACGCACACATCACAGAGCAGTTTCTGAGAATGATTCTGTCGGGTTTTTATACGAAGATATTTCCTTTTCTGCCTTTGGCCTCAAAGCGCTTGAAGTCTCCACTTGCAAATTGCAGAAAAAGAGTGTTTCGAATCTGCTCTGTCTAAAGGAAGGTTCAACTCTGTCAGTTGAATACACACAACACAAGGAAGTTACTGAGATTTCTTCTGTCTAGCCTTACATGAAAAAAACCCGTTTCCAACGAAGGCCTCAAAGAGGTCAAAATATCCACGTGCAGACTTTCCAAACAGAGTGTTTCCAAACTGCTGAATGAAAAGAAAAGTTAAACTCTGTGAGTTGAACGCACACATCCCAGAGCAGTTTCTGAGAAAGATTCTGTCGAGTTTTTATAGGAAAATATTTCCTTTTCTGCTTTTGGCCTCAAAGCGCTTGAAATCTCCACTTGCAAATTCCACAAAAAGAGACTTTCAAATCTGCTCTGTCTAAAGGAAGGTTCAACTCTGTCAGTTGAATACACACAACACAAAGAAGTTACTAAGAATTCTTCCCTCTAGCATTATATGAAGAAATCCCGTTTCCAACGAAGGCATCTAAGAGGTCCAAATATCCACTTGCAGACTTTACAAACACAGGGTTTCCAGAATGCTGTATGAAAAGAAAGGTTAAACTCTGTGAGTTAAACACACACATCACTACGCAGTGTCTGGGAACGAGTTTGTCTTGTTTTTATACGAAGATATTTCCTTTTCTACCATTGGCATCGAAGCGCTTGAAATCTCCACTTGCAAATTCCACAAAAAGAGTGTTTCAAATCTGCTCTGTCTAAAGGAAGGTTGAACTCTGTGAGTTGCATACACACAACACAAAGAAGTTACTGAGAAATCTTCTGTCTAGCATAATATGAAGAAATCCCGTTTCCAACGAAGGCCTCAAAGAGGTCCGAATATCCACTGGCAGGCTTCACAAACAGAGTGTTTCCTAACTGCTCTGTGAAAAGAAAGGTTAAACTCTGTGAGTTGAACGCACACATCACAAAGGAGTTTCTGAGAATCATTCTGTCTAGTTTTTATACGAAGATATTTCCTTTTCTACCGTTGACCTCAAAGCGGCTGAATTCTCCACTTACAAATTCCACCAAAAGAGTGTCTCAAATCTGCTCTGTGTAAAGAATCATTCAACTCTGTGAGTTGAATGCACACAACACAAGGAAGTTACTGGGAATTCCTCTGTCTAACCTTACATGAAAAAACCCGTTTCCAACGAAGGCCTCTAAGAGGCCAAGATATCCACTTGCAGACTTTACAAACAGAGTGTTTCCAAACTGCTGAATGAATAGAAAAGTTAAACTCTGTGAGTTGAACGCACACATCACAGAGCAGTTTCTGAGAATGATTCTGTCGGGTTTTTATACGAAGATATTTCCTTTTCTGCCTTTGGCCTCAAAGCGCTTGAAGTCTCCACTTGCAAATTGCAGAAAAAGAGTGTTTCGAATCTGCTCTGTCTAAAGGAAGGTTCAACTCTGTCAGTTGAATACACACAACACAAGGGAATTTACTGAGATTTCTTCTGTCTAGCCTTACATGAAAAAAACCCGTTTCCAACGAAGGCCTCAAAGAGGTCAAAATATCCACGTGCAGACTTTCCAAACAGAGTGTTTCCAAACTGCTGAATGAAAAGAAAAGTTAAACTCTGTGAGTTGAACGCACACATCCCAGAGCAGTTTCTGAGAAAGATTCTGTCGAGTTTTTATAGGAAAATATTTCCTTTTCTGCTTTTGGCCTCAAAGCGCTTGAAATCTCCACTTGCAAATTCCACAAAAAGAGACTTTCAAATCTGCTCTGTCTAAAGGAAGGTTCAACTCTGTCAGTTGAATACACACAACACAAAGAAGTTACTAAGAATTCTTCCCTCTAGCATTATATGAAGAAATCCCGTTTCCAACGAAGGCATCTAAGAGGTCCAAATATCCACTTGCAGACTTTACAAACACAGGGTTTCCAGAATGCTGTATGAAAAGAAAGGTGAAACTCTGTGAGTTAAACACACACATCACTACGCAGTGTCTGGAGAACGAGTTTGTCTTGTTTTTATACGAAGAATATTTCCTTTTCTACCATTGGCATCGAAGCGCTTGAAATCTCCACTTGCAAATTCCACAAAAAGAGTGTTTCAAATCTGCTCTGTCTAAAGGAAGGTTGAACTCTGTGAGTTGCATACACACAACACAAAGAAGTTACTGAGAAATCTTCTGTCTAGCATAATATGAAGAAATCCCGTTTCCAACGAAGGCCTCAAAGAGGTCCGAATATCCACTGGCAGGCTTCACAAACAGAGTGTTTCCTAACTGCTCTGTGAAAAGAAAGGTTAAACTCTGTGAGTTGAACGCACACATCACAAAGGAGTTTCTGAGAATCATTCTGTCTAGTTTTTATACGAAGATATTTCTTTTTCTACCATTGACCTCAAAGCGGCTGAAATCTCCACTTGCAAATTCCAGAAAAACAGTGTTTCAAATCTGCTCTGTGTAAAGGATCGTTCAACTCTGTGAGTTGAATACACACAACACAAGGAAGTTACTGAGAATTCATCTGTCTAGCATAATATGAAGAAATCCCGTTTCCAACGAAGGCCTCAAAGAGGTCTGAATATCCACTTGCAGACTTTACAAACAGAGTGTTTCCTAACTGCTCTTTGAAAAGAAAGGTTAAACTCTGTGAGTTGAACGCACACATCACAAAACAGTTTCTGAGAATCATTCTGTCTAGTTTTTATACGAAGATATTTCCTTTTCTACCGTTGACCTCAAAGCGGCTGAATTCTCCACTTACAAATTCCACCAAAAGAGTGTCTCAAATCTGCTCTGTGTAAAGAATCATTCAACTCTGTGAGTTGAATGCACACAACACAAGGAAGTTACTGGGAATTCCTCTGTCTAACCTTACATGAAAAAACCCGTTTCCAACGAAGGCCTCTAAGAGGCCAAGATATCCACTTGCAGACTTTACAAACAGAGTGTTTCCAAACTGCTGAATGAAAAGAAAAGTTAAACTCTGTGAGTTGAACGCACACATCACAGAGCAGTTTCTGAGAATGATTCTGTCGGGTTTTTATACGAAGATATTTCCTTTTCTGCCTTTGACCTCAAAGCGCTTGAAGTCTCCACTTGCAAATTGCAGAAAAAGAGTGTTTCGAATCTGCTCTGTCTAAAGGAAGGTTCAACTCTGTCAGTTGAATACACACAACACAAGGAAGTTACTGAGATTTCTTCTGTCTAGCCTTACATGAAAAAAACCCGTTTCCAACGAAGGCCTCAAAGAGGTCAAAATATCCACGTGCAGACTTTCCAAACAGAGTGTTTCCAAACTGCTGAATGAAAAGAAAAGTTAAACTCTGTGAGTTGAACGCACACATCCCAGAGCAGTTTCTGAGAAAGATTCTGTCGAGTTTTTATAGGAAAATATTTCCTTTTCTGCTTTTGGCCTCAAAGCGCTTGAAATCTCCACTTGCAAATTCCACAGAAAGAGACTTTCAAATCTGCTCTGTCTAAAGGAAGGTTCAACTCTGTCAGTTGAATACACACAACACAAAGAAGTTACTAAGAATTCTTCCCTCTAGCATTATATGAAGAAATCCCGTTTCCAACGAAGGCATCTAAGAGGTCCAAATATCCACTTGCAGACTTTACAAACACAGGGTTTCCAGAATGCTGTATGAAAAGAAAGGTTAAACTCTGTGAGTTAAACACACACATCACTACGCAGTGTCTGGGAACGAGTTTGTCTTGTTTTTATACGAAGATATTTCCTTTTCTACCATTGGCATCGAAGCGCTTGAAATCTCCACTTGCAAATTCCACAAAAAGAGTGTTTCAAATCTGCTCTGTCTAAAGGAAGGTTGAACTCTGTGAGTTGCATACACACAACCCAAAGAAGTTACTGAGAAATCTTCTGTCTAGCATAATATGAAGAAATCCCGTTTCCAACGAAGGCCTCAAAGAGGTCCGAATATCCACTGGCAGGCTTCACAAACAGAGTGTTTCCTAACTGCTCTGTGAAAAGAAAGGTTAAACTCTGTGAGTTGAACGCACACATCACAAAGGAGTTTCTGAGAATCATTCTGTCTAGTTTTTATACGAAGATATTTCCTTTTCTACCATTGACCTCAAAGCGGCTGAAATCTCCACTTGCAAATTCCAGAAAAACAGTGTTTCAAATCTGCTCTGTGTAAAGGATCGTTCAACTCTGTGAGTTGAATACACACAACACAAGGAAGTTACTGAGAATTCATCTGTCTAGCATAATATGAAGAAATCCCGTTTCCAACGAAGGCCTCAAAGAGGTCTGAATATCCTCTTGCAGACTTTACAAACAGAGTGTTTCCTAACTGCTCTTTGAAAAGAAAGGTTAAACTCTGTGAGTTGAACGCACACATCACAAAACAGTTTCTGAGAATCATTCTGTCTAGTTTTTATACGAAGATATTTCCTTTTCTACCGTTGACCTCAAAGCGGCTGAATTCTCCACTTACAAATTCCACCAAAAGAGTGTCTCAAAACTGCTCTGTGTAAAGAATCATTCAACTCTGTGAGTTGAATGCACACAACACAAGGAAGTTACTGGGAATTCCTGTGTGTATCCTTACATGAAAAAACCCGTTTCCAACGAAGGCCTCTAAGAGGCCAAGATATCCACTTGCAGACTTTACAAACAGAGTGTTTCCAAACTGCTGAATGAAAAGAAAAGTTAAACTCTGTGAGTTGAACGCACACATCACAGAGCAGTTTCTGAGAATGATTCTGTCGGGTTTTTATACGAAGATATTTCCTTTTCTGCCTTTGGCCTCAAAGCGCTTGAAGTCTCCACTTGCAAATTGCAGAAAAAGAGTGTTTCGAATCTGCTCTGTCTAAAGGAAGGTTCAACTCTGTCAGTTGAATACACACAACACAAGGAAGTTACTGAGATTTCTTCTGTCTAGCCTTACATGAAAAAAACCCGTTTCCAACGAAGGCCTCAAAGAGGTCAAAATATCCACGTGCAGACTTTCCAAACAGAGTGTTTCCAAACTGCTGAATGAAAAGAAAAGTTAAACTCTGTGAGTTGAACGCACACATCCCAGAGCAGTTTCTGAGAAAGATTCTGTCGAGTTTTTATAGGAAAATATTTCCTTTTCTGCTTTTGGCCTCAAAGCGCTTGAAATCTCCACTTGCAAATTCCACAAAAAGAGACTTTCAAATCTGCTCTGTCTAAAGGAAGGTTCAACTCTGTCAGTTGAATACACACAACACAAAGAAGTTACTAAGAATTCTTCCCTCTAGCATTATATGAAGAAATCCCGTTTGCAACGAAGGCATCTAAGAGGTCCAAATATCCACTTGCAGACTTTACAAACAGAGGGTTTCCAGAATGCTGTATGAAAAGAAAGGTGAAACTCTGTGAGTTAAACACACACATCACTACGCAGTGTCTGGGAACGAGTTTGTCTTGTTTTTATACGAAGATATTTCCTTTTCTACCATTGGCATCGAAGCGCTTGAAATCTCCACTTGCAAATTCCACAAAAAGAGTGTTTCAAATCTGCTCTGTCTAAAGGAAGGTTGAACTCTGTGAGTTGCATACACACAACACAAAGAAGTTACTGAGAAATCTTCTGTCTAGCATAATATGAAGAAATCCCGTTTCCAACGAAGGCCTCAAAGAGGTCCGAATATCCACTGGCAGGCTTCACAAACAGAGTGTTTCCTAACTGCTCTGTGAAAAGAAAGGTTAAACTCTGTGAGTTGAACGCACACATCACAAAGGAGTTTCTGAGAATCATTCTGTCTAGTTTTTATACGAAGATATTTCCTTTTCTACCATTGACCTCAAAGCGGCTGAAATCTCCACTTGCAAATTCCAGAAAAACAGTGTTTCAAATCTGCTCTGTGTAAAGGATCGTTCAACTCTGTGAGTTGAATACACACAACACAAGGAAGTTACTGAGAATTCATCTGTCTAGCATAATATGAAGAAATCCCGTTTCCAACGAAGGCCTCAAAGAGGTCTGAATATCCACTTGCAGACTTTACAAACAGAGTGTTTCCTAACTGCTCTTTGAAAAGAAAGGTTAAACTCTGTGAGTTGAACGCACACATCACAAAACAGTTTCTGAGAATCATTCTGTCTAGTTTTTATACGAAGATATTTCCTTTTCTACCGTTGACCTCAAAGCGGCTGAATTCTCCACTTACAAATTCCACCAAAAGAGTGTCTCAAATCTGCTCTGTGTAAAGAATCATTCAACTCTGTGAGTTGAATGCACACAACACAAGGAAGTTACTGGGAATTCCTCTGTCTAACCTTACATGAAAAAACACGTTTCCAACGAAGGCCTCTAAGAGGCCAAGATATCCACTTGCAGACTTTACAAACAGAGTGTTTCCAAACTGCTGAATGAAAAGAAAAGTTAAACTCTGTGAGTTGAACGCACACATCACAGAGCAGTTTCTGAGAATGATTCTGTCGGGTTTTTATACGAAGATATTTCCTTTTCTGCCTTTGGCCTCAAAGCGCTTGAAGTCTCCACTTGCAAATTGCAGAAAAAGAGTGTTTCGAATCTGCTCTGTCTAAAGGAAGGTTCAACTCTGTCAGTTGAATACACACAACACAAGGAAGTTACTGAGATTTCTTCTGTCTAGCCTTACATGAAAAAAACCCGTTTCCAACGAAGGCCTCAAAGAGGTCAAAATATCCACGTGCAGACTTTCCAAACAGAGTGTTTCCAAACTGCTGAATGAAAAGAAAAGTTAAACTCTGTGAGTTGAACGCACACATCCCAGAGCAGTTTCTGAGAAAGATTCTGTCGAGTTTTTATAGGAAAATATTTCCTTTTCTGCTTTTGGCCTCAAAGCGCTTGAAATCTCCACTTGCAAATTCCACAAAAAGAGACTTTCAAATCTGCTCTGTCTAAAGGAAGGTTCAACTCTGTCAGTTGAATACACACAACACAAAGAAGTTACTAAGAATTCTTCCCTCTAGCATTATATGAAGAAATCCCGTTTCCAACGAAGGCATCTAAGAGGTCCAAATATCCACTTGCAGACTTTACAAACACACGGTTTCCAGAATGCTGTATGAAAAGAAAGGTGAAACTCTGTGAGTTAAACACACACATCACTACGCAGTGTCTGGGAACGAGTTTGTCTTGTTTTTATACGAAGATATTTCCTTTTCTACCATTGGCATCGAAGCGTTTGAAATCTCCACTTGCAAATTCCACAAAAAGAGTGTTTCAAATCTGCTCTGTCTAAAGGAAGGTTGAACTCTGTGAGTTGCATACACACAACCCAAAGAAGTTACTGAGAAATCTTCTGTCTAGCATAATATGAAGAAATCCCGTTTCCAACGAAGGCCTCAAAGAGGTCCGAATATCCACTGGCAGGCTTCACAAACAGAGTGTTTCCTAACTGCTCTGTGAAAAGAAAGGTTAAACTCTGTGAGTTGAACGCACACATCACAAAGGAGTTTCTGAGAATCATTCTGTCTAGTTTTTATACGAAGATATTTCCTTTTCTACCATTGACCTCAAAGCGGCTGAAATCTCCACTTGCAAATTCCAGAAAAACAGTGTTTCAAATCTGCTCTGTGTAAAGGATCGTTCAACTCTGTGAGTTGAATACACACAACACAAGGAAGTTACTGAGAATTCATCTGTCTAGCATAATATGAAGAAATCCCGTTTCCAACGAAGGCCTCAAAGAGGTCTGAATATCCACTTGCAGACTTTACAAACAGAGTGTTTCCTAACTGCTCTTTGAAAAGAAAGGTTAAACTCTGTGAGTTGAACGCACACATCACAAAACAGTTTCTGAGAATCATTCTGTCTAGTTTTTATACGAAGATATTTCCTTTTCTACCGTTGACCTCAAAGCGGCTGAATTCTCCACTTACAAATTCCACCAAAAGAGTGTCTCAAATCTGCTCTGTGTAAAGAATCATTCAACTCTGTGAGTTGAATGCACACAACACAAGGAAGTTACTGGGAATTCCTCTGTCTATCCTTACATGAAAAAACCCGTTTCCAACGAAGGCCTCTAAGAGGCCAAGATATCCACTTGCAGACTTTACAAACAGAGTGTTTCCAAACTGCTGAATGAAAAGAAAAGTTAAACTCTGTGAGTTGAACGCACACATCACAGAGCAGTTTCTGAGAGTGATTCTGTCGGGTTTTTATACGAAGATATTTCCTTTTCTGCCTTTGGCCTCAAAGCGCTTGAAGTTTCCACGTGCAAATTGCAGAAAAAGAGTGTTTCGAATCTGCTCTGTCTAAAGGAAGGTTCAACTCTGTCAGTTGAATACACACAACACAAGGAAGTTACTGAGATTTCTTCTGTCTAGCCTTACATGAAAAAAACCCGTTTCCAACGAAGGCCTCAAAGAGGTCAAAATATCCACGTGCAGACTTTCCAAACAGAGTGTTTCCAAACTGCTGAATGAAAAGAAAAGTTAAACTCTGTGAGTTGAACGCACACATCCCAGAGCAGTTTCTGAGAAAGATTCTGTCTAGTTTTTATAGGAAAATATTTCCTTTTCTGCTTTTGGCCTCAAAGCGCTTCAAATCTCCACTTGCAAATTCCAGAAAAAGAGACTTTCAAATCTGCTCTGTCTAAAGGAAGGTTCAACTCTGTCAGTTGAATACACACAACACAAAGAAGTTACTAAGAATTCTTCCCTCTAGCATTATATGAAGAAATCCCGTTTCCAAAGAAGGCATCTAAGAGGTCCAAATATCCACTTGCAGACTTTACAAACAGAGGGTTTCCAGAATGCTGTATGAAAAGAAAGGTTAAACTCTGTGAGTTAAACACACACATCACTACTCAGTGTCTGGGAACGAGTTTGTCTTGTTTTTATACGAAGGATATTTCCTTTTCTACCATTTGCATCGAAGCGCTTGAAATCTCCACTTGCAAATTCCACAAAAAGAGTGTTTCAAATATGCTCTCTCTAAAGGAAGGTTGAACTCTGTAAGTTGCATACACACAACACAAAGAAGTTACTGAGAAATCTTCTGTCTAGCATAATATGAAGAAATCCCGTTTCCAACGAAGGCCTCAAAGAGGTCCGATTATCCACTGGCAGGCTTCACAAACAGAGTGTTTCCTAACTGCTCTGTGAAAAGAAAGGTTAAACTCTGTGAGTTGAACGCACACATCACAAAGGAGTTTCTGAGAATCATTCTGTCTAGTTTTTATACGAAGATATTTCCTTTTCTACCATTGACCTCAAAGCGGCTGAAATCTCCACTTGCAAATTCCAGAAAAACAGTGTTTCAAATCTGCTCTGTGTAAAGGATCGTTCAACTCTGTGAGTTGAATACACACAACACAAGGAAGTTACTGAGAATTCATCTGTCTAGCATAATATGAAGAAATCCCGTTTCCAACGAAGGCCTCAAAGAGGTCTGAATATCCACTTGCAGACTTTACAGAGTGTTTCCTAACTGCTCTTTGAAAAGAAAGGTTAAACTCTGTGAGTTGAACGCACACATCACAAAACAGTTTCTGAGAATCATTCTGTCTAGTTTTTATACGAAGATATTTCCTTTTCTACCGTTGACCTCAAAGCGGCTGAATTCTCCACTTACAAATTCCACCAAAAGAGTGTCTCAAAACTGCTCTGTGTAAAGAATCATTCAACTCTGTGAGTTGAATGCACACAACACAAGGAAGTTACTGGGAATTCCTCTGTCTAACCTTACATGAAAAAACCCGTTTCCAACGAAGGCCTCTAAGAGGCCAAGATATCCACTTGCAGACTTTACAAACAGAGTGTTTCCAAACTGCTGAATGAAAAGAAAAGTTAAACTCTGTGAGTTGAACGCACACATCACAGAGCAGTTTCTGAGAATGATTCTGTCGGGTTTTTATACGAAGATATTTCCTTTTCTGCCTTTGGCCTCAAAGCGCTTGAAGTCTCCACTTGCAAATTGCAGAAAAAGAGTGTTTCGAATCTGCTCTGTCTAAAGGAAGGTTCAACTCTGTCAGTTGAATACACACAACACAAGGAAGTTACTGAGATTTCTTCTGTCTAGCCTTACATGAAAAAAACCCGTTTCCAACGAAGGCCTCAAAGATGTCAAAATATCCACGTGCAGACTTTCCAAACAGAGTGTTTCCAAACTGCTGAATGAAAAGAAAAGTTAAACTCTGTGAGTTGAACGCACACATCCCAGAGCAGTTTCTGAGAAAGATTCTGTCTAGTTTTTATAGGAAAATATTTCCTTTTCTGCTTTTGGCCTCAAAGCGCTTGAAATCTCCACTTGCAAATTCCACAAAAAGAGACTTTCAAATCTGCTCTGTCTAAAGGAAGGTTCAACTCTGTCAGTTGAATACACACAACACAAAGAAGTTACTAAGAATTCTTCCCTCTAGCATTATATGAAGAAATCCCGTTTCCAACGAAGGCATCTAAGAGGTCCAAATATCCACTTGCAGACTTTACAAACACAGGGTTTCCAGAATGCTGTATGAAAAGAAAGGTTAAACTCTGTGAGTTAAACACACACATCACTACGCAGTGTCTGGGAACGAGTTTGTCTTGTTTTTATACGAAGATATTTCCTTTTCTACCATTGGCATCGAAGCGCTTGAAATCTCCACTTGCAAATTCCACAAAAAGAGTGTTTCAAATCTGCTCTGTCTAAAGGAAGGTTGAACTCTGTGAGTTGCATACACACAACACAAAGAAGTTACTGAGAAATCTTCTGTCTAGCATAATATGAAGAAATCCCGTTTCCAACGAAGGCCTCAAAGAGGTCCGAATATCCACTGGCAGGCTTCACAAACAGAGTGTTTCCTAACTGCTCTGTGAAAAGAAAGGTTAAACTCTGTGAGTTGAACGCACACATCACAAAGGAGTTTCTGAGGAATCATTCTCGTCTAGTTTTTATACGAAGATATTTCCTTTTCTACCATTGACCTCAAAGCGGCTGAAATCTCCACTTGCAAATTCCAGAAAAACAGTGTTTCAAATCTGCTCTGTGTAAAGGATCGTTCAACTCTGTGAGTTGAATACACACAACACAAGGAAGTTACTGAGAATTCATCTGTCTAGCATAATATGAAGAAATCCCGTTTCCAACGAAGGCCTCAAAGAGGTCTGAATATCCACTTGCAGACTTTACAAACAGAGTGTTTCCTAACTGCTCTTTGAAAAGAAAGGTTAAACTCTGTGAGTTGAACGCACACATCACAAAACAGTTTCTGAGAATCATTCTGTCTAGTTTTTATACGAAGATATTTCCTTTTCTACCGTTGACCTCAAAGCGGCTGAATTCTCCACTTACAAATTCCACCAAAAGAGTGTCTCAAATCTGCTCTGTGTAAAGAATCATTCAACTCTGTGAGTTGAATGCACACAACACAAGGAAGTTACTGGGAATTCCTCTGTCTAACCTTACATGAAAAAACGCGTTTCCAACGAAGGCCTCTAAGAGGCCAAGATATCCACTTGCAGACTTTACAAACAGAGTGTTTCCAAACTGCTGAATGAAAAGAAAAGTTAAACTCTGTGAGTTGAACGCACACATCACAGAGCAGTTTCTGAGAATGATTCTGTCGGGTTTTTATACGAAGATATTTCCTTTTCTGCCTTTGGCCGCAAAGCGCTTGAAGTCTCCACTTGCAAATTGCAGAAAAAGAGCGTTTCGAATCTGCTCTGTCTAAAGGAAGGTTCAACTCTGTCAGTTGAATACACACAACACAAGGAAGTTACTGAGATTTCTTCTGTCTAGCCTTACATGAAAAAAACCCGTTTCCAACGAAGGCCTCAAAGAGGTCAAAATATCCACGTGCAGACTTTCCAAACAGAGTGTTTCCAAACTGCTGAATGAAAAGAAAGTTAAACTCTGTGAGTTGAACACACACATCACAGAGCAGTTTCTGAGAATGATTCTCTCTAGTTTTTATAGGAAAATATTTCCTTTTCTGCTTTTGGCCTCAAAGTGCTTGAAATCTCCACTTGCAAATTCCACAAAAAGAGACTTTCAAATCTGCTCTGTCTAAAGGAAGGTTCAACTCTGTCAGTTCAATACACACAACACAAAGAAGTTACTAAGAATTCTTCCCTCTAGCATTATATGAAGAAATCCCGTTTCCAAAGAAGGCCTCAAAGAGGTCTGAATATCCACTTGCAGACTTTACAGAGTGTTTCCTAACTGCTCTTTGAAAAGAAAGGTTAAACTCTGTGAGTTGAACGCACACATCACAAAACAGTTTCTGAGAATCATTCTGTCTAGTTTTTATACGAAGATATTTCCTTTTCTACCGTTGACCTCAAAGCGGCTGAATTCTCCACTTACAAATTCCACCCAAAGAGTGTCTCAAATCTGCTCTGTGTAAAGAATCATTCAACTCTGTGAGTTGAATGCACACAACACAAGGAAGATACTGGGAATTCCTCTGTCTAACCTTACATGAAAAAACCCGTTTCCAACGAAGGCCTCTAAGAGGCCAAGATATCCACTTGCAGACTTTACAAACAGAGTGTTTCCAAACTGCTGAATGAAAAGAAAAGTTAAACTCTGTGAGTTGAACGCACACATCACAGAGCAGTTTCTGAGAATGATTCTGTCGGGTTTTTATACGAAGATATTTCCTTTTCTGCCTTTGGCCTCAAAGCGCTTGAAGTCTCCACTTGCAAATTCCACAAAAAGAGACTTTCAAATCTGCTCTGTCTAAAGGAAGGTTCAACTCTGTCAGTTGAATACACACAAGACAAAGAAGTTACTGAGAATTCTTCCCTCTACCATTATATGACGACTTCCCATTTCCAACGAAGGCATCTAAGAGGTCCAAATATCCACTTGCAGACTTTACAAACAGAGGGTTTCCAGAATTCTGTATGAAAAGAAAGTTTTAACTCTGTGAGTTAAACACACACATCACTGCGCAGTTTCTGGGAATGATTTTGTCTTGTTTTTATACGAAGATATTTCCTTTTCTACCATTGGCGTCGAAGCGCTTGAAATCTCCACTTGCAAATTCCACAAAAAGAGTGTTTCAAATCTGCTCTGTCTAAGGGAAGGATGAACTCTGTGAGTTGCATACACACAACACAAAGTAGTTACTGAGAAATCTGTCTAGCATAATATGAAGAAATCCCGTTTCCAACGAAGGCCTCAAAGAGGTCCGAATATCCACTGGCAGACTTCACAAACAGAGTGTTTCCTAACTGCTCTGTGAATAGAAAGGTTAAACTCTGTGAGTTGAACGCACACATCACAAAGGAGTTTCTGAGAATCATTCTGTCTAGTTTTTATACGAAGATATTTCCTTTTCTACCATTGACCCCAAAACGGCTGAAATCTCCACTTGCAAATTCCAGAAAAAGAGTGTTTCAAATCTGCTCTGTGTAAAGGATCGTTCAACTCTGTGAGTTGAATACACACAACACAAGGAAGTTACTGAGAATTCTTCTGTCTAGCATAATATGAAGAAATCCCGTTTCCAACGAAGGCCTCAAAGAGGTCTGAATATCCACTTGCAGACTTTACAAACAGAGTGTTTCCTAACTGCTCTTTGAAAAGAAAGGTTAAACTCTGTGAGTTGAACGCACACATCACAAAACAGTTTCTGAGAATCATTCTGTCTAGTTTTTATACGAAGATATTTCCTTTTCTACCGTTGACCTCAAAGCGGCTGAATTCTCCACTTACAAATTCCACCAAAAGAGTGTCTCAAATCTGCTCTGTGTAAAGAATCATTCAACTCTGTGAGTTGAATGCACACAACACAAGGAAGTTACTGGGAATTCCTCTGTCTAACCTTACATGAAAAAACCCGTTTCCAACGAAGGCCTCTAAGAGGCCAAGATATCCACTTGCAGACTTTACAAACAGAGTGTTTCCAAACTGCTGAATGAAAAGAAAAGTTAAACTCTGTGAGTTGAACGCACACATCACAGAGCAGTTTCTGAGAATGATTCTGTCGGGTTTTTATACAAAGATATTTCCTTTTCTGCCTTTGGCCTCAAAGCGCTTGAAGTCTCCACTTGCAAATTGCAGAAAAAGAGTGTTTCGAATCTGCTCTGTCTAAAGGAAGGTTCAACTCTGTCAGTTGAATACACACAACACAAGGAAGTTACTGAGATTTCTTCTGTCTAGCCTTACATGAAAAAAACCCGTTTCCAACGAAGGCCTCAAAGAGGTCAAAATATCCACGTGCAGACTTTCCAAACAGAGTGTTTCCAAACTGCTGAATGAAAAGAAAAGTTAAACTCTGTGAGTTGAACGCACACATCCCAGAGCAGTTTCTGAGAAAGATTCTGTCGAGTTTTTATAGGAAAATATTTCCTTTTCTGCTTTTGGCCTCAAAGCGCTTGAAATCTCCACTTGCAAATTCCACAAAAAGAGACTTTCAAATCTGCTCTGTCTAAAGGAAGGTTCAACTCTGTCAGTTGAATACACACAACACAAAGAAGTTACTAAGAATTCTTCCCTCTAGCATTATATGAAGAAATCCCGTTTCCAACGAAGGCATCTAAGAGGTCCAAATATCCACTTGCAGACTTTACAAACACAGGGTTTCCAGAATGCTGTATGAAAAGAAAGGTTAAACTCTGTGAGTTAAACACACACATCACTACGCAGTGTCTGGGAACGAGTTTGTCTTGTTTTTATACGAAGATATTTCCTTTTCTACCATTGGCATCGAAGCGCTTGAAATCTCCACTTGCAAATTCCACAAAAAGAGTGTTTCAAATCTGCTCTGTCTAAAGGAAGGTTGAACTCTGTGAGTTGCATACACACAACACAAAGAAGTTACTGAGAAATCTTCTGAATAGCATAATATGAAGAAATCCCGTTTCCAACGAAGGCCTAAAAGAGGTCCGAATATCCACTGGCAGGCTTCACAAACAGAGTGTTTCCTAACTGCTCTGTGAAAAGAAAGGTTAAACTCTGTGAGTTGAACGCACACATCACAAAGGAGTTTCTGAGAATCATTCTGTCTAGTTTTTATACGAAGATATTTCCTTTTCTACCATTGACCTCAAATCGGCTGAAATCTCCACTTGCAAATTCCAGAAAAACAGTGTTTCAAATCTGCTGTGTGTAAAGGATCGTTTAACTCTGTGAGTTGAATACACACAACACAAGGAAGTTACTGAGAATTCATCTGTCTAGCATAATATGAAGAAATCCCGTTTCCAACGAAGGCCTCAAAGAGGTCTGAATATCCACTTGCAGACTTTACAAACAGAGTGTTTCCTAACTGCTCTTTGAAAAGAAAGTTTAAACTCTGTGAGTTGAACGCACACATCACAAAACAGTTTCTGAGAATCATTCTGTCTAGTTTTTATACGAAGTTATTTCCTTTTCTACCGTTGCCCTCAAAGCGGCTGAATTCTCCACTTACAAATTCCACCCAAAGAGTGTCTCAAATCTGCTCTGTGTAAAGAATCATTCAACTCTGTGAGTTGAATGCACACAACACAAGGAAGTTACTGGGAATTCCTCTGTCTAACCTTACATGAAAAAACCCGTTTCCAATGAAGGCCTCTAAGAGGCCAAGATATCCACTTGCAGACTTTACAAACAGAGTGTTTCCAAACTGCTGAATGAAAAGAAAAGTTAAACTCTGTGAGTTGAACGCACACATCACAGAGCAGTTTCTGAGAATGATTCTGTCGGGTTTTTATACGAAGATATATCCTTTTCTGCCTTTGGCCTCAAAGCGCTTGAAGTCTCCACTTGCAAATTGCAGAAAAAGAGTGTTTCGAATCTGCTCTGTCTAAAGGAAGGTTCAACTCTGTCAGTTGAATACACACAACACAAGGAAGTTACTGAGATTTCTTCTGTCTAGCCTTACATGAAAAACACCCGTTTCCAACGAAGGCCTCAAAGAGGTCAAAATATCCACGTGCAGACTTTCCAAACAGAGTGTTTCCAAACTGCTGAATGAAAAGAAAAGTTAAACTCTGTGAGTTGAACGCACACATCCCAGAGCAGTTTCTGAGAAAGATTCTGTCGAGTTTTTATAGGAAAATATTTCCTTTTCTGCTTTTGGCCTCAAAGCGCTTGAAATCTCCACTTGCAAATTCCACAAAAAGAGACTTTCAAATCTGCTCTGTCTAAAGGAAGGTTCAACTCTGTCAGTTGAATACACACAACACAAAGAAGTTACTAAGAATTCTTCCCTCTAGCATTATATGAAGAAATCCCGTTTCCAACGAAGGCATCTAAGAGGTCCAAATATCCACTTGCAGACTTTACAAACACAGGGTTTCCAGAATGCTGTATGAAAAGAAAGGTTAAACTCTGTGAGTTAAACACACACATCACTACGCAGTGTCTGGGAACGAGTTTGTCTTGTTTTTATACGAAGATATTTCCTTTTCTACCATTGGCATCGAAGCGCTTGAAATCTCCACTTGCAAATTCCACAAAAAGAGTGTTTCAAATCTGCTCTGTCTAAAGGAAGGTTGAACTCTGTGAGTTGCATACACACAACACAAAGAAGTTACTGAGAAATCTTCTGTCTAGCATAATATGAAGAAATCCCGTTTCCAACGAAGGCCTCAAAGAGGTCCGAATATCCACTGGCAGGCTTCACAAACAGAGTGTTTCCTAACTGCTCTGTGAAAAGAAAGGTTAAACTCTGTGAGTTGAACGCACACATCACAAAGGAGTTTCTGAGAATCATTCTGTCTAGTTTTTATACGAAGATATTTCTTTTTCTACCATTGACCTCAAAGCGGCTGAAATCTCCACTTGCAAATTCCAGAAAAACAGTGTTTCAAATCTGCTCTGTGTAAAGGATCGTTCAACTCTGTGAGTTGAATACACACAACACAAGGAAGTTACTGAGAATTCATCTGTCTAGCATAATATGAAGAAATCCCGTTTCCAACGAAGGCCTCAAAGAGGTCTGAATATCCACTTGCAGACTTTACAAACAGAGTGTTTCCTAACTGCTCTTTGAAAAGAAAGGTTAAACTCTGTGAGTTGAACGCACACATCACAAAACAGTTTCTGAGAATCATTCTGTCTAGTTTTTATACGAAGATATTTCCTTTTCTACCGTTGACCTCAAAGCGGCTGAATTCTCCACTTATAAATTCCACCAAAAGAGTGTCTCAAATCTGCTCTGTGTAAAGAATCATTCAACTCTGTGAGTTGAATGCACACAACACAAGGAAGTTACTGGGAATTCCTCTGTCTAACCTTACATGAAAAAACCCGTTTCCAACGAAGGCCTCTAAGAGGCCAAGATATCCACTTGCAGACTTTACAAACAGAGTGTTTCCAAACTGCTGAATGAAAAGAAAAGTTAAACTCTGTGAGTTGAACGCACACATCACAGAGCAGTTTCTGAGAATGATTCTGTCGGGTTTTTATACGAAGATATTTCCTTTTCTGCCTTTGGCCTCAAAGCGCTTGAAGTCTCCACTTGCAAATTGCAGAAAAAGAGTGTTTCGAATCTGCTCTGTCTAAAGGAAGGTTCAACTCTGTCAGTTGAATACACACAACACAAGGAAGTTACTGAGATTTCTTCTGTCTAGCCTTACATGAAAAAAACCCGTTTCCAACGAAGGCCTCAAAGAGGTCAAAATATCCACGTGCAGACTTTCCAAACAGAGTGTTTCCAAACTGCTGAATGAAAAGTTAAACTCTGTGAGTTGAACGCACACATCCCAGAGCAGTTTCTGAGAAAGATTCTGTCTAGTTTTTATAGGAAAATATTTCCTTTTCTGCTTTTGGCCTCAAAGCGCTTGAAATCTCCACTTGCAAATTCCACAAAAAGAGACTTTCAAATCTGCTCTGTCTAAAGGAAGGTTCAACTCTGTCAGTTGAATACACACAACACAAAGAAGTTACTAAGAATTCTTCCCTCTAGCATTATATGAAGAAATCCCG
This sequence comes from Homo sapiens, assembly GCF_000001405.40. Lineage (NCBI taxonomy): Eukaryota > Metazoa > Chordata > Mammalia > Primates > Hominidae > Homo > Homo sapiens. The sequence goes on along the minus strand of NC_000016.10, from coordinate 36,788,695 downwards.
TTTCCAACGAAGGCATCTAAGAGGTCCAAATATCCACTTGCAGACTTTACAAACAGAGGGTTTCCAGAATGCTGTATGAAAAGAAAGGTGAAACTCTGTGAGTTAAACACACACATCACTACGCAGTGTCTGGGAACGAGTTTGTCTTGTTTTTATACGAATATATTTCCTTTTCGACCATTGGCGTCGAAGCGCTTGAAATCTCCACTTGCAAATTCCACAAAAAGAGTGTTTCAAATCTGCTCTGTCTAAAGGAAGGATGAACTCTGTGAGTTGCATACACACAACACAAAGTAGTTACTGAGAAATCTGTCTAGCATAATATGAAGAAATCCCGTTTCCAACGAAGGCCTCAAAGAGGTCCGCATATCCACTGGCAGGCTTCACAAACAGAGTGTTTCCTAACTGCTCTGTGAAAAGAAAGGTTAAACTCCTGTGAGTTGAACGCACACATCACAAAGGAGTTTCTGAGAATCATTCTGTCTAGTTTTTATAGGAAGATATTTCCTTTTCTACCGTTGACCTCAAAGCGGCTGAAATATCCACTTGCAAATTCCAGAAAAAGAGTGTTTCAAATCTGCTCTGTGTAAAAGATCGTTCAACTCTGTGAGTTGAATACACACAACACAAGGAAGTTACTGAGAATTCTTCTGTCTAGCATAATATGAAGAAATCCCGTTTCCAAAGAACGCCTCAAAGAGGTATGAATATCCACTTGCAGACTTTACAAACAGAGTGTTTCTTAACTGCTCTTTGAAAAGAAAGGTTAAACTCTGTGAGTTGAACGCACACATCACAAAACAGTTTCTGAGAATCTTTCTTTCTAGTTTTTATACGAAGATATTTCCTTTTCTACCGTTGACCTCAAAGCGGCTGAATTCTCCACTTACAAATTCCACCAAAAGTGTGTCTCAAATCTGCTCTGTGTAAAGAATCATTCAACTCTGTGAGGTTGAATGCACACAACACAAGGAAGTTACTGGGAATTCCTCTGTCTAACCTTACATGAAAAAACGCGTTTCCAACGAAGGCCTCTAAGAGGCCAAGATATCCACTTGCAGACTTTACAAACAGAGTGTTTCCAAACTGCTGAATGAAAAGAAAAGTTAAACTCTGTGAGTTGAACGCACACATCACAGAGCAGTTTCTGAGAATGATTCTGTCGGGTTTTTATACGAAGATATTTCCTTTTCTGCCTTTGGCCTCAAAGCGCTTGAAGTCTCCACTTGCAAATTGCAGAAAAAGAGCGTTTCGAATCTGCTCTGTCTAAAGGAAGGTTCAACTCTGTCAGTTGAATACACACAACACAAGGAAGTTACTGAGATTTCTTCTGTCTAGCCTTACATGAAAAAAACCCGTTTCCAACGAAGGCCTCAAAGAGGTCAAAATATCCACGTGCAGACTTTCCAAACAGTGTTTCCAAACTGCTGAATGAAAAGAAAAGTTAAACTCTGTGAGTTGAACGCACACATCACAGAGCAGTTTCTGAGAATGATTCTGTCGGGTTTTTATACGAAGATATTTCCTTTTCTGCCTTTGGCCTCAAAGCGCTTGAAATCTCCACTTGCAAATTCCACAAAAAGAGACTTTCAAATCTGCTCTGTCTAAAGGAAGGTTCAACTCTGTCAGTTGAATACACACAACACAAAGAAGTTACTAAGAATTCTTCCCTCTAGCATTATATGAAGAAATCCCGTTTCCAACGAAGGCATCTAAGAGGTCCAAATATCCACTTGCAGACTTTACAAACAGAGGGTTTCCAGAATGCTGTATGAAAAGAAAGGTTAAACTCTGTGAGTTAAACACACACATCACTACGCAGTGTCTGGGAACGAGTTTGTCTGGTTTTTATACGAAGAAATTTCCTTTTCTACCATTGGCATCGATGCGCTTGAAATTTCCACTTGCAAATTCCACAAAAAGAGTGTTTCAAATCTGCTCTGTCTAAAGGAAGGTTGAACTCTGTGAGTTGCATACACACAACACAAAGAAGTTACTGAGAAATCTTCTGTCTAGCAAAATATGAAGAAATCCCGTTTCCAACGAAGGCCTCAAAGAGGTCCGAATATCCACTGGCAGGCTTCACAAACAGAGTGTTTCCTAACTGCTCTGTGAAAAGAAAGGTTAAACTCTGTGAGTTGAACGCACACATCACAAAGGAGTTTCTGAGAATCATTCTGTCCAGTTTTTATACGAAGATATTTCCTTTTCTACCATTGACCTCAAAGCGGCTGAAATCTCCACTTGCAAATTCCAGAAAAACAGTGTTTCAAATCTGCTCTGTGTAAAGGATCGTTCAACTCTGTGAGTTGAATACACACAACACAAGGAAGTTACTGAGAATTCATCTGTCTAGCATAATATGAAGAAATCCCGTTTCCAACGAAGGCTTCAAAGAGGTCTGAATATCCACTTGCAGACTTTACAAACAGAGTGTTTCCTAACTGCTCTTTGAAAAGAAAGGTTAAACTCTGTGAGTTGAACGCACACATCACAAAACAGTTTCTGAGAATCATTCTTTCTAGTTTTTATACGAAGATATTTCCTTTTCTACCGTTGACCTCAAAGTGGCTGAATTCTCCACTTACAAATTCCACCAAAAGAGTGTCTCAAATCTGCTCTGTGTAAAGAATCATTCAACTCTGTGAGTTGAATGCACACAACACAAGGAAGTTACTGGGAATTCCTCTGTCTAACCTTACATGAAAAAACGCGTTTCCAACGAAGGCCTCTAAGAGGCCAAGATATCCACTTGCAGACTTTACAAACAGAGTGTTTCCAAACTGCTGAATGAAAAGAAAAGTTAAACTCTGTGAGTTGAACGCACACATCACAGAGCAGTTTCTGAGAATGATTCTGTCGGGTTTTTATACGAAGATATTTCCTTTTCTGCCTTTGGCCTCAAAGCGCTTGAAGTCTCCACTTGCAAATTGCAGAAAAAGAGCGTTTCGAATCTGCTCTGTCTAAAGGAAGGTTCAACTCTGTCAGTTGAATACACACAACACAAGGAAGTTACTGAGATTTCTTCTGTCTAGCCTTACATGAAAAAAACCCGTTTCCAACGAAGGCCTCAAAGAGGTCAAAATATCCACGTGCAGAGTTTCCAAACAGAGTGTTTCCAAACTGCTGAATGAAAAGAAAGTTAAACTCTGTGAGTTGAACACACACATCACAGAGCAGTTTCTGAGAATGATTCTCTCTAGTTTTTATAGGAAAATACTTCCTTTTCTGCTTTTGGCCTCAAAGCGCTTGAAATCTCCACTTGCAAATTCCACAAAAAGAGACTTTCAAATCTGCTCTGTCAAAAGGAAGGTTCAACTCTGTCAGTTGAATACACACAACACAAAGAAGTTACTAAGAATTCTTCCCTCTAGCATTATATGAAGAAATCCCGTTTCCAACGAAGGCCTCAAAGAGGTCTGAATATCCACTTGCAGACTTTACAGAGTGTTTCCTAACTGCTCTTTGAAAAGAAAGGTTAAACTCTGTGAGTTGAACGCACACATCACAAAACAGTTTCTGAGAATCATTCTGTCTAGTTTTTATACGAAGATATTTCCTTTTCTACCGTTGACCTCAAAGCGGCTGAATTCTCCACTTACAAATTCCACCCAAAGAGTGTCTCAAATCTGCTCTGTGTAAAGAATCATTCAACTCTGTGAGTTGAATGCACACAACACAAGGAAGTTACTGGGAATTCCTCTGTCTAACCTTACATGAAAAAACCCGTTTCCAACGAAGGCCTCTAAGAGGCCAAGATATCCACTTGCAGACTTTACAAACAGAGTGTTTCCAAACTGCTGAATGAAAAGAAAAGTTAAACTCTGTGAGTTGAACGCACACATCACAGAGCAGTTTCTGAGAATGATTCTGTCGGGTTTTTATACGAAGATATTTCCTTTTCTGCCTTTGGCCTCAAAGCGCTTGAAGTCTCCACTTGCAAATTGCAGAAAAAGAGTGTTTCGAATCTGCTCTGTCTAAAGGAAGGTTCAACTCTGTCAGTTGAATACACACAACACAAGGAAGTTACTGAGATTTCTTCTGTCTAGCCTTACATGAAAAAAACCCGTTTCCAACGAAGGCCTCAAAGAGGTCAAAATATCCACGTGCAGACTTTCCAAACAGAGTGTTTCCAAACTGCTGAATGAAAAGTTAAACTCTGTGAGTTGAACGCACACATCCCAGAGCAGTTTCTGAGAAAGATTCTGTCTAGTTTTTATAGGAAAATATTTCCTTTTCTGCTTTTGGCCTCAAAGCGCTTGAAATCTCCACTTGCAAATTCCACAAAAAGAGACTTTCAAATCTGCTCTGTCTAAAGGAAGGTTCAACTCTGTCAGTTGAATACACACAACACAAAGAAGTTACTAAGAATTCTTCCCTCTAGCATTATATGAAGAAATCCCGTTTCCAACGAAGGCATCTAAGAGGTCTAAATATCCACTTGCAGACTTTACAAACAGAGGGTTTCCAGAATGCTGTATGAAAAGAAAGGTGAAACTCTGTGAGTTAAACACACACATCACTACGCAGTGTCTGGGAACGAGTTTGTCTTGTTTTTATACGAAGATATTTCCTTTTCTACCATTGGCATCGAAGCGCTTGAAATCTCCACTTGCAAATTCCACAAAAAGAGTGTTTCAAATATGCTCTCTCTAAAGGAAGGTTGAACTCTGTGAGTTGCATACACACAACCCAAAGAAGTTACTGAGAAATCTTCTGTCTAGCATAATATGAAGAAATCCCGTTTCCAACGAAGGCCTCAAAGGAGGTCCGAATATCCACTGGCAGGCTTCACAAACAGAGTGTTTCCTAACTGCTCTGTGAAAAGAAAGGTTAAACTCTGTGAGTTGAACGCACACATCACAAAGGAGTTTCTGAGAATCATTCTGTCTAGTTTTTATACGAAGATATTTCCTTTTCTACCATTGACCTCAAAGCGGCTGACATCTCCACTTGCAAATTCCAGAAAAACAGTGTTTCAAATCTGCTCTGTGTAAAGGATCGTTCAACTCTGTGAGTTGAATACACACAACACAAGGAAGTTACTGAGAATTCATCTGTCTAGCATAATATGATGAAATCCCGTTTCCAACGAAGGCTTCAAAGAGGTCTGAATATCCACTTGCAGACTTTACAAACAGAGTGTTTCCTAACTGCTCTTTGAAAAGAAAGGTTAAACTCTGTGAGTTGAACGCACACATCACAAAACAGTTTCTGAGAATCATTCTTTCTAGTTTTTATACGAAGATATTTCCTTTTCTACCGTTGACCTCAAAGCGGCTGAATTCTCCACTTACAAATTCCACCAAAAGTGTGTCTCAAATCTGCTCTGTGTAAAGAATCATTCAACTCTGTGAGTTGAATGCACACAACACAAGGAAGTTACTGGGAATTCCTCTGTCTAACCTTACATGAAAAAACGCGTTTCCAACGAAGGCCTCTAAGAGGCCAAGATATCCACTTGCAGACTTTACAAACAGAGTGTTTCCAAACTGCTGAATGAAAAGAAAAGTTAAACTCTGTGAGTTGAACGCACACATCACAGAGCAGTTTCTGAGAATGATTCTGTCGGGTTTTTATACGAAGATATTTCCTTTTCTGCCTTTGGCCTCAAAGCGCTTGAAGTCTCCACTTGCAAATTGCAGAAAAAGAGCGTTTCGAATCTGCTCTGTCTAAAGGAAGGTTCAACTCTGTCAGTTGAATACACACAACACAAGGAAGTTACTGAGATTTCTTCTGTCTAGCCTTACATGAAAAAAACCCGTTTCCAACGAAGGCCTCAAAGAGGTCAAAATATCCACGTGCAGACTTTCCAAACAGAGTGTTTCCAAACTGCTGAATGAAAAGAAAGTTAAACTCTGTGAGTTGAACACACACATCACAGAGCAGTTTCTGAGAATGATTCTCTCTAGTTTTTATAAGAAAATATTTCCCTTTCTGCTTTTGGCCTCAAAGCGCTTGAAATCTCCACTTGCAAATTCCACAAAAAGAGACTTTCAAATCTGCTCTGTCTAAAGGAAGGTTCAACTCTGTCAGTTCAATACACACAACACAAAGAAGTTACTAAGAATTCTTCCCTCTAGCATTATATGAAGAAATCCCGTTTCCAACGAAGGCCTCAAAGAGGTCTGAATATCCACTTGCAGATTTTACAGAGTGTTTCCTAACTGCTCTTTGAAAAGAAAGGTTAAACTCTGTGAGTTGAACGCACACATCACAAAACAGTTTCTGAGAATCATTCTGTCTAGTTTTTATACGAAGATATTTCCTTTTCTACCGTTGCCCTCAAAGCGGCTGAATTCTCCACTTACAAATTCCACCCAAAGAGTGTCTCAAATCTGCTCTGTGTAAAGAATCATTCAACTCTGTGAGTTGAATGCACACAACACAAGGAAGTTACTGGGAATTCCTCTGTCTAACCTTACATGAAAAAACCCGTTTCCAACGAAGGCCTCTAAGAGGCCAAGATATCCACTTGCAGACTTTACAAACAGAGTGTTTCCAAACTGCTGAATGAAAAGAAAAGTTAAACTCTGTGAGTTGAACGCACACATCACAGAGCAGTTTCTGAGAATGATTCTGTCGGGTTTTTATACGAAGATATATCCTTTTCTGCCTTTGGCCTCAAAGCGCTTGAAGTCTCCACTTGCAAATTGCAGAAAAAGAGTGTTTCGAATCTGCTCTGTCTAAAGGAAGGTTCAACTCTGTCAGTTGAATACACACAACACAAGGAAGTTACTGAGATTTCTTCTGTCTAGCCTTACATGAAAAACACCCGTTTCCAACGAAGGCCTCAAAGAGGTCAAAATATCCACGTGCAGACTTTCCAAACAGAGTGTTTCCAAACTGCTGAATGAAAAGAAAAGTTAAACTCTGTGAGTTGAACGCACACATCCCAGAGCAGTTTCTGAGAAAGATTCTGTCTAGTTTTTATAGGAAAATATTTCCTTTTCTGCTTTTGGCCTCAAAGCGCTTGAAATCTCCACTTGCAAATTCCACAAAAAGAGACTTTCAAATCTGCTCTGTCTAAAGGAAGGTTCAACTCTGTCAGTTGAATACACACAACACAAAGAAGTTACTAAGAATTCTTCCCTCTAGCATTATATGAAGAAATCCCGTTTCCAACGAAGGCATCTAAGAGGTCCAAATATCCACTTGCAGACTTTACAAACAGAGGGTTTCCAGAATGCTGTATGAAAAGAAAGGTTAAACTCTGTGAGTTAAACACACACATCACTACGCAGTGTCTGGGAACGAGTTTGTCTTGTTTTTATACGAAGATATTTCCTTTTCTACCATTGGCATCGAAGCGCTTGAAATCTCCACTTGCAAATTCCACAAAAAGAGTGTTTCAAATCTGCTCTGTCTAAAGGAAGGTTGAACTCTGTGAGTTGCATACACACAACACAAAGAAGTTACTGAGAAATCTTCTGTCTAGCATAATATGAAGAAATCCCGTTTCCAACGAAGGCCTCAAAGAGGTCCGAATATCCACTGGCAGGCTTCACAAACAGAGTGTTTCCTAACTGCTCTGTGAAAAGAAAGGTTAAACTCTGTGAGTTGAACGCACACATCACAAAGGAGTTTCTGAGAATCATTCTGTCTAGTTTTTATACGAAGATATTTCCTTTTCTACCATTGACCTCAAAGCGGCTGAAATCTCCACTTGCAAATTCCAGAAAAACAGTGTTTCAAATCTGCTCTGTGTAAAGGATCGTTCAACTCTGTGAGTTGAATACACACAACACAAGGAAGTTACTGAGAATTCATCTGTCTAGCATAATATGAAGAAATCCCGTTTCCAACGAAGGCCTCAAAGAGGTCTGAATATCCACTTGCAGACTTTACAAACAGAGTGTTTCCTAACTGCTCTTTGAAAAGAAAGGTTAAACTCTGTGAGTTGAACGCACACATCACAAAACAGTTTCTGAGAATCATTCTGTCTAGTTTTTATACGAAGATATTTCCTTTTCTACCGTTGACCTCAAAGCGGCTGAATTCTCCACTTACAAATTCCACCAAAAGAGTGTCTCAAATCTGCTCTGTGTAAAGAATCATTCAACTCTGTGAGTTGAATGCACACAACACAAGGAAGTTACTGGGAATTCCTCTGTCTAACCTTACATGAAAAAACCCGTTTCCAACGAAGGCCTCTAAGAGGCCAAGATATCCACTTGCAGACTTTACAAACAGAGTGTTTCCAAACTGCTGAATGAAAAGAAAAGTTAAACTCTGTGAGTTGAACGCACACATCACAGAGCAGTTTCTGAGAATGATTCTGTCGGGTTTTTATACGAAGATATTTCCTTTTCTGCCTTTGGCCTCAAAGCGCTTGAAGTCTCCACTTGCAAATTGCAGAAAAAGAGTGTTTCGAATCTGCTCTGTCTAAAGGAAGGTTCAACTCTGTCAGTTGAATACACACAACACAAGGAAGTTACTGAGATTTCTTCTGTCTAGCCTTACATGAAAAAAACCCGTTTCCAACAAAGGCCTCAAAGAGGTCAAAATATCCACGTGCAGACTTTCCAAACAGAGTGTTTCCAAACTGCTGAATGAAAAGAAAAGTTAAACTCTGTGAGTTGAACGCACACGTCCCAGAGCAGTTTCTGAGAAAGATTCTGTCGAGTTTTTATAGGAAAATACTTCCTTTTCTGCTTTTGGCCTCAAAGCGCTTGAAATCTCCACTTGCAAATTCCACAAAAAGAGACTTTCAAATCTGCTCTGTCTAAAGGAAGGTTCAACTCTGTCAGTTGAATACACACAACACAAAGAAGTTACTAAGAATTCTTCCCTCTAGCATTATATGAAGAAATCCCGTTTCCAACGAAGGCATCTAAGAGGTCCAAATATCCACTTGCAGACTTTACAAACAGAGGGTTTCCAGAATGCTGTATGAAAAGAAAGGTGAAACTCTGTGAGTTAAACACACACATCACTACGCAGTGTCTGGGAACGAGTTTGTCTTGTTTTTATACGAAGATATTTCCTTTTCTACCATTGGCATCGAAGCGCTTGAAATCTCCACTTGCAAATTCCACAAAAAGAGTGTTTCAAATCTGCTCTGTCTAAAGGAAGGTTGAACTCTGTGAGTTGCATACACACAACACAAAGAAGTTACTGAGAAATCTTCTGTCTAGCATAATATGAAGAAATCCCGTTTCCAACGAAGGCCTCAAAGAGGTCCGAATATCCACTGGCAGGCTTCACAAACAGAGTGTTTCCTAACTGCTCTGTGAAAAGAAAGGTTAAACTCTGTGAGTTGAACGCACACATCACAAAGGAGTTTCTGAGAATCATTCTGTCTAGTTTTTATACGAAGATATTTCTTTTTCTACCATTGACCTCAAAGCGGCTGAAATCTCCACTTGCAAATTCCAGAAAAACAGTGTTTCAAATCTGCTCTGTGTAAAGGATCGTTCAACTCTGTGAGTTGAATACACACAACACAAGGAAGTTACTGAGAATTCATCTGTCTATCATAATATGAAGAAATCCCGTTGCCAACGAAGGCCTCAAAGAGGTCTGAATATCCACTTGCAGACTTTACAAACAGAGTGTTTCCTAACTGCTCTTTGAAAAGAAAGGTTAAACTCTGTGAGTTGAACGCACACATCACAAAACAGTTTCTGAGAATCATTCTGTCTAGTTTTTATACGAAGATATTTCCTTTTCTACCGTTGACCTCAAAGCGGCTGAATTCTCCACTAACAAATTCCACCAAAAGAGTGTCTCAAATCTGCTCTGTGTAAAGAATCATTCAACTCTGTGAGTTGAATGCACACAACACAAGGAAGTTACTGGGAATTCCTCTGTCTAACCTTACATGAAAAAACCCGTTTCCAATGAAGGCCTCTAAGAGGCCAAGATATCCACTTGCAGACTTTACAAACAGAGTGTTTCCAAACTGCTGAATGAAAAGAAAAGTTAAACTCTGTGAGTTGAACGCACATATCACAGAGCAGTTTCTGAGAATGATTCTGTCGGGTTTTTATACGAAGATATTTCCTTTTCTGCCTTTGGCCTCAAAGCGCTTGAAGTCTCCACTTGCAAATTGCAGAAAAAGAGTGTTTCGAATCTGCTCTGTCTAAAGGAAGGTTCAACTCTGTCAGTTGAATACACACAACACAAGGAAGTTACTGAGATTTCTTCTGTCTAGCCTTACATGAAAAAAACCCGTTTCCAACGAAGGCCTCAAAGAGGTCAAAATATCCACGTGCAGACTTTCCAAACAGAGTGTTTCCAAACTGCTGAATGAAAAGAAAAGTTAAACTCTGTGAGTTGAACGCACACATCCCAGAGCAGTTTCTGAGAAAGATTCTGTCGAGTTTTTATAGGAAAATATTTCCTTTTCTGCTTTTGGCCTCAAAGCGCTTGAAATCTCCACTTGCAAATTCCACAAAAAGAGACTTTCAAATCTGCTCTGTCTAAAGGAAGGTTCAACTCTGTCAGTTGAATACACACAACACAAAGAAGTTACTAAGAATTCTTCCCTCTAGCATTATATGAAGAAATCCCGTTTCCAACGAAGGCATCTAAGAGGTCCAAATATCCACTTGCAGACTTTACAAACACAGGGTTTCCAGAATGCTGTATGAAAAGAAAGGTTAAACTCTGTGAGTTAAACACACACATCACTACGCAGTGTCTGGGAACGAGTTTGTCTTGTTTTTATACGAAGATATTTCCTTTTCTACCATTGGCATCGAAGCGCTTGAAATCTCCACTTGCAAATTCCACAAAAAGAGTGTTTCAAATCTGCTCTGTCTAAAGGAAGGTTGAACTCTGTGAGTTGCATACACACAACACAAAGAAGTTACTGAGAAATCTTCTGTCTAGCATAATATGAAGAAATCCCGTTTCCAACGAAGGCCTCAAAGAGGTCCGAATATCCCCTGGCAGGCTTCACAAACAGAGTGTTTCCTAACTGCTCTGTGAAAAGAAAGGTTAAACTCTGTGAGTTGAACGCACACATCACAAAGGAGTTTCTGAGAATCATTCTGTCTAGGTTTTATACGAAGATATTTCCTTTTCTACCATTGACCTCAAAGCGGCTGAAATCTCCACTTGCAAATTCCAGAAAAACAGTGTTTCAAATCTGCTCTGTGTAAAGGATCGTTCAACTCTGTGAGTTGAATACACACAACACAAGGAAGTTACTGAGAATTCATCTGTCTAGCATAATATGAAGAAATCCCGTTTCCAACGAAGGCCTCAAAGAGGTCTGAATATCCACTTGCAGACTTTACAAACAGAGTGTTTCCTAACTGCTCTTTGAAAAGAAAGGTTAAACTCTGTGAGTTGAACGCACACATCACAAAACAGTTTCTGAGAATCATTCTGTCTAGTTTTTATACGAAGATATTTCCTTTTCTACCGTTGACCTCAAAGCGGCTGAATTCTCCACTTACAAATTCCACCAAAAGAGTGTCTCAAATCTGCTCTGTGTAAAGAATCATTCAACTCTGTGAGTTGAATGCACACAACACAAGGAAGTTACTGGGAATTCCTCTGTCTAACCTTACATGAAAAAACCCATTTCCAACGAAGGCCTCTAAGAGGCCAAGATATCCACTTGCAGACTTTACAAACAGAGTGTTTCCAAACTGCTGAATGAAAAGAAAAGTTAAACTCTGTGAGTTGAACGCACACATCACAGAGCAGTTTCTGAGAATGATTCTGTCGGGTTTTTATACGAAGATATTTCCTTTTCTGCCTTTGGCCTCAAAGCGCTTGAAGTCTCCACTTGCAAATTGCAGAAAAAGAGTGTTTCGAATCTGCTCTGTCTAAAGGAAGGTTCAACTCTGTCAGTTGAATACACACAACACAAGGAAGTTACTGAGATTTCTTCTGTCTAGCGTTACATGAAAAAAACCCGTTTCCAACGAAGGCCTCAAAGAGGTCAAAATATCCACGTGCAGACTTTCCAAACAGAGTGTTTCCAAACTGCTGAATGAAAAGAAAAGTTAAACTCTGTGAGTTGAACGCACACATCCCAGAGCAGTTTCTGAGAAAGATTCTGTCTAGTTTTTATAGGAAAATATTTCCTTTTCTGCTTTTGGCCTCAAAGCGCTTGAAATCTCCACTTGCAAATTCCACAAAAAGAGACTTTCAAATCTGCTCTGTCTAAAGGAAGGTTCAACTCTGTCAGTTGAATACACACAACACAAAGAAGTTACTAAGAATTCTTCCCTCTAGCATTATATGAAGAAATCCCGTTTCCAACGAAGGCATCTAAGAGGTCCAAATATCCACTTGCAGACTTTACAAACACAGGGTTTCCAGAATGCTGTATGAAAAGAAAGGTTAAACTCTGTGAGTTAAACACACACATCACTACGCAGTGTCTGGGAACGAGTTTGTCTTGTTTTTATACGAAGATATTTCCTTTTCTACCATTGGCATCGAAGCGCTTGAAATCTCCACTTGCAAATTCCACAAAAAGAGTGTTTCAAATCTGCTCTGTCTAAAGGAAGGTTGAACTCTGTGAGTTGCATACACACAACACAAAGAAGTTACTGAGAAATCTTCTGTCTAGCATAATATGAAGAAATCCCGTTTCCAACGAAGGCCTCAAAGAGGTCCGAATATCCACTGGCAGGCTTCACAAACAGAGTGTTTCCTAACTGCTCTGTGAAAAGAAAGGTTAAACTCTGTGAGTTGAACGCACACATCACAAAGGAGTTTCTGAGAATCATTCTGTCTAGTTTTTATACGAAGATATTTCCTTTTCTACCATTGACCTCAAAGCGGCTGACATCTCCACTTGCAAATTCCAGAAAAACAGTGTTTCAAATCTGCTCTGTGTAAAGGATCGTTCAACTCTGTGAGTTGAATACACACAACACAAGGAAGTTACTGAGAATTCATCTGTCTAGCATAATATGAAGAAATCCCGTTTCCAACGAAGGCCTCAAAGAGGTCTGAATATCCACTTGCAGACTTTACAGAGTGTTTCCTAACTGCTCTTTGAAAAGAAAGGTTAAACTCTGTGAGTTGAACGCACACATCACAAAACAGTTTCTGAGAATCATTCTGTCTAGTTTTTATACGAAGATATTTCCTTTTCTACCGTTGACCTCAAAGCGGCTGAATTCTCCACTTACAAATTCCACCAAAAGAGTGTCTCAAATCTGCTCTGTGTAAAGAATCATTCAACTCTGTGAGTTGAATGCACACAACACAAGGAAGTTACTGGGAATTCCTCTGTCTAACCTTACATGAAAAAACCCGTTTCCAACGAAGGCCTCTAAGAGGCCAAGATATCCACTTGCAGACTTTACAAACAGAGTGTTTCCAAACTGCTGAATGAAAAGAAAAGTTAAACTCTGTGAGTTGAACGCACACATCACAGAGCAGTTTCTGAGAATGATTCTGTCGGGTTTTTATACGAAGATATTTCCTTTTCTGCCTTTGGCCTCAAAGCGCTTGAAGTCTCCACTTGCAAATTGCAGAAAAAGAGTGTTTCGAATCTGCTCTGTCTAAAGGAAGGTTCAACTCTGTCAGTTGAATACACACAACACAAGGAAGTTACTGAGATTTCTTCTGTCTAGCCTTACATGAAAAAAACCCGTTTCCAACGAAGGCCTCAAAGAGGTCAAAATATCCACGTGCAGACTTTCCAAACACAGTGTTTCCAAACTGCTGAATGAAAAGAAAAGTTAAACTCTGTGAGTTGAACGCACACATCCCAGAGCAGTTTCTGAGAAAGATTCTGTCGAGTTTTTATAGGAAAATATTTCCTTTTCTGCTTTTGGCCTCAAAGCGCTTGAAATCTCCACTTGCAAATTCCACAGAAAGAGACTTTCAAATCTGCTCTGTCTAAAGGAAGGTTCAACTCTGTCAGTTGAATACACACAACACAAAGAAGTTACTAAGAATTCTTCCCTCTAGCATTATATGAAGAAATCCCGTTTCCAACGAAGGCATCTAAGAGGTCCAAATATCCACTTGCAGACTTTACAAACAGAGGGTTTCCAGAATGCTGTATGAAAAGAAAGGTTAAACTCTGTGAGTTAAACACACACATCACTACGCAGTGTCTGGGAACGAGTTTGTCTTGTTTTTATACGAAGATATTTCCTTTTCTACCATTGGCATCGAAGCGCTTGAAATCTCCACTTGCAAATTCCACAAAAAGAGTGTTTCAAATCTGCTCTGTCTAAAGGAAGGTTGAACTCTGTGAGTTGCATACACACAACCCAAAGAAGTTACTGAGAAATCTTCTGTCTAGCATAATATGAAGAAATCCCGTTTCCAACGAAGGCCTCAAAGAGGTCCGATTATCCACTGGCAGGCTTCACAAACAGAGTGTTTCCTAACTGCTCTGTGAAAAGAAAGGTTAAACTCTGTGAGTTGAACGCACACATCACAAAGGAGTTTCTGAGAATCATTCTGTCTAGTTTTTATACGAAGATATTTCCTTTTCTACCATTGACCTCAAAGCGGCTGACATCTCCACTTGCAAATTCCAGAAAAACAGTGTTTCAAATCTGCTCTGTGTAAAGGATCGTTCAACTCTGTGAGTTGAATACACACAACACAAGGAAGTTACTGAGAATTCATCTGTCTAGCATAATATGAAGAAATCCCGTTTCCAACGAAGGCCTCAAAGAGGTCTGAATATCCACTTGCAGACTTTACAAACAGAGTGTTTCCTAACTGCTCTTTGAAAAGAAAGGTTAAACTCTGTGAGTTGAACGCACACATCACAAAACAGTTTCTGAGAATCATTCTGTCTAGTTTTTATACGAAGATATTTCCTTTTCTACCGTTGACCTCAAAGCGGCTGAATTCTCCACTAACAAATTCCACCAAAAGAGTGTCTCAAATCTGCTCTGTGTAAAGAATCATTCAACTCTGTGAGTTGAATGCACACAACACAAGGAAGTTACTGGGAATTCCTCTGTCTAACCTTACATGACAAAACCCGTTTCCAACGAAGGCCTCTAAGAGGCCAAGATATCCACTTGCAGACTTTACAAACAGAGTGTTTCCAAACTGCTGAATGAAAAGAAAAGTTAAACTCTGTGAGTTGAATGCACACATCACAGAGCAGTTTCTGAGAATGATTCTGTCGGGTTTTTATACGAAGATATTTCCTTTTCTGCCTTTGGCCTCAAAGCGCTTGAAGTCTCCACTTGCAAATTGCAGAAAAAGAGTGTTTCGAATCTGCTCTGTCTAAAGGAAGGTTCAACTCTGTCAGTTGAATACACACAACACAAGGAAGTTACTGAGATTTCTTCTGTCTAGCCTTACATGAAAAAAACCCGTTTCCAACAAAGGCCTCAAAGAGGTCAAAATATCCACGTGCAGACTTTCCAAACAGAGTGTTTCCAAACTGCTGAATGAAAAGAAAAGTTAAACTCTGTGAGTTGAACGCACACATCCCAGAGCAGTTTCTGAGAAAGATTCTGTCGAGTTTTTATAGGAAAATACTTCCTTTTCTGCTTTTGGCCTCAAAGCGCTTGAAATCTCCACTTGCAAATTCCACAAAAAGAGACTTTCAAATCTGCTCTGTCTAAAGGAAGGTTCAACTCTGTCAGTTGAATACACACAACACAAAGAAGTTACTAAGAATTCTTCCCTCTAGCATTATATGAAGAAATCCCGTTTCCAACGAAGGCATCTAAGAGGTCCAAATATCCACTTGCAGACTTTACAAACACAGGGTTTCCAGAATGCTGTATGAAAAGAAAGGTGAAACTCTGTGAGTTAAACACACACATCACTACGCAGTGTCTGGGAACGAGTTTGTCTTGTTTTTATACGAAGATATTTCCTTTTCTACCATTGGCATCGAAGCGCTTGAAATCTCCACTTGCAAATTCCACAAAAAGAGTGTTTCAAATCTGCTCTGTCTAAAGGAAGGTTGAACTCTGTGAGTTGCATACACACAACACAAAGAAGTTACTGAGAAATCTTCTGTCTAGCATAATATGAAGAAATCCCGTTTCCAACGAAGGCCTCAAAGAGGTCCGAATATCCACTGGCAGGCTTCACAAACAGAGTGTTTCCTAACTGCTCTGTGAAAAGAAAGGTTAAACTCTGTGAGTTGAACGCACACATCACAAAACAGTTTCTGAGAATCATTCTGTCTAGTTTTTATACGAAGATATTTCCTTTTCTACCATTGACCTCAAAGCAGCTGAAATCTCCACTTGCAAATTCAAGAAAAACAGTGTTTCAAATCTGCTCTGTGTAAAGGATCGTTCAACTCTGTGAGTTGAATACACACAACACAAGGAAGTTACTGAGAATTCATCTGTCTAGCATAATATGAAGAAATCCCGTTTCCAACGAAGGCCTCAAAGAGGTCTGAATATCCACTTGCAGACTTTACAAACAGAGTGTTTCCTAACTGCTCTTTGAAAAGAAAGGTTAAACTCTGTGAGTTGAACGCACACATCACAAAACAGTTTCTGAGAATCATTCTGTCTAGTTTTTATACGAAGATATTTCCTTTTCTACCGTTGACCTCAAAGCGGCTGAATTCTCCACTTACAAATTCCACCAAAAGAGTGTCTCAAATCTGCTCTGTGTAAAGAATCATTCAACTCTGTGAGTTGAATGCACACAACACAAGGAAGTTACTGGGAATTCCTCTGTCTAACCTTACATGAAAAAACCCGTTTCCAACGAAGGCCTCTAAGAGGCCAAGATATCCACTTGCAGACTTTACAAACAGAGTGTTTCCAAACTGCTGAATGAAAAGAAAAGTTAAACTCTGTGAGTTGAACGCACACATCACAGAGTAGTTTCTGAGAATGATTCTGTCGGGTTTTTATACGAAGATATTTCCTTTTCTGCCTTTGGCCTCAAAGCGCTTGAAGTCTCCACTTGCAAATTGCAGAAAAAGAGTGTTTCGAATCTGCTCTGTCTAAAGGAAGGTTCAACTCTGTCAGTTGAATACACACAACACAAGGAAGTTACTGAGATTTCTTCTGTCTAGCCTTACATGAAAAAAACCCGTTTCCAACGAAGGCCTCAAAGAGGTCAAAATATCCACGTGCAGACTTTCCAAACAGAGTGTTTCCAAACTGCTGAATGAAAAGAAAAGTTAAACTCTGTGAGTTGAACGCACACATCCCAGAGCAGTTTCTGAGAAAGATTCTGTCTAGTTTTTATAGGAAAATATTTCCTTTTCTGCTTTTGGCCTCAAAGCGCTTGATATCTCCACTTGCAAATTCCACAGAAAGAGACTTTCAAATCTGCTCTGTCTAAAGGAAGGTTCAACTCTGTCAGTTGAATACACACAACACAAAGAAGTTACTAAGAATTCTTCCCTCTAGCATTATATGAAGAAATCCCGTTTCCAACGAAGGCATCTAAGAGGTCCAAATATCCACTTGCAGACTTTACAAACACAGGGTTTCCAGAATGCTGTATGAAAAGAAAGGTTAAACTCTGTGAGTTAAACACACACATCACTACGCAGTGTCTGGGAACGAGTTTGTCTTGTTTTTATACGAAGATATTTCCTTTTCTACCATTGGCATCGAAGCGCTTGAAATCTCCACTTGCAAATTCCACAAAAAGAGTGTTTCAAATCTGCTCTGTCTAAAGGAAGGTTGAACTCTGTGAGTTGCATACACACAACACAAAGAAGTTACTGAGAAATCTTCTGTCTAGCATAATATGAAGAAATCCCGTTTCCAACGAAGGCCTCAAAGAGGTCCGAATATCCACTGGCAGGCTTCACAAACAGAGTGTTTCCTAACTGCTCTGTGAAAAGAAAGGTTAAACCCTGTGAGTTGAACGCACACATCACAAAGGAGTTTCTGAGAATCATTCTGTCTAGTTTTTATACGAAGATATTTCCTTTTCTACCATTGACCTCAAAGCGGCTGAAATCTCCACTTGCAAATTCCAGAAAAACAGTGTTTCAAATCTGCTCTGTGTAAAGGATCGTTCAACTCTGTGAGTTGAATACACACAACACAAGGAAGTTACTGAGAATTCATCTGTCTAGCATAATATGAAGAAATCCCGTTTCCAACGAAGGCCTCAAAGAGGTCTGAATATCCACTTGCAGACTTTACAAACAGAGTGTTTCCTAACTGCTCTTTGAAAAGAAAGGTTAAACTCTGTGAGTTGAACGCACACATCACAAAACAGTTTCTGAGAATCATTCTGTCTAGTTTTTATACGAAGATATTTCCTTTTCTACCGTTGACCTCAAAGCGGCTGAATTCTCCACTTACAAATTCCACCAAAAGAGTGTCTCAAATCTGCTCTGTGTAAAGAATCATTCAACTCTGTGAGTTGAATGCACACAACACAAGGAAGTTACTGGGAATTCCTCTGTCTAACCTTACATGATAAAACCCGTTTCCAACGAAGGCCTGTAAGAGGCCAAGATATCCACTTGCAGACTTTACAAACAGAGTGTTTCCAAACTGCTGAATGAAAAGAAAAGTTAAACTCTGTGAGTTGAACGCACACATCACAGAGCAGTTTCTGAGAATGATTCTGTCGGGTTTTTATACGAAGATATTTCCTTTTCTGCCTTTGGCCTCAAAGCGCTTGAAGTCTCCACTTGCAAATTGCAGAAAAAGAGTGTTTCGAATCTGCTCTGTCTAAAGGAAGGTTCAACTCTGTCAGTTGAATACACACAACACAAGGAAGTTACTGAGATTTCTTCTGTCTAGCCTTACATGAAAAAAACCCGTTTCCAACGAAGGCCTCAAAGAGGTCAAAATATCCACGTGCAGACTTTCCAAACAGAGTGTTTCCAAACTGCTGAATGAAAAGAAAAGTTAAACTCTGTGAGTTGAACGCACACATCCCAGAGCAGTTTCTGAGAAAGATTCTGTCGAGTTTTTATAGGAAAATATTTCCTTTTCTGCTTTTGGCCTCAAAGCGCTTGAAATCTCCACTTGCAAATTCCACAAAAAGAGACTTTCAAATCTGCTCTGTCTAAAGGAAGGTTCAACTCTGTCAGTTGAATACACACAACACAAAGAAGTTACTAAGAATTCTTCCCTCTAGCATTATATGAAGAAATCCCGTTTCCAACGAAGGCATCTAAGAGGTCCAAATATCCACTTGCAGACTTTACAAACACAGGGTTTCCAGAATGCTGTATGAAAAGAAAGGTTAAACTCTGTGAGTTAAACACACACATCACTACGCAGTGTCTGGGAACGAGTTTGTCTTGTTTTTATACGAAGATATTTCCTTTTCTACCATTGGCATCGATGCGCTTGAAATTTCCACTTGCAAATTCCACAAAAAGAGTGTTTCAAATCTGCTCTGTCTAAAGGAAGGTTGAACTCTGTGAGCTGTATACACACAACACAAAGAAGTTACTGAGAAATCTTCTGTCTAGCAAAATATGAAGAAATCCCGTTTCCAACGAAGGCCTCAAAGAGGTCCGAATATCCCCTGGCAGGCTTCACAAACAGAGTGTTTCCTAACTGCTCTGTGAAAAGAAAGGTTAAACTCTGTGAGTTGAACGCACACATCCCAAAGGAGTTTCTGAGAATCATTCTGTCCAGTTTTTATACGAAGATATTTCCTTTTCTACCATTGACCTCAAAGCGGCTGAAATCTCCACTTGCAAATTCCAGAAAAACAGTGTTTCAAATCTGCTCTGTGTAAAGGATCGTTCAACTCTGTGAGTTGAATACACACAACACAAGGAAGTTACTGAGAATTCATCTGTCTAGCATAATATGATGAAATCCCGTTTCCAACGAAGGCTTCAAAGAGGTCTGAATATCCACTTGCAGACTTTACAAACAGAGTGTTTCCTAACTGCTCTTTGAAAAGAAAGGTTAAACTCTGTGAGTTGAACGCACACATCACAAAACAGTTTCTGAGAATCATCTGTCTAGTTTTTATACGAAGATATTTCCTTTTCTACCGTTGACCTCAAAGCGGCTGAATTCTCCACTTACAAATTCCACCAAAAGAGTGTCTCAAATCTGCTCTGTGTAAAGAATCATTCAACTCTGTGAGTTGAATGCACACAACACAAGGAAGTTACTGGGAATCCTCTCTGTCTAGCCTTACATGAAAAAAACCCGTTTCCAACGAAGGTCTCAAAGAGGTCAATATATCCACTTGCAGACTTTACAAACAGAGTGTTTCCAAACTTCTGAATGAAAAGAAAAGTTAAACTCTGTGAGTAGAACGCACAAATCACTGAGCAGTTTCTGAGAATGATTCTGTCCAGTTTTTATACGAAGATATTTCCTTTTCTGCCTTTGGCCTCATAGCGCTTGAAATCTCCACTTGCAAATTGTACAAAAAGACTGTTTCGAATCTCCTCTGTCTAAAGGAAGGTTCCACTCTGTGAGATGAATACACACAACACAAGGAAGTTACTGAGAATTCTTCTGTCTAGCCTTACATAAAAATAACCCGTTTCCAACGAAGGCCTCAAAGAGGTCAAAATATCCACGTGCAGACTTTCCAAACAGAGTGTTTCCAAACTGCTGAATGAAAAGAAAAGTTAAACTCTGTGAGTTGAACGCACACATCCCAGAGCAGTTTCTGAGAAAGATATTCTGTCGAGTTTTTATAGGAAAATATTTCCTTTTCTGCTTTTGGCCTCAAAGCTCTTGAAATCTCCACTTGCAAATTCCACAAAAAGAGACTTTCAAATCTGCTCTGTCTAAAGGAAGGTTCAACTCTGTCAGTTGAATACACACAACACAAAGAAGTTACTAAGAATTCTTCCCTCTAGCATTATATGAAGAAATACCGTTTCCAACGAAGGCATCTAAGAGGTCCAAATATCCACTTGCAGACTTTACAAACAGAGGGTTTCCAGAATGCTGTATGAAAAGAAAGGTGAAACTCTGTGAGTTAAACACACACATCACTACGCAGTGTCTGGGAACGAGTTTGTCTTGTTTTTATACGAAGATATTTCCTTTTCTACCATTGGCATCGAAGCGCTTGAAATCTCCACTTGCAAATTCCACAAAAAGAGTGTTTCAAATCTGCTCTGTCTAAAGGAAGGTTGAACTCTGTGAGTTGCATACACACAACACAAAGAAGTTACTGAGAAATCTTCTGTCTAGCATAATATGAAGAAATCCCGTTTCCAACGAAGGCCTCAAAGAGGTCCGAATATCCACTGGCAGGCTTCACAAACAGAGTGTTTCCTAACTGCTCTGTGAAAAGAAAGGTTAAACTCTGTGAGTTGAACGCACACATCACAAAGGAGTTTCTGAGAATCATTCTGTCTAGTTTTTATACGAAGATATTTCCTTTTCTACCATTGACCTCAAAGCGGCTGAAATCTCCACTTGCAAATTCCAGAAAAACAGTGTTTCAAATCTGCTCTGTGTAAAGGATCGTTCAACTCTGTGAGTTGAATACACACAACACAAGGAAGTTACTGAGAATTCATCTGTCTAGCATAATATGAAGAAATCCCGTTTCCAACGAAGGCCTCAAAGAGGTCTGAATATCCACTTGCAGACTTTACAAACAGAGTGTTTCCTAACTGCTCTTTGAAAAGAAAGGTTAAACTCTGTGAGTTGAACGCACACATCACAAAACAGTTTCTGAGAATCATTCTGTCTAGTTTTTATACGAAGATATTTCCTTTTCTACCGTTGACCTCAAAGCGGCTGAATTCTCCACTTACAAATTCCACCAAAAGAGTGTCTCAAATCTGCTCTGTGTAAAGAATCATTCAACTCTGTGAGTTGAATGCACACAACACAAGGAAGTTACTGGGAATTCCTCTGTCTAACCTTACATGAAAAAACCCGTTTCCAACGAAGGCCTCTAAGAGGCCAAGATATCCACTTGCAGACTTTACAAACAGAGTGTTTCCAAACTGCTGAATGAAAAGAAAAGTTAAACTCTGTGAGTTGAACGCACACATCACAGAGCAGTTTCTGAGAATGATTCTGTCGGGTTTTTATACGAAGATATTTCCTTTTCTGCCTTTGGCCTCAAAGCGCTTGAAGTCTCCACTTGCAAATTGCAGAAAAAGAGCGTTTCGAATCTGCTCTGTCTAAAGGAAGGTTCAACTCTGTCAGTTGAATACACACAACACAAGGGAAGTTACTGAGATTTCTTCTGTCTAGCCTTACATGAAAAACACCCGTTTCCAACGAAGGCCTCAAAGAGGTCAAAATATCCACGTGCAGACTTTCCAAACAGAGTGTTTCCAAACTGCTGAATGAAAAGAAAAGTTAAACTCTGTGAGTTGAACGCACACATCCCAGAGCAGTTTCTGAGAAAGATTCTGTCTAGTTTTTATAGGAAAATATTTCCTTTTCTGCCTTTGGCCTCAAAGCGCTTGAAATCTCCACTTGCAAATTCCACAAAAAGAGACTTTCAAATCTGCTCTGTCTAAAGGAAGGTTCAACTCTGTCAGTTGAATACACACAACACAAAGAAGTTACTAAGAATTCTTCCCTCTAGCATTATATGAGGAAATCCCGTTTCCAACGAAGGCATCTAAGAGGTCCAAATATCCACTTGCAGACTTTACAAACAGAGGGTTTCCAGAATGCTGTATGAAAAGAAAGGTTAAACTCTGTGAGTTAAACACACACATCACTACGCAGTGTCTGGGAACGAGTTTGTCTTGTTTTTATACGAAGATATTTCCTTTTCTACCATTGGCATCGAAGCGCTTGAAATCTCCACTTGCAAATTCCACAAAAAGAGTGTTTCAAATCTGCTCTGTCTAAAGGAAGGTTGAACTCTGTGAGTTGCATACACACAACACAAAGAAGTTACTGAGAAATCTTCTGTCTAGCAAAATATGAAGAAATCCCGTTTCCAACGAAGGCCTCAAAGAGGTCCGAATATCCACTGGCAGGCTTCACAAACAGAGTGTTTCCTAACTGCTCTGTGAAAAGAAAGGTTAAACTCTGTGAGTTGAACGCACACATCACAAAGGAGTTTCTGAGAATCATTCTGTCCAGTTTTTATACGAAGATATTTCCTTTTCTACCATTGACCTCAAAGCGGCTGAAATCTCCACTTGCAAATTCCAGAAAAACAGTGTTTCAAATCTGCTCTGTGTAAAGGATCGTTCAACTCTGTGAGTTGAATACACACAACACAAGGAAGTTACTGAGAATTCATCTGTCTAGCATAATATGAAGAAATCCCGTTTCCAACGAAGGCCTCAAAGAGGTCTGAATATCCACTTGCAGACTTTACAAACAGAGTGTTTCCTAACTGCTCTTTGAAAAGAAAGGTTAAACTCTGTGAGTTGAACGCACACATCACAAAACAGTTTCTGAGAATCATTCTGTCTAGTTTTTATACGAAGATATTTCCTTTTCTACCGTTGACCTCAAAGCGGCTGAATTCTCCACTTACAAATTCCACCAAAAGAGTGTCTCAAATCTGCTCTGTGTAAAGAATCATTCAACTCTGTGAGTTGAATGCACACAACACAAGGAAGTTACTGGGAATTCCTCTGTCTAACCTTACATGAAAAAACGCGTTTCCAACGAAGGCCTCTAAGAGGCCAAGATATCCACTTGCAGACTTTACAAACAGAGTGTTTCCAAACTGCTGAATGAAAAGAAAAGTTAAACTCTGTGAGTTGAACGCACACATCACAGAGCAGTTTCTGAGAATGATTCTGTCGGGTTTTTATACGAAGATATTTCCTTTTCTGCCTTTGGCCTCAAAGCGCTTGAAGTCTCCACTTGCAAATTGCAGAAAAAGAGCGTTTCGAATCTGCTCTGTCTAAAGGAAGGTTCAACTCTGTCAGTTGAATACACACAACACAAGGAAGTTACTGAGATTTCTTCTGTCTAGCCTTACATGAAAAAAACCCGTTTCCAACGAAGGCCTCAAAGAGGTCAAAATATCCAAGGCAGACTTTCCAAACAGAGTGTTTCCAAACGCTGAATGAAAAGAAAAGTTAAACTCTGTGAGTTGAACGCACACATCCCAGAGCAGTTTCTGAGAAAGATTCTGTCGAGGTTTTATAGGAAAATATTTCCTTTTCTGCTTTTGGCCTCAAAGCGCTTGAAATCTCCACTTGCAAATTCCACAAAAAGAGACTTTCAAATCTGCTCTGTCTAAAGGAAGGTTCAACTCTGTCAGTTGAATACACACAACACAAAGAAGTTACTAAGAATTCTTCCCTCTAGCATTATATGAAGAAATCCCGTTTCCAACGAAGGCATCTAAGAGGTCTAAATATCGACTTGCAGACTTTACAAACAGAGGGTTTCCAGAATGCTGTATGAAAAGAAAGGTTAAACTCTGTGAGTGAAACACACACATCACTACGCAGTGTCTGGGAACGAGTTTGTCTTGTTTTTATATGAAGATATTTCCTTTTCTACCATTGGCATCGAAGCGCTTGAAATCTCCACTTGCAAATTCCACAAAAAGAGTGTTTCAAATCTGCTCTGTCTAAAGGAAGGTTGAACTCTGTGAGTTGCATACACACAACACAAAGAAGTTACTGAGAAATCTTCTGTCTAGCATAATATGAAGAAATCCCGTTTCCAACGAAGGCCTGAAAGAGGTCCGAATATCCACTGGCAGGCTTCACAAACAGAGTGTTTCCTAACTGCTCTGTGAAAAGAAAGGTTAAACTCTGTGAGTTGAACGCACACATCACAAAGGAGTTTCTGAGAATCATTCTGTCTAGTTTTTATACGAAGATATTTCCTTTTCTACCATTGACCTCAAAGCGGCTGAAATCTCCACTTGCAAATTCCAGAAAAACAGTGTTTCAAATCTGCTCTGTGTAAAGGATCGTTCAACTCTGTGAGTTGAATACACACAACACAAGGAAGTTACTGAGAATTCATCTGTCTAGCATAATATGATGAAATCCCGTTTCCAACGAAGGCTTCAAAGAGGTCTGAATATCCACTTGCAGACTTTACAAACAGAGTGTTTCCTAACTGCTCTTTGAAAAGAAAGGTTAAACTCTGTGAGTTGAACGCACACATCACAAAACAGTTTCTGAGAATCATTCTTTCTAGTTTTTATACGAAGATATTTCCTTTTCTACCGTTGACCTCAAAGCGGCTGAATTCTCCACTTACAAATTCCACCAAAAGTGTGTCTCAAATCTGCTCTGTGTAAAGAATCATTCAACTCTGTGAGTTGAATGCACACAACACAAGGAAGTTACTGGGAATTCCTCTGTCTAACCTTACATGAAAAAACGCGTTTCCAACGAAGGCCTCTAAGAGGCCAAGATATCCACTTGCAGACTTTACAAACAGAGTGTTTCCAAACTGCTGAATGAAAAGAAAAGTTAAAATCTGTGAGTTGAACGCACACATCACAGAGCAGTTTCTGAGAATGATTCTGTCGGGTTTTTATACGAAGATATTTCCTTTTCTGCCTTTGGCCTCAAAGCGCTTGAAGTCTCCACTTGCAAATTGCAGAAAAAGAGCGTTTCGAATCTGCTCTGTCTAAAGGAAGGTTCAACTCTGTCAGTTGAATACACACAACACAAGGAAGTTACTGAGATTTCTTCTGTCTAGCCTTACATGAAAAAAACCCGTTTCCAACGAAGGCCTCAAAGAGGTCAAAATATCCACGTGCAGACTTTCCAAACAGAGTGTTTCCAAACTGCTGAATGAAAAGAAAGTTAAACTCTGTGAGTTGAACACACACATCACAGAGCAGTTTCTGAGAATGATTCTGTCTAGTTTTTATAGGAAAATATTTCCTTTTCTGCTTTTGGCCTCAAAGCGCTTGAAATCTCCACTTGCAAATTCCACAAAAAGAGACTTTCAAATCTGCTCTGTCTAAAGGAAAGGTTCAACTCTGTCAGTTGAATACACACAACACAAAGAAGTTACTAAGAATTCTTCCCTCTAGCATTATATGAAGAAATCCCGTTTCCAACGAAGGCATCTAAGAGGTCCAAATATCCACTTGCAGACTTTACAAACAGAGGGTTTCCAGAATGCTGTATGAAAAGAAAGGTGAAACTCTGTGAGTTAAACACACACATCACTACGCAGTGTCTGGGAACGAGTTTGTCTTGTTTTTATACGAAGATATTTCCTTTTCTACCATTGGCATCGAAGCGCTTGAAATCTCCACTTGCAAATTCCACAAAAAGAGTGTTTCAAATCTGCTCTGTCTAAAGGAAGGTTGAACTCTGTGAGTTGCATACACACAACACAAAGAAGTTACTGAGAAATCTTCTGTCTAGCATAATATGAAGAAATCCCGTTTCCAACGAAGGCCTCAAAGAGGTCCGAATATCCACTGGCAGGCTTCACAAACAGAGTGTTTCCTAACTGCTCTGTGAAAAGAAAGGTTAAACTCTGTGAGTTGAACGCACACATCACAAAGGAGTTTCTGAGAATCATTCTGTCTAGTTTTTATACGAAGATATTTCCTTTTCTACCATTGACCTCAAAGCGGCTGAAATCTCCACTTGCAAATTCCAGAAAAACAGTGTTTCAAATCTGCTCTGTGTAAAGGATCGTTCAACTCTGTGAGTTGAATACACACAACACAAGGAAGTTACTGAGAATTCATCTGTCTAGCATAATATGAAGAAATCCCGTTTCCAACGAAGGCCTCAAAGAGGTCTGAATATCCGCTTGCAGACTTTACAAACAGAGTGTTTCCTAACTGCTCTTTGAAAAGAAAGGTTAAACTCTGTGAGTTGAACGCACACATCACAAAACAGTTTCTGAGAATCATTCTGTCTAGTTTTTATACGAAGATATTTCCTTTTCTACCGTTGACCTCAAAGCGGCTGAATTCTCCACTTACAAATTCCACCAAAAGAGTGTCTCAAATCTGCTCTGTGTAAAGAATCATTCAACTCTGTGAGTTGAATGCACACAACACAAGGAAGTTACTGGGAATTCCTCTGTCTAACCTTACATGAAAAAAACCGTTTCCAACGAAGGCATCTAAGAGGCCAAGATATCCACTTGCAGACTTTACAAACAGAGTGTTTCCAAACTGCTGAATGAAAAGAAAAGTTAAACTCTGTGAGTTGAACGCACACATCACAGAGCAGTTTCTGAGAATGATTCTGTCGGGTTTTTATACGAAGATATTTCCTTTTCTGCCTTTGGCCTCAAAGCGCTTGAAGTCTCCACTTGGAAATTGCAGAAAAAGAGTGTTTCGAATCTGCTCTGTCTAAAGGAAGGTTCAACTCTGTCAGTTGAATACACACAACACAAGGAAGTTACTGAGATTTCTTCTGTCTAGCCTTACATGAAAAAACCCGTTTCCAACGAAGGCCTCAAAGAGGTCAAAATATCCACGTGCAGACTTTCCAAACAGAGTGTTTCCAAACTGCTGAATGAAAAGAAAGTTAAACTCTGTGAGTTGAACACACACATCACAGAGCAGTTTCTGAGAATGATTCTGTCTAGTTTTTATAGGAAAATATTTCCTTTTCTGCTTTTGGCCTCAAAGCGCTTGAAATCTCCACTTGCAAATTCCACAAAAAGAGACTTTCAAATCTGCTCTGTCTAAAGGAAGGTTCAACTCTGTCAGTTGAATACACACAACACAAAGAAGTTACTAAGAATTCTTCCCTCTAGCATTATATGAAGAAATCCCGTTTCCAACGAAGGCATCTAAGAGGTCCAAATATCCACTTGCAGACTTTACAAACAGAGGGTTTCCAGAATGCTGTATGAAAAGAAAGGTTAAACTCTGTGAGTTAAACACACACATCACTACGCAGTGTCTGGGAACGAGTTTGTCTTGTTTTTATACGAAGATATTTCCTTTTCTACCATTGGCATCGAAGCGCTTGAAATCTCCACTTGCAAATTCCAGAAAAAGAGTGTTTCAAATCTGCTCTGTCTAAAGGAAGGTTGAACTCTGTGAGTTGTATACACACAACACAAAGAAGTTACTGAGAAATCTTCTGTCTAGCATAATATGAAGAAATCCCGTTTCCAACGAAGGCCTCAAAGAGGTCCGAATATCCACTGGCAGGCTTCACAAACAGAGTGTTTCCTAACTGCTCTGTGAAAAGAAAAGTTAAACTCTGTGAGTTGAACGCACACATCACAAAGGAGTTTCTGAGAATCATTCTGTCTAGTTTTTATACGAAGATATTTCTTTTTCTACCATTGACCTCAAAGCGGCTGAAATCTCCACTTGCAAATTCCAGAAAAACAGTGTTTCAAATCTGCTCTGTGTAAAGGATCGTTCAACTCTGTGAGTTGAATACACACAACACAAGGAAGTTACTGAGAATTCATCTGTCTAGCATAATATGAAGAAATCCCGTTTCCAACGAAGGCCTCAAAGAGGTCTGAATATCCACTTGCAGACTTTACAAACAGAGTGTTTCCTAACTGCTCTTTGAAAAGAAAGGTTAAACTCTGTGAGTTGAACGCACACATCACAAAACAGTTTCTGAGAATCATTCTGTCTAGTTTTTATACGAAGATATTTCCTTTTCTACCGTTGACCTCAAAGCGGCTGAATTCTCCACTAACAAATTCCACCAAAAGAGTGTCTCAAATCTGCTCTGTGTAAAGAATCATTCAACTCTGTGAGTTGAATGCACACAACACAAGGAAGTTACTGGGAATTCCTCTGTCTAACCTTACATGAAAAAACCCGTTTCCAACGAAGGCCTCTAAGAGGCCAAGATATCCACTTGCAGACTTTACAAACAGAGTGTTTCCAAACTGCTGAATGAAAAGAAAAGTTAAACTCTGTGAGTTGAACGCACACATCACAGAGCAGTTTCTGAGAATGATTCTGTCGGGTTTTTATACGAAGATATTTCCTTTTCTGCCTTTGGCCTCAAAGCGCTTGAAGTCTCCACTTGCAAATTGCAGAAAAAGTGTGTTTCGAATCTGCTCTGTCTAAAGGAAGGTTCAACTCTGTCAGTTGAATACACATAACACAAGGAAGTTACTGAGATTTCTTCTGTCTAGCGTTACATGAAAAAAACCCGTTTCCAACGAAGGCCTCAAAGAGGTCAAAATATCCACGTGCAGACTTTCCAAACAGAGTGTTTCCAAACTGCTGAATGAAAAGAAAAGTTAAACTCTGTGAGTTGAACGCACACATCCCAGAGCAGTTTCTGAGAAAGATTCTGTCTAGTTTTTATAGGAAAATATTTCCTTTTCTGCTTTTGGCCTCAAAGCGCTTGAAATCTCCACTTGCAAATTCCACAAAAAGAGACTTTCAAATCTGCTCTGTCTAAAGGAAGGTTCAACTCTGTCAGTTGAATACACACAACACAAAGAAGTTACTAAGAATTCTTCCCTCTAGCATTATATGAAGAAATCCCGTTTCCAACGAAGGCATCTAAGAGGTCCAAATATCCACTTGCAGACTTTACAAACAGAGGGTTTCCAGAATGCTGTATGAAAAGAAAGGTTAAACTCTGTGAGTTAAACACACACATCACTACGCAGTGTCTGGGAACGAGTTTGTCTTGTTTTTATACGAAGATATTTCCTTTTCTACCATTGGCATCGAAGCGCTTGAAATCTCCACTTGCAAATTCCACAAAAAGAGTGTTTCAAATCTGCTCTGTCTAAAGGAAGGTTGAACTCTGTGAGTTGCATACACACAACACAAAGAAGTTACTGAGAAATCTTCTGTCTAGCATAATATGAAGAAATCCCGTTTCCAACGAAGGCCTCAAAGGAGGTCCGAATATCCACTGGCAGGCTTCACAAACAGAGTGTTTCCTAACTGCTCTGTGAAAAGAAAGGTTAAACTCTGTGAGTTGAACGCACACATCACAAAGGAGTTTCTGAGAATCATTCTGTCTAGTTTTTATACGAAGATATTTCCTTTTCTACCATTGACCTCAAAGCAGCTGAAATCTCCACTTGCAAATTCCAGAAAAACAGTGTTTCAAATCTGCTCTGTGTAAAGGATCGTTCAACTCTGTGAGTTGAATACACACAACACAAGGAAGTTACTGAGAATTCATCTGTCTAGCATAATATGAAGAAATCCCGTTTCCAACGAAGGCCTCAAAGAGGTCTGAATATCCACTTGCAGACTTTACAAACAGAGTGTTTCCTAACTGCTCTTTGAAAAGAAAGGTTAAACTCTGTGAGTTGAACGCACACATCACAAAACAGTTTCTGAGAATCATTCTGTCTAGTTTTTATACGAAGATATTTCCTTTTCTACCGTTGACCTCAAAGCAGCTGAATTCTCCACTTACAAATTCCACCAAAAGAGTGTCTCAAATCTGCTCTGTGTAAAGAATCATTCAACTCTGTGAGTTGAATGCACACAACACAAGGAAGTTACTGGGAATTCCTCTGTCTAACCTTACATGAAAAAACCCGTTTCCAACGAAGGCCTCTAAGAGGCCAAGATATCCACTTGCAGACTTTACAAACAGAGTGTTTCCAAACTGCTGAATGAAAAGAAAAGTTAAACTCTGTGAGTTGAACGCACACATCACAGAGCAGTTTCTGAGAATGATTCTGTCGGGTTTTTATACGAAGATATTTCCTTTTCTGCCTTTGGCCTCAAAGCGCTTGAAGTCTCCACTTGCAAATTGCAGAAAAAGAGTGTTTCGAATCTGCTCTGTCTAAAGGAAGGTTCAACTCTGTCAGTTGAATACACACAACACAAGGAAGTTACTGAGATTTCTTCTGTCTAGCCTTACATGAAAAAAACCCGTTTCCAACGAAGGCCTCAAAGAGGTCAAAATATCCACGTGCAGACTTTCCAAACAGAGTGTTTCCAAACTGCTGAATGAAAAGAAAAGTTAAACTCTGTGAGTTGAACGCACACATCCCAGAGCAGTTTCTGAGAAAGATTCTGTCGAGTTTTTATAGGAAAATATTTCCTTTTCTGCTTTTGGCCTCAAAGCGCTTGAAATCTCCACTTGCAAATTCCACAAAAAGAGACTTTCAAATCTGCTCTGTCTAAAGGAAGGTTCAACTCTGTCAGTTGAATACACACAACACAAAGAAGTTACTAAGAATTCTTCCCTCTAGCATTATATGAAGAAATCCCGTTTCCAACGAAGGCATCTAAGAGGTCCAAATATCCACTTGCAGACTTTACAAACAGAGGGTTTCCAGAATGCTGTATGAAAAGAAAGGTGAAACTCTGTGAGTTAAACACACACATCACTACGCAGTGTCTGGGAACGAGTTTGTCTTGTTTTTATACGAAGATATTTCCTTTTCTACCATTGGCATCGAAGCGCTTGAAATCTCCACTTGCAAATTCCACAAAAAGAGTGTTTCAAATCTGCTCTGTCTAAAGGAAGGTTGAACTCTGTGAGTTGCATACACACAACACAAAGAAGTTACTGAGAAATCTTCTGTCTAGCATAATATGAAGAAATCCCGTTTCCAACGAAGGCCTCAAAGAGGTCCGAATATCCACTGGCAGGCTTCACAAACAGAGTGTTTCCTAACTGCTCTGTGAAAAGAAAGGTTAAACTCTGTGAGTTGAACGCACACATCACAAAGGAGTTTCTGAGAATCATTCTGTCTAGTTTTTATACAGAAGATATTTCCTTTTCTACCATTGACCTCAAAGCGGCTGAAATCTCCACTTGCAAATTCCAGAAAAACAGTGTTTCAAATCTGCTCTGTGTAAAGGATCGTTCAACTCTGTGAGTTGAATACACACAACACAAGGAAGTTACTGAGAATTCATCTGTCTAGCATAATATGAAGAAATCCCGTTTCCAACGAAGGCCTCAAAGAGGTCTGAATATCCACTTGCAGACTTTACAAACAGAGTGTTTCCTAACTGCTCTTTGAAAAGAAAGGTTAAACTCTGTGAGTTGAACGCACACATCACAAAACAGTTTCTGAGAATCATTCTGTCTAGTTTTTATACGAAGATATTTCCTTTTCTACCGTTGACCTCAAAGCGGCTGAATTCTCCACTAACAAATTCCACCAAAAGAGTGTCTCAAATCTGCTCTGTGTAAAGAATCATTCAACTCTGTGAGTTGAATGCACACAACACAAGGAAGTTACTGGGAATTCCTCTGTCTAACCTTACATGAAAAAACCCGTTTCCAACGAAGGCCTCTAAGAGGCCAAGATATCCACTTGCAGACTTTAGAAACAGAGTGTTTCCAAACTGCTGAATGAAAAGAAAAGTTAAACTCTGTGAGTTGAACGCACACATCACAGAGCAGTTTCTGAGAATGATTCTGTCGGGTTTTTATACGAAGATATTTCCTTTTCTGCCTTTGGCCTCAAAGCGCTTGAAGTCTCCACTTGCAAATTGCAGAAAAAGAGTGTTTCGAATCTGCTCTGTCTAAAGGAAGGTTCAACTCTGTCAGTTGAATACACACAACACAAGGAAGTTACTGAGATTTCTTCTGTCTAGCCTTACATGAAAAAAACCCGTTTCCAACGAAGGCCTCAAAGAGGTCAAAATATCCACGTGCAGACTTTCCAAACAGAGTGTTTCCAAACTGCTGAATGAAAAGAAAGTTAAACTCTGTGAGTTGAACACACACATCACAGAGCAGTTTCTGAGAATGATTCTGTCTAGTTTTTATAGGAAAATATTTCCTTTTCTGCTTTTGGCCTCAAAGCGCTTGAAATCTCCACTTGCAAATTCCACAAAAAGAGACTTTCAAATCTGCTCTGTCTAAAGGAAGGTTCAACTCTGTCAGTTGAATACACACAACACAAAGAAGTTACTAAGAATTCTTCCCTCTAGCATTATATGAAGAAATCCCGTTCCCAACGAAGGCATCTAAGAGGTCCAAATATCCACTTGCAGACTTTACAAACAGAGGGTTTCCAGAATGCTGTATGAAAAGAAAGGTTAAACTCTGTGAGTTAAACACACACATCACTACGCAGTGTCTGGGAACGAGTTTGTCTTGTTTTTATACGAAGATATTTCCTTTTCTACCATTGGCATCGAAGCGCTTGAAATCTCCACTTGCAAATTCCACAAAAAGAGTGTTTCAAATCTGCTCTGTCTAAAGGAAGGTTGAACTCTGTGAGTTGCATACACACAACACAAAGAAGTTACTGAGAAATCTTCTGTCTAGCATAATATGAAGAAATCCCGTTTCCAACGAAGGCCTGAAAGAGGTCCGAATATCCACTGGCAGGCTTCACAAACAGAGTGTTTCCTAACTGCTCTGTGAAAAGAAAGGTTAAACTCTGTGAGTTGAACGCACACATCACAAAGGAGTTTCTGAGAATCATTCTGTCTAGTTTTTATACGAAGATATTTCCTTTTCTACCATTGACCTCAAAGCGGCTGAAATCTCCACTTGCAAATTCCAGAAAAACAGTGTTTCAAATCTGCTCTGTGTAAAGGATCGTTCAACTCTGTGAGTTGAATACACACAACACAAGGAAGTTACTGAGAATTCATCTGTCTAGCATAATATGAAGAAATCCCGTTTCCAACGAAGGCCTCAAAGAGGTCTCAATATCCACTTGCAGACTTTACAAACAGAGTGTTTCCTAACTGCTCTTTGAAAAGAAAGGTTAAACTCTGTGAGTTGAACGCACACATCAAAAAACAGTTTCTGAGAATCATTCTGTCTAGTTTTTATACGAAGATATTTCCTTTTCTACCGTTGACCTCAAAGCGGCTGAATTCTCCACTTACAAATTCCACCCAAAGAGTGTCTCAAATCTGCTCTGTGTAAAGAATCATTCAACTCTGTGAGTTGAATGCACACAACACAAGGAATTTACTGGGAATTCCTCTGTCTAACCTTAAATGAAAAAACCCGTTTCCAACGAAGGCCTCTAAGAGGCCAAGATATCCACTTGCAGACTTTACAAACAGAGTGTTTCCAAACTGCTGAATGAAAAGAAAAGTTAAACTCTGTGAGTTGAACGCACACATCACAGAGCAGTTTCTGAGAATGATTCTGTCGGGTTTTTATACGAAGATATTTCCTTTTCTGCCTTTGGCCTCAAAGCGCTTGAAGTCTCCACTTGCAAATTGCAGAAAAAGAGTGTTTCGAATCTGCTCTGTCTAAAGGAAGGTTCAACTCTGTCAGTTGAATACACACAACACAAGGAAGTTACTGAGATTTCTTCTGTCTAGCCTTACATGAAAAAAAACCCGTTTCCAACGAAGGCCTCAAAGAGGTCAAAATATCCACGTGCAGACTTTCCAAACAGAGTGTTTCCAAACTGCTGAATGAAAAGAAAAGTTAAACTCTGTGAGTTGAACGCACACATCCCAGAGCAGTTTCTGAGAAAGATTCTGTCGAGTTTTTATAGGAAAATATTTCCTTTTCTGCTTTTGGCCTCAAAGCGCTTGAAATCTCCACTTGCAAATTCCACAAAAAGAGACTTTCAAATCTGCTCTGTCTAAAGGAAGGTTCAACTCTGTCAGTTGAATACACACAACACAAAGAAGTTACTAAGAATTCTTCCCTCTAGCATTATATGAAGAAATCCCGTTTCCAACGAAGGCATCTAAGAGGTCCAAATATCCACTTGCAGACTTTACAAACAGAGGGTTTCCAGAATGCTGTATGAAAAGAAAGGTGAAACTCTGTGAGTTAAACACACACATCACTACGCAGTGTCTGGGAACGAGTTTGTCTTGTTTTTATACGAAGATATTTCCTTTTCTACCATTGGCATCGAAGCGCTTGAAATCTCCACTTGCAAATTCCACAAAAAGAGTGTTTCAAATCTGCTCTGTCTAAAGGAAGGTTGAACTCTGTGAGTTGCATACACACAACACAAAGAAGTTACTGAGAAATCTTCTGTCTAGCATAATATGAAGAAATCCCGTTTCCAACGAAGGCCTCAAAGAGGTCCGAATATCCACTGGCAGGCTTCACAAACAGAGTGTTTCCTAACTGCTCTGTGAAAAGAAAGGTTAAACCCTGTGAGTTGAACGCACACATCACAAAGGAGTTTCTGAGAATCATTCTGTCTAGTTTTTATACGAAGATATTTCCTTTTCTACCATTGACCTCAAAGCGGCTGAAATCTCCACTTGCAAATTCCAGAAAAACAGTGTTTCAAATCTGCTCTGTGTAAAGGATCGTTCAACTCTGTGAGTTGAATACACACAACACAAGGAAGTTACTGAGAATTCATCTGTCTAGCATAATATGAAGAAATCCCGTTTCCAACGAAGGCCTCAAAGAGGTCTGAATATCCACTTGCAGACTTTACAAACAGAGTGTTTCCTAACTGCTCTTTGAAAAGAAAGGTTAAACTCTGTGAGTTGAACGCACACATCACAAAACAGTTTCTGAGAATCATTCTGTCTAGTTTTTATACGAAGATATTTCCTTTTCTACCGTTGACCTCAAAGCGGCTGAATTCTCCACTTACAAATTCCACCAAAAGAGTGTCTCAAATCTGCTCTGTGTAAAGAATCATTCAACTCTGTGAGTTGAATGCACACAACACAAGGAAGTTACTGGGAATTCCTCTGTCTAACCTTACATGAAAAAACCCGTTTCCAACGAAGGCCTCTAAGAGGCCAAGATATCCACTTGCAGACTTTACAAACAGAGTGTTTCCAAACTGCTGAATGAAAAGAAAAGTTAAACTCTGTGAGTTGAACGCACACATCACAGAGCAGTTTCTGAGAATGATTCTGTCGGGTTTTTATACGAAGATATTTCCTTTTCTGCCTTTGGCCTCAAAGCGCTTGAAGTCTCCACTTGCAAATTGCAGAAAAAGAGTGTTTCGAATCTGCTCTGTCTAAAGGAAGGTTCAACTCTGTCAGTTGAATACACACAACACAAGGAAGTTACTGAGATTTCTTCTGTCTAGCCTTACATGAAAAAAACCCGTTTCCAACGAAGGCCTCAAAGAGGTCAAAATATCCACGTGCAGACTTTCCAAACAGAGTGTTTCCAAACTGCTGAATGAAAAGAAAAGTTAAACTCTGTGAGTTGAACGCACACATCCCAGAGCAGTTTCTGAGAAAGATTCTGTCGAGTTTTTATAGGAAAATATTTCCTTTTCTGCTTTTGGCCTCAAAGCGCTTGAAATCTCCACTTGCAAATTCCACAAAAAGAGACTTTCAAATCTGCTCTGTCTAAAGGAAGGTTCAACTCTGTCAGTTGAATACACACAACACAAAGAAGTTACTAAGAATTCTTCCCTCTAGCATTATATGAAGAAATCCCGTTTCCAACGAAGGCATCTAAGAGGTCCAAATATCCACTTGCAGACTTTACAAACACAGGGTTTCCAGAATGCTGTATGAAAAGAAAGGTTAAACTCTGTGAGTTAAACACACACATCACTACGCAGTGTCTGGGAACGAGTTTGTCTTGTTTTTATACGAAGATATTTCCTTTTCTACCATTGGCATCGAAGCGCTTGAAATCTCCACTTGCAAATTCCACAAAAAGAGTGTTTCAAATCTGCTCTGTCTAAAGGAAGGTTGAACTCTGTGAGTTGCATACACACAACACAAAGAAGTTACTGAGAAATCTTCTGTCTAGCATAATATGAAGAAATCCCGTTTCCAACGAAGGCCTCAAAGAGGTCCGAATATCCACTGGCAGGCTTCACAAACAGAGTGTTTCCTAACTGCTCTGTGAAAAGAAAGGTTAAACTCTGTGAGTTGAACGCACACATCACAAAGGAGTTTCTGAGAATCATTCTGTCTAGTTTTTATACGAAGATATTTCCTTTTCTACCATTGACCTCAAAGCGGCTGAAATCTCCACTTGCAAATTCCAGAAAAACAGTGTTTCAAATCTGCTCTGTGTAAAGGATCGTTCAACTCTGTGAGTTGAATACACACAACACAAGGAAGTTACTGAGAATTCATCTGTCTAGCATAATATGAAGAAATCCCGTTTCCAACGAAGGCCTCAAAGAGGTCTGAATATCCACTTGCAGACTTTACAAACAGAGTGTTTCCTAACTGCTCTTTGAAAAGAAAGGTTAAACTCTGTGAGTTGAACGCACACATCACAAAACAGTTTCTGAGAATCATTCTGTCTAGTTTTTATACGAAGATATTTCCTTTTCTACCGTTGACCTCAAAGCGGCTGAATTCTCCACTTACAAATTCCACCAAAAGAGTGTCTCAAATCTGCTCTGTGTAAAGAATCATTCAACTCTGTGAGTTGAATGCACACAACACAAGGAAGTTACTGGGAATTCCTCTGTCTAACCTTAAATGAAAAAACCCGTTTCCAACGAAGGCCTCTAAGAGGCCAAGATATCCACTTGCAGACTTTACAAACAGAGTGTTTCCAAACTGCTGAATGAAAAGAAAAGTTAAACTCTGTAAGTTGAACGCACACATCACAGAGCAGTTTCTGAGAATGATTCTGTCGGGTTTTTATACGAAGATATTTCCTTTTCTGCCTTTGGCCTCAAAGCGCTTGAAGTCTCCACTTGCAAATTGCAGAAAAAGAGTGTTTCGAATCTCCTCTGTCTAAAGGAAGGTTCAACTCTGTCAGTTGAATACACACAACACAAGGAAGTTACTGAGATTTCTTCTGTCTAGCCTTACATGAAAAAAACCCGTTTCCAACGAAGGCCTCTAAGAGGCCAATATATCCACTTGCAGACTTTACAAACAGAGTGTTTCCAAACTGCTGAATGAAAAGAAAAGTTAAACTCTGTGAGTTGAACGCACACATCCCAGAGCAGTTTCTGAGAATGATTCTGTCGAGTTTTTATAGGAAAATATTTCCTTTTCTGCTTTTGGCCTCAAAGCGCTTGAAATCTCCACTTGCAAATTCCACAAAAAGAGACTTTCAAATCTGCTCTGTCTAAAGGAAGGTTCAACTCTGTCAGTTGAATACACACAACACAAAGAAGTTACTAAGAATTCTTCCCTCTAGCAGTATGTGGAGAAATCCCGTTTCCAACGAAGGCATCTAAGAGGTCCAAATATCCACTTGCAGACTTTACAAACAGAGGGTTTCCAGACTTCTGTATGAAAAGAAAGGTTAAACTCTGTGAGTTAAACACACACATCACTACGCAGTTTCTGGGAACGAGTTTGTCTTGTTTTTATACGAAGATATTTCCTTTTCTACCATTGGCATCGAAGCGCTTGAAATCTCCACTTGCAAATTCCACAAAAAGAGTGTTTCAAATCTGCTCTGTCTAAAGGAAGGTTGAACTCTGTGAGTTGCATACACACAACACAAAGAATTTACTGAGAAATCTTCTGTCTAGCATAATATGAAGAAATCCCGTTTCCAACGAAGGCCTCAAAGAGGTCCGAATATCCACTGGCAGGCTTCACAAACAGAGTGTTTCCTAACTGCTCTGTGAAAAGAAAGGTTAAACTCTGTGAGTTGAACGCACACATCACAAAGGAGTTTCTGAGAATCATTCTGTCTAGTTTTTATACGAAGATATTTCCTTTTCTACCATTGACCTCAAAGCGGCTGAAATCTCCACTTGCAAATTCCAGAAAAACAGTGTTTCAAATCTGCTCTGTGTAAAGGATCGTTTAACTCTGTGAGTTGAATACACACAACACAAGGAAAGTTACTGAGAATTCATCTGTCTAGCATAATATGAAGAAATCCCGTTTCCAACGAAGGCCTCAAAGAGGTCTGAATATCCACTTGCAGACTTTACAAACAGAGTGTTTCCTAACTGCTCTTTGAAAAGAAAGGTTAAACTCTGTGAGTTGAACGCACACATCACAAAACAGTTTCTGAGAATCATTCTGTCTAGTTTTTATACGAAGATATTTCCTTTTCTACCGTTGACCTCAAAGCGGCTGAATTCTCCACTTACAAATTCCACCAAAAGAGTGTCTCAAATCTGCTCTGTGTAAAGAATCATTCAACTCTGTGAGTTGAATGCACACAACACAAGGAAGTTACTGGGAATTCCTCTGTCTAACTTACATGAAAAAACCCTTTTCCAACGAAGGCCTCTAAGAGGCCAAGATATCCACTTGCAGACTTTACAAACAGAGTGTTTCCAAACTGCTGAATGAAAAGAAAAGTTAAACTCTGTGAGTTGAACGCACACATCACAGAGCAGTTTCTGAGAATGATTCTGTCGGGTTTTTATACGAAGATATTTCCTTTTCTGCCTTTGGCCTCAAAGCGCTTGAAGTCTCCACTTGCAAATTGCAGAAAAAGAGTGTTTCGAATCTGCTCTGTCTAAAGGAAGGTTCAACTCTGTCAGTTGAATACACATAACACAAGGAAGTTACTGAGATTTCTTCTGTCTAGCGTTACATGAAAAAAACCCGTTTCCAACGAAGGCCTCAAAGAGGTCAAAATATCCACGTGCAGACTTTCCAAACAGAGTGTTTCCAAACTGCTGAATGAAAAGAAAAGTTAAACTCTGTGAGTTGAACGCACACATCCCAGAGCAGTTTCTGAGAAAGATTCTGTCTAGTTTTTATAGGAAAATATTTCCTTTTCTGCTTTTGGCCTCAAAGCGCTTGAAATCTCCACTTGCAAATTCCACAAAAAGAGACTTTCAAATCTGCTCTATCTAAAGGAAGGTTCAACTCTGTCAGTTGAATACACACAACACAAAGAAGTTACTAAGAATTCTTCCCTCTAGCATTATATGAAGAAATCCCGTTTCCAAAGAAGGCATCTAAGAGGTCCAAATATCCACTTGCAGACTTTACAAACACAGGGTTTCCAGAATGCTGTATGAAAAGAAAGGTTAAACTCTGTGAGTTAAACACACACATCACTACGCAGTGTCTGGGAACGAGTTTGTCTTGTTTTTACACGAAGATATTTCCTTTTCTACTAATGGCATCGAAGCGCTTGAAATCTCCACTTGCAAATTCCACAAAAAGAGTGTTTCAAATCTGCTCTGTCTAAAGGAAGGTTGAACTCTGTGAGTTTCATACACACAACACAAAGAAGTTACTGAGAAATCTTCTGTCTAGCATAATATGAAGAAATCCCGTTTCCAACGAAGGCCTCAAAGAGGTCCGAATATCCACTGGCAGATTTCACAAACCGAGTGTTTCGTAACTGCTCTATGAAAAGAAAGGTTAAACTCTGTGAGTTGAAAGCACACATCACAAAAGAGTTTCTGAGAATCATTCTGTCTAGTTTTTATACGAAGATATTTCCTTTTCTACTGTTGACTTCAAAGCAGCTGAATTCTCCACTTACAAATTCCACGAAAAGAGTGTCTCAAATCTGCTCTGTGTAAAGAATCATTCAACTCTGTGAGTTGAATGCACACAACACAAGGAATTTACTGGGAATTCCTCTGTCTAACCTTACATGAAAAAAAACCCGTTTCCAACGAAGTCCTCTAAGAGGGCAATATATCCACTTGCAGACCATACAAACAGGGTGTTTCCAAACTGCTGAATGAAATGAAAAGTTAAACTCTGTGAGTTGAACGCACACATCACAGAGCAGTTTCTGAGAATGATTCTGTCTGGTTTTTATACGAAGATATTTCCTTTTCTGCCTTTGACCTCAAGGCGCTTGATGTCTCCACTTGCAAATTGCACAAAAAGAGTGTTTCGAATCTGCTCTGTCTAAAGGAAGGTTCAACTCTGTCAGTTGAATACCCACAACACAAGGAAGTTACTGAGATTTCTTCTGTCTAACCTTACATGAAAAAAACCCGTTTCCAACGAAGGCCTCTAAGTAGGCCAATATATCCACTTGCAGACTTTACAAACAGAGTGTTTCCAAACTGCTAAATGAAAAGAAAAGTTAAACTCTGTGAGTTGAACGCACACATCACAGAGCAGTTTCTGAGAATGATTCTGTCTAGTTTTTATAGGAAAATATTTCCTTTTCTGCCTTTGGCCTCAAAGCGCTTGAAATCTCCACTTGCAAATTCCACAAAAAGATTGTTTCAAATCTGCTCTGTCTAAAGGAAGGTTCAACTCTGTCAGTTGAATACACACAACACAAAGAAGTTACTAAGAATTCTTCCCTCTAGCATTATATGGAGAAATCCCGTTTCCAACGAAGGCATCTAAGAGGTCCAGATATCCACTTGCAGACTTTACAAACAGAGTGTTTCCAGAATGCTGTATGAAAAGAATGGTTGAACTCAGTGAGTTGAACGCACACATCACAAAGGAGTTTCTGAGAATCATTCTGTCTAGTTTTTATACGAAGATATTTCCTTTTCTACCATTGACCTCAAGGTGGCTGAAATCTCCACTTGCAAATTCCACAAAAAGAGTGTTTCAGATCTGCTCTGTGTGAAAGATGGTTCAACTCTGTGAGTTGAATACACACAACACAAGGAAGTTACTGAGAATTCTTCTGTCTAGTATTATAGGACGAAATCCTGTTTCCAAAGAAGTCCTCAAAGAGGTCAGAATATCCACTTGCAGACTTGACAAACAGAGCGCTTACAAACGGCTCTATGAAAAGAAAGGTTAAACACTGTGAGTTGAACGCACACATCACAACGCAGTTTCTGGGAATGATACTGTCTAGTTTTGAAACGAAGTTATTTCCTTTTCTGCCATTGACCTTAAAGCGCTTGAAATCTCCACTTGCAAATTGCACAAAAAGAGTGTTTCAAATCTGCTCTGTCTAAAGGAACGTTCAACTCTGTGAGTTGAATGCACACAACACAAAGAAGTTACCGGGAATTCTTCTGTCTAGCCTTACATGAAAAAAAACCGTTTCCAACGAAGGCCTCTAAGAGGCCAATATATCCACTTGCAGACTTTACAAACAGAGTGTTTCCAAACTGCTGAATGAAAAGAAAAGTTAAACTCTGTGAGTTGAACGCACACATCACAGAGCAGTTTCTGAGAATGATTCTGTCGAGTTTTTATAGGAAAATATTTCCTTTTCTGCTTTTGGCCTCAAAGCGCTTGAAATCTCCACTTGCAAATTCCACAAAAAGAGACTTTCAAATCTGCTCTGTCTAAAGGAAGGTTCAACTCTGTCAGTTGAATACACACAACACAAAGAATTTACTAAGAATTCTTCCCTCTAACAGTATGTGGAGAAATCCCGTTTCCAACGAAGGCATCTAAGAGGTCCAAATATCCACTTGCAGACTTTACAAACACAGGGTTTCCAGACTTCTGTATGAAAAGAAAGGTTAAACTCTGTGAGTTAAACACACACATCACTACGCAGTTTCTGGGAACGAGTCTGTCGAGTTTTTATAGGAAAATATTTCCTTTTCTGCTTTTGGCCTCAAAGCGCTTGAAATCTCCACTTGCAAATTCCACAAAAAGAGACTTTCAAATCTGCTCTGTCTAAAGGAAGGTTCAACTCTGTCAGTTGAATACACACAACACAAAGAAGTTACTAAGAATTCTTCCCTCTAGCATTATATGAAGAAATCCCGTTTGCAACGAAGGCATCTAAGAGGTCCAAATATCC
This sequence comes from Homo sapiens, assembly GCF_000001405.40. Taxonomy (NCBI): domain Eukaryota; kingdom Metazoa; phylum Chordata; class Mammalia; order Primates; family Hominidae; genus Homo; species Homo sapiens. The sequence continues at coordinate 36,746,541 of NC_000016.10, read as the reverse complement.
ACTTGCAGACTTTACAAACAGAGGGTTTCCAGAATGCTGTATGAAAAGAAAGGTTAAACTCTGTGAGTTAAACACACACATCACTACGCAGTGTCTGGGAACGAGTTTGTCTTGTTTTTATACGAAGATATTTCCTTTTCTACCATTGGCATCGAAGCGCTTGAAATCTCCACTTGCAAATTCCACAAAAAGAGTGTTTCAAATCTGCTCTGTCTAAAGGAAGGTTGAACTCTGTGAGTTGCATACACACAACACAAAGAAGTTACTGAGAAATCTTCTGTCTAGCATAATATGAAGAAATCCCGTTTCCAACGAAGGCCTCAAAGAGGTCTGAATATCCACTGGCAGGCTTCACAAACAGAGTGTTTCCTAACTGCTCTGTGAAAAGAAAGGTTAAACTCTGTGAGTTGAACGCACACATCACAAAGGAGTTTCTGAGAATCATTATCCTGTCGAGGTTTTATAGGAAAATATTTCCTTTTCTGCTTTTGGCCTCAAAGCGCTTGAAATCTCCACTTGCAAATTCCACAAAAAGAGACTTTCAAATCTGCTCTGTCTAAAGGAAGGTTCAACTCTGTCAGTTGAATACACACAACACAAAGAAGTTACTAAGAATTCTTCTGTCTAGCCTTACATGAAAAAAACCCGTTTCCAACGAAGGCCTCAAAGAGGTCAATATATCCACTTGCAGACTATACAAACAGAGCGTATCCAAACTGCTGAATGAAAAGAAAAGTTAAACTCTGTGAGTTGAACGCACACATCACAGAGCAGTTTTGAGAATGATTTTGTCTTGTTTTTATACGAAGATATTTCCTTTTCTACCATTGGCATCGAAGCGCTTGAAATCTCCACTTGCAAATTCCACAAAAAGAGTGTTTCAAATCTGCTCTGTCTAAAGGAAGGTTGAACTCTGTGAGTTGCATACACACAACACAAAGAAGTTACTGAGAAATCTTCTGTCTAGCATAATATGAAGAAATCCCGTTTCCAACGAAGGCCTCAAAGAGGTCCGAATATCCACTGGCAGGCTTCACAAACAGAGTGTTTCCTAACTGCTCTGTGAAAAGAAAGGTTAAACCCTGTGAGTTGAACGCACACATCACAAAGGAGTTTCTGAGAATCATTCTGTCTAGTTTTTATACGAAGATATTTCCTTTTCTACCATTGACCTCAAAGCGGCTGAAATCTCCACTTGCAAATTCCAGAAAAACAGTGTTTCAAATCTGCTCTGTGTAAAGGATCGTTCAACTCTGTGAGTTGAATACACACAACACAAGGAAGTTACTGAGAATTCATCTGTCTAGCATAATATGAAGAAATCCCGTTTCCAACGAAGGCCTCAAAGAGGTCTGAATATCCACTTGCAGACTTTACAAACAGAGTGTTTCCTAACTGCTCTTTGAAAAGAAAGGTTAAACTCTGTGAGTTGAACGCACACATCACAAAACAGTTTCTGAGAATCATTCTGCCTAGTTTTTATAGGAAGATATTTCCTTTTCTACCGTTGACCTCAAAGCGGCTGAATTCTCCACTTACAAATTCCACCAAAAGAGTGTCTCAAATCTGCTCTGTGTAAAGAATCATTCAACTCTGTGAGTTGAATGCACACAACACAAGGAAGTTACTGGGAATTCCTCTGTCTATCCTTACATGAAAAAACCCGTTTCCAACGAAGGCCTCTAAGAGGCCAAGATATCCACTTGCAGACTTTACAAACAGAGTGTTTCCAAACTGCTGAATGAAAAGAAAAGTTAAACTCTGTGAGTTGAACGCACACATCACAGAGCAGTTTCTGAGAATGATTCTGTCGGGTTTTTATACGAAGATATTTCCTTTTCTGCCTTTGGCCTCAAAGCGCTTGAAGTCTCCACTTGCAAATTGCAGAAAAAGAGTGTTTCGAATCTGCTCTGTCTAAAGGAAGGTTCAACTCTGTCAGTTGAATACACACAACACAAGGAAGTTACTGAGATTTCTTCTGTCTAGCCTTACATGAAAAAAACCCGTTTCCAACGAAGGCCTCAAAGAGGTCAAAATATCCACGTGCAGACTTTCCAAACAGAGTGTTTCCAAACTGCTGAATGAAAAGAAAAGTTAAACTCTGTGAGTTGAACGCACACATCCCAGAGCAGTTTCTGAGAAAGATTCTGTCTAGTTTTTATAGGAAAATATTTCCTTTTCTGCTTTTGGCCTCAAAGCGCTTGAAATCTCCACTTGCAAATTCCACAAAAAGAGACTTTCAAATCTGCTCTGTCTAAAGGAAGGTTCAACTCTGTCAGTTGAATACACACAACACAAAGAAGTTACTAAGAATTCTTCCCTCTAGCATTATATGAAGAAATCCCGTTTCCAACGAAGGCATCTAAGAGGTCCAAATATCCACTTGCAGACTTTACAAACAGAGGGTTTCCAGAATGCTGTATGAAAAGAAAGGTTAAACTCTGTGAGTTAAACACACACATCACTACGCAGTGTCTGGGAACGAGTTTGTCTTGTTTTTATACGAAGATATTTCCTTTTCTACCATTGGCATCGAAGCGCTTGAAATCTCCACTTGCAAATTCCACAAAAAGAGTGTTTCAAATCTGCTCTGTCTAAAGGAAGGTTGAACTCTGTGAGTTGCATACACACAACACAAAGAAGTTACTGAGAAATCTTCTGTCTAGCATAATATGAAGAAATCCCGTTTCCAACGAAGGCCTCAAAGAGGTCCGAATATCCACTGGCAGGCTTCACAAACAGAGTGTTTCCTAACTGCTCTGTGAAAAGAAAGGTTAAACTCTGTGAGTTGAACGCACACATCACAAAGGAGTTTCTGAGAATCATTCTGTCCAGTTTTTATACGAAGATATTTCCTTTTCTACCATTGACCTCAAAGCGGCTGAAATCTCCACTTGCAAATTCCAGAAAAACAGTGTTTCAAATCTGCTCTGTGTAAAGGATCGTTCAACTCTGTGAGTTGAATACACACAACACAAGGAAGTTACTGAGAATTCATCTGTCTAGCATAATATGATGAAATCCCGTTTCCAACGAAGGCTTCAAAGAGGTCTGAATATCCACTTGCAGACTTTACAAACAGAGTGTTTCCTAACTGCTCTTTGAAAAGAAAGGTTAAACTCTGTGAGTTGAACGCACACATCACAAAACAGTTTCTGAGAATCATTCTTTCTAGTTTTTATACGAAGATATTTCCTTTTCTACCGTTGACCTCAAAGCGGCTGAATTCTCCACTTACAAATTCCACCAAAAGTGTGTCTCAAATCTGCTCTGTGTAAAGAATCATTCAACTCTGTGAGTTGAATGCACACAACACAAGGAAGTTACTGGGAATTCCTCTGTCTAACCTTACATGAAAAAACGCGTTTCCAACGAAGGCCTCTAAGAGTCCAAGATATCCACTTGCAGACTTTACAAACAGAGTGTTTCCAAACTGCTGAATGAAAAGAAAAGTTAAACTCTGTGAGTTGAACGCACACATCACAGAGCAGTTTCTGAGAATGATTCTGTCGGGTTTTTATACGAAGATATTTCCTTTTCTGCCTTTGGCCTCAAAGCGCTTGAAGTCTCCACTTGCAAATTGCAGAAAAAGAGCGTTTCGAATCTGCTCTGTCTAAAGGAAGGTTCAACTCTGTCAGTTGAATACACACAACACAAGGAAGTTACTGAGATTTCTTCTGTCTAGCCTTACATGAAAAAAACCCGTTTCCAACGAAGGCCTCTAAGAGGCCAAGATATCCACTTGCAGACTTTACAAACAGAGTGTTTCCAAACTGCTGAATGAAAAGAAAAGTTAAACTCTGTGAGTTGAACGCACACATCACAGAGCAGTTTCTGAGAATGATTCTGTCGGGTTTTTATACGAAGATATTTCCTTTTCTGCCTTTGGCCTCAAAGCGCTTGAAGTCTCCACTTGCAAATTGCAGAAAAAGAGCGTTTCGAATCTGCTCTGTCTAAAGGAAGGTTCAACTCTGTCAGTTGAATACACACAACACAAGGGAAGTTACTGAGATTTCTTCTGTCTAGCCTTACATGAAAAAAACCCGTTTCCAACGAAGGCCTCAAAGAGGTCAAAATATCCACGTGCAGACTTTCCAAACAGAGTGTTTCCAAACTGCTGAATGAAAAGAAAGTTAAACTCTGTGAGTTGAACACACACATCACAGAGCAGTTTCTGAGAATGATTCTGTCTAGTTTTTATAGGAAAATATTTCCTTTTCTGCTTTTGGCCTCAAAGCGCTTGAAATCTCCACTTGCAAATTCCACAAAAAGAGACTTTCAAATCTGCTCTGTCTAAAGGAAGGTTCAACTCTGTCAGTTGAATACACACAACACAAAGAAGTTACTAAGAATTCTTCCCTCTAGCATTATATGAAGAAATCCCGTTTCCAACGAAGGCCTCAAAGAGGTCTGAATATCCACTTGCAGACTTTACAGAGTGTTTCCTAACTGCTCTTTGAAAAGAAAGGTTAAACTCTGTGAGTTGAACGCACACATCACAAAACAGTTTCTGAGAATCATTCTGTCTAGTTTTTATACGAAGATATTTCCTTTTCTACCGTTGACCTCAAAGCGGCTGAATTCTCCACTTACAAATTCCACCAAAAGAGTGTCTCAAATCTGCTCTGTGTAAAGAATCATTCAACTCTGTGAGTTGAATGCACACAACACAAGGAAGTTACTGGGAATTCCTCTGTCTAACCTTACATGAAAAAACCCGTTTCCAACGAAGGCCTCTAAGAGGCCAAGATATCCACTTGCAGACTTTACAAACAGAGTGTTTCCAAACTGCTGAATGAAAAGAAAAGTTAAACTCTGTGAGTTGAACGCACACATCACAGAGCAGTTTCTGAGAATGATTCTGTCGGGTTTTTATACGAAGATATTTCCTTTTCTGCCTTTGGCCTCAAAGCGCTTGAAGTCTCCACTTGCAAATTGCAGAAAAAGAGTGTTTCGAATCTGCTCTGTCTAAAGGAAGGTTCAACTCTGTCAGTTGAATACACACAACACAAGGAAGTTACTGAGATTTCTTCTGTCTAGCCTTACATGACAAAACCCGTTTCCAACGAAGGCCTCAAAGAGGTCAAAATATCCACGTGCAGACTTTCCAAACAGAGTGTTTCCAAACTGCTGAATGAAAAGAAAAGTTAAACTGTGTGAGTTGAACGCACACATCACAGAGCAGTTTCTGAGAATGATTCTGTCTAGTTTTTATAGGAAAATATTTCCTTTTCTGCTTTTGGCCTCAAAGCGCTTGAAATCTCCACTTGCAAATTCCACAAAAAGAGACTTTCAAATCTGCTCTGTCTAAAGGAAGGTTCAACTCTGTCAGTTGAATACACACAACACAAAGAAGTTACTAAGAATTCTTCCCTCTAGCATTATATGAAGAAATCCCGTTTCCAACGAAGGCATCTAAGAGGTCCAAATATCCACTTGCAGACTTTACAAACACAGGGTTTCCAGAATGCTGTATGAAAAGAAAGGTTAAACTCTGTGAGTTAAACACACACATCACTACGCAGTGTCTGGGAACGAGTTTGTCTTGTTTTTATACGAAGATATTTCCTTTTCTACCATTGGCATCGAAGCGCTTGAAATCTCCACTTGCAAATTCCACAAAAACAGTGTTTCAAATCTGCTCTGTCTAAAGGAAGGTTGAACTCTGTGAGTTGCATACACACAACACAAAGAAGTTACTGAGAAATCTTCTGTCTAGCATAATATGAAGAAATCCCGTTTCCAACGAAGGCCTCAAAGAGGTCCGAATATCCCCTGGCAGGCTTCACAAACAGAGTGTTTCCTAACTGCTCTGTGAAAAGAAAGGTTAAACTCTGTGAGTTGAACGCACACATCACAAAGGAGTTTCTGAGAATCATTCTGTCTAGGTTTTATACGAAGATATTTCCTTTTCTACCATTGACCTCAAAGCGGCTGAAATCTCCACTTGCAAATTCCAGAAAAACAGTGTTTCAAATCTGCTCTGTGTAAAGGATCGTTCAACTCTGTGAGTTGAATACACACAACACAAGGAAGTTACTGAGAATTCATCTGTCTAGCATAATATGAAGAAATCCCGTTTCCAACGAAGGCCTCAAAGAGGTCTGAATATCCGCTTGCAGACTTTACAAACAGAGTGTTTCCTAACTGCTCTCTGAAAAGAAAGGTTAAACTCTGTGAGTTGAACGCACACATCACAAAACAGTTTCTGAGAATCATTCTGTCTAGTTTTTATACGAAGATATTTCCTTTTCTACCGTTGACCTCAAAGCGGCTGAATTCTCCACTTACAAATTCCACCCAAAGAGTGTCTCAAATCTGCTCTGTGTAAAGAATCATTCAACTCTGTGAGTTGAATGCACACAACACAAGGAAGTTACTGGGAATTCCTCTGTCTATCCTTACATGAAAAAACCCGTTTCCAACGAAGGCCTCTAAGAGGCCAAGATATCCACTTGCAGACTTTACAAACAGAGTGTTTCCAAACTGCTGAATGAAAAGAAAAGTTAAACTCTGTGAGTTGAACGCACACATCACAGAGCAGTTTCTGAGAATGATTCTGTCGGGTTTTTATACGAAGATATTTCCTTTTCTGCCTTTGGCCTCAAAGCGCTTGAAGTCTCCACTTGCAAATTGCAGAAAAAGAGTGTTTCGAATCTGCTCTGTCTAAAGGAAGGTTCAACTCTGTCAGTTGAATACACACAACACAAGGGAATTTACTGAGATTTCTTCTGTCTAGCCTTACATGAAAAAAACCCGTTTCCAACGAAGGCCTCAAAGAGGTCAAAATATCCACGTGCAGACTTTCCAAACAGAGTGTTTCCAAACTGCTGAATGAAAAGAAAAGTTAAACTCTGTGAGTTGAACGCACACATCCCAGAGCAGTTTCTGAGAACGATTCTGTCGAGTTTTTATAGGAAAATATTTCCTTTTCTGCTTTTGGCCTCAAAGCGCTTGAAATCTCCACTTGCAAATTCCACAAAAAGAGACTTTCAAATCTGCTCTGTCTAAAGGAAGGTTCAACTCTGTCAGTTGAATACACACAACACAAAGAAGTTACTAAGAATTCTTCCCTCTAGCATTATATGAAGAAATCCCGTTTCCAACGAAGGCATCTAAGAGGTCCAAATATCCACTTGCAGACTTTACAAACACAGGGTTTCCAGAATGCTGTATGAAAAGAAAGGTTAAACTCTGTGAGTTAAACACACACATCACTACGCAGTGTCTGGGAACGAGTTTGTCTTGTTTTTATACGAAGATATTTCCTTTTCTACCATTGGCATCGAAGCGCTTGAAATCTCCACTTGCAAATTCCACAAAAAGAGTGTTTCAAATATGCTCTCTCTAAAGGAAGGTTGAACTCTGTGAGTTGCATACACACAACACAAAGAAGTTACTGAGAAATCTTCTGTCTAGCATAATATGAAGAAATCCCGTTTCCAACGAAGGCCTCAAAGAGGTCCGATTATCCACTGGCAGGCTTCACAAACAGAGTGTTTCCTAACTGCTCTGTGAAAAGAAAGGTTAAACTCTGTGAGTTGAACGCACACATCACAAAGGAGTTTCTGAGAATCATTCTGTCTAGTTTTTATACGAAGATATTTCCTTTTCTACCATTGACCTCAAAGCGGCTGAAATCTCCACTTGCAAATTCCAGAAAAACAGTGTTTCAAATCTGCTCTGTGTAAAGGATCGTTCAACTCTGTGAGTTGAATACACACAACACAAGGAAGTTACTGAGAATTCATCTGTCTAGCATAATATGAAGACATCCCGTTTCCAACGAAGGCCTCAAAGAGGTCTGAATATCCACTTGCAGACTTTACAAACAGAGTGTTTCCTAACTGCTCTTTGAAAAGAAAGGTTAAACTCTGTGAGTTGAACTCACACATCACAAAACAGTTTCTGAGAATCATTCTGTCTAGTTTTTATACGAAGATATTTCCTTTTCTACCGTTGACCTCAAAGCGGCTGAATTCTCCACTTACAAATTCCACCAAAAGAGTGTCTCAAATCTGCTCTGTGTAAAGAATCATTCAACTCTGTGAGTTGAATGCACACAACACAAGGAAGTTACTGGGAATTCCTCTGTCTAACCTTACATGAAAAAACCCGTTTCCAACGAAGGCCTCTAAGAGGCCAAGATATCCACTTGCAGACTTTACAAACAGAGTGTTTCCAAACTGCTGAATGAAAAGAAAAGTTAAACTCTGTGAGTTGAACGCACACATCACAGAGCAGTTTCTGAGAGTGATTCTGTCGGGTTTTTATACGAAGATATTTCCTTTTCTGCCTTTGGCCTCAAAGCGCTTGAAGTTTCCACTTGCAAATTGCAGAAAAAGAGTGTTTCGAATCTGCTCTGTCTAAAGGAAGGTTCAACTCTGTCAGTTGAATACACACAACACAAGGAAGTTACTGAGATTTCTTCTGTCTAGCCTTACATGAAAAAAACCCGTTTCCAACGAAGGCCTCAAAGAGGTCAAAATATCCACGTGCAGACTTTCCAAACAGAGTGTTTCCAAACTGCTGAATGAAAAGTAAAGTTAAACTCTGTGAGTTGAACGCACACATCCCAGAGCAGTTTCTGAGAAAGATTCTGTCGAGTTTTTATAGGAAAATATTTCCTTTTCTGCTTTTGGCCTCAAAGCGCTTGAAATCTCCACTTGCAAATTCCACAGAAAGAGACTTTCAAATCTGCTCTGTCTAAAGGAAGGTTCAACTCTGTCAGTTGAATACACACAACACAAAGAAGTTACTAAGAATTCTTCCCTCTAGCATTATATGAAGAAATCCCGTTTCCAACGAAGGCATCTAAGAGGTCCAAATATCCACTTGCAGACTTTACAAACACAGGGTTTCCAAAATGCTGTATGAAAAGAAAGGTTAAACTCTGTGAGTTAAACACACACATCACTACGCAGTGTCTGGGAACGAGTTTGTCTTGTTTTTATACGAAGATATTTCCTTTTCTACCATTGGCATCGAAGCGCTTGAAATCTCCACTTGCAAATTCCACAAAAAGAGTGTTTCAAATATGCTCTCTCTAAAGGAAGGTTGAACTCTGTGAGTTGCATACACACAACACAAAGAAGTTACTGAGAAATCTTCTGTCTAGCATAATATGAAGAAATCCCGTTTCCAACGAAGGCCTCAAAGAGGTCCGATTATCCACTGGCAGGCTTCACAAACAGAGTGTTTCCTAACTGCTCTGTGAAAAGAAAGGTTAAACTCTGTGAGTTGAACGCACACATCACAAAGGAGTTTCTGAGAATCATTCTGTCTAGTTTTTATACGAAGATATTTCCTTTTCTACCATTGACCTCAAAGCGGCTGAAATCTCCACTTGCAAATTCCAGAAAAACAGTGTTTCAAATCTGCTCTGTGTAAAGGATCGTTCAACTCTGTGAGTTGAATACACACAACACAAGGAAGTTACTGAGAATTCATCTGTCTAGCATAATATGAAGAAATCCCGTTTCCAACGAAGGCCTCAAAGAGGTCTGAATATCCACTTGCAGACTTTACAAACAGAGTGTTTCCTAACTGCTCTCTGAAAAGAAAGGTTAAACTCTGTGAGTTGAACGCACACATCAAAAAACAGTTTCTGAGAATCATTCTGTCTAGATTTTATACGAAGATATTTCCTTTTCTACCGTTGACCTCAAAGCGGCTGAATTCTCCACTTACAAATTCCACCCAAAGAGTGTCTCAAATCTGCTCTGTGTAAAGAATCATTCAACTCTGTGAGTTGAATGCACACAACACAAGGAAGTTACTGGGAATTCCTCTGTCTATCCTTACATGAAAAAACCCGTTTCCAACGAAGGCCTCTAAGAGGCCAAGATATCCACTTGCAGACTTTACAAACAGAGTGTTTCCAAACTGCTGAATGAAAAGAAAAGTTAAACTCTGTGAGTTGAACGCACACATCACAGAGCAGTTTCTGAGAATGATTCTGTCGGGTTTTTATACGAAGATATTTCCTTTTCTGCCTTTGGCCTCAAAGCGCTTGAAGTCTCCACTTGCAAATTGCAGAAAAAGAGTGTTTCGAATCTGCTCTGTCTAAAGGAAGGTTCAACTCTGTCAGTTGAATACACACAACACAAGGAAGTTACTGAGATTTCTTCTGTCTAGCCTTACATGAAAAAAACCCGTTTCCAACGAAGGCCTCAAAGAGGTCAAAATATCCACGTGCAGACTTTCCAAACAGAGTGTTTCCAAACTGCTGAATGAAAAGAAAAGTTAAACTCTGTGAGTTGAACGCACACATCCCAGAGCAGTTTCTGAGAAAGATTCTGTCGAGTTTTTATAGGAAAATATTTCCTTTTCTGCTTTCGGCCTCAAAGCGCTTGAAATCTCCACTTGCAAATTCCACAAAAAGAGACTTTCAAATCTGCTCTGTCTAAAGGAAGGTTCAACTCTGTCAGTTGAATACACACAACACAAAGAAGTTACTAAGAATTCTTCCCTCTAGCATTATATGAAGAAATCCCGTTTCCAACGAAGGCATCTAAGAGGTCCAAATATCCACTTGCAGACTTTACAAACACAGGGTTTCCAGAATGCTGTATGAAAAGAAAGGTGAAACTACTGTGAGTTAAACACACACATCACTACGCAGTGTCTGGGAACGAGTTTGTCTTGTTTTTATACGAAGATATTTCCTTTTCTACCATTGGCATCGAAGCGCTTGAAATCTCCACTTGCAAATTCCACAAAAAGAGTGTTTCAAATCTGCTCTGTCTAAAGGAAGGTTGAACTCTGTGAGTTGCATACACACAACACAAAGAAGTTACTGAGAAATCTTCTGTCTAGCATAATATGAAGAAATCCCGTTTCCAACGAAGGCCTCAAAGAGGTCCGAATATCCACTGGCAGGCTTCACAAACAGAGTGTTTCCTAACTGCTCTGTGAAAAGAAAGGTTAAACTCTGTGAGTTGAACGCACACATCACAAAGGAGTTTCTGAGAATCATTCTGTCTAGTTTTTATACGAAGATATTTCCTTTTCTACCATTGACCTCAAAGCGGCTGAAATCTCCACTTGCAAATTCCAGAAAAACAGTGTTTCAAATCTGCTCTGTGTAAAGGATCGTTCAACTCTGTGAGTTGAATACACACAACACAAGGAAGTTACTGAGAATTCATCTGTCTAGCATAATATGAAGAAATCCCGTTTCCAACGAAGGCCTCAAAGAGGTCTGAATATCCACTTGCAGACTTTACAAACAGAGTGCTTCCTAACTGCTCTTTGAAAAGAAAGGTTAAACTCTGTGAGTTGAACGCACACATCACAAAACAGTTTCTGAGAATCATTCTGTCTAGTTTTTATACGAAGATATTTCCTTTTCTACCGTTGACCTCAAAGCGGCTGAATTCTCCACTTACAAATTCCACCAAAAGAGTGTCTCAAATCTGCTCTGTGTAAAGAATCATTCAACTCTGTGAGTTGAATGCACACAACACAAGGAAGTTACTGGGAATTCCTCTGTCTATCCTTACATGAAAAAACCCGTTTCCAACGAAGGCCTCTAAGAGGCCAAGATATCCACTTGCAGACTTTACAAACAGAGTGTTTCCAAACTGCTGAATGAAAAGAAAAGTTAAACTCTGTGAGTTGAACGCACACATCACAGACCAGTTTCTGAGAATGATTCTGTCGGGTTTTTATACGAAGATATTTCCTTTTCTGCCTTTGGCCTCAAAGCGCTTGAAGTCTCCACTTGCAAATTGCAGAAAAAGAGTGTTTCGAATCTGCTCTGTCTAAAGGAAGGTTCAACTCTGTCAGTTGAATACACACAACACAAGGAAGTTACTGAGATTTCTTCTGTCTAGCCTTACATGAAAAAAACCCGTTTCCAACGAAGGCCTCAAAGAGGTCAAAATATCCACGTGCAGACTTTCCAAACAGAGTGTTTCCAAACTGCTGAATGAAAAGAAAAGTTAAACTCTGTGAGTTGAACGCACACATCCCAGAGCAGTTTTCTGAGAAAGATTCTGTCGAGTTTTTATAGGAAAATATTTCCTTTTCTGCTTTTGGCCTCAAAGCGCTTGAAATCTCCACTTGCAAATTCCACAAAAAGAGACTTTCAAATCTGCTCTGTCTAAAGGAAGGTTCAACTCTGTCAGTTGAATACACACAACACAAAGAAGTTACTAAGAATTCTTCCCTCTAGCATTATATGAAGAAATCCCGTTTCCAACGAAGGCATCTAAGAGGTCCAAATATCCACTTGCAGACTTTACAAACACAGGGTTTCCAGAATGCTGTATGAAAAGAAAGGTGAAACTCTGTGAGTTAAACACACACATCACTACGCAGTGTCTGGGAACGAGTTTGTCTTGTTTTTATACGAAGATATTTCCTTTTCTACCATTGGCATCGAAGCGCTTGAAATCTCCACTTGCAAATTCCACAAAAAGAGTGTTTCAAATCTGCTCTGTCTAAAGGAAGGTTGAACTCTGTGAGTTGCATACACACAACACAAAGAAGTTACTGAGAAATCTTCTGTCTAGCATAATATGAAGAAATCCCGTTTCCAACGAAGGCCTCAAAGAGGTCCGAATATCCACTGGCAGGCTTCACAAACAGAGTGTTTCCTAACTGCTCTGTGAAAAGAAAGGTTAAACTCTGTGAGTTGAACGCACACATCACAAAGGAGTTTCTGAGAATCATTCTGTCTAGTTTTTATACGAAGATATTTCCTTTTCTACCATTGACCTCAAAGCGGCTGAAATCTCCACTTGCAAATTCCAGAAAAACAGTGTTTCAAATCTGCTCTGTGTAAAGGATCGTTCAACTCTGTGAGTTGAATACACACAACACAAGGAAGTTACTGAGAATTCATCTGTCTAGCATAATATGAAGAAATCCCGTTTCCAACGAAGGCCTCAAAGAGGTCTGAATATCCACTTGCAGACTTTACAAACAGAGTGTTTCCTAACTGCTCTTTGAAAAGAAAGGTTAAACTCTGTGAGTTGAACGCACACATCACAAAACAGTTTCTGAGAATCATTCTGTCTAGTTTTTATACGAAGATATTTCCTTTTCTACCGTTGACCTCAAAGCGGCTGAATTCTCCACTTACAAATTCCACCAAAAGAGTGTCTCAAATCTGCTCTGTGTAAAGAATCATTCAACTCTGTGAGTTGAATGCACACAACACAAGGAAGTTACTGGGAATTCCTCTGTCTAACCTTACATGAAAAAACCCGTTTCCAACGAAGGCCTCTAAGAGGCCAAGATATCCACTTGCAGACTTTACAAACAGAGTGTTTCCAAACTGCTGAATGAAAAGAAAAGTTAAACTCTGTGAGTTGAACGCACACATCACAGAGCAGTTTCTGAGAATGATTCTGTCGGGTTTTTATACGAAGATATTTCCTTTTCTGCCTTTGGCCTCAAAGCGCTTGAAGTCTCCACTTGCAAATTGCAGAAAAAGAGTGTTTCGAATCTGCTCTGTCTAAAGGAAGGTTCAACTCTGTCAGTTGAATACACACAACACAAGGAAGTTACTGAGATTTCTTCTGTCTAGCCTTACATGAAAAAAACCCGTTTCCAACGAAGGCCTCAAAGAGGTCAAAATATCCACGTGCAGACTTTCCAAACAGAGTGTTTCCAAACTGCTGAATGAAAAGTTAAACTCTGTGAGTTGAACGCACACATCCCAGAGCAGTTTCTGAGAAAGATTCTGTCGAGTTTTTATAGGAAAATATTTCCTTTTCTGCTTTTGGCCTCAAAGCGCTTGAAATCTCCACTTGCAAATTCCACAAAAAGAGACTTTCAAATCTGCTCTGTCTAAAGGAAGGTTCAACTCTGTCAGTTGAATACACACAACACAAAGAAGTTACTAAGAATTCTTCCCTCTAGCATTATATGAAGAAATCCCGTTTCCAACGAAGGCATCTAAGAGGTCCAAATATCCACTTGCAGACTTTACAAACACAGGGTTTCCAGAATGCTGTATGAAAAGAAAGGTGAAACTCTGTGAGTTAAACACACACATCACTACGCAGTGTCTGGGAACGAGTTTGTCTTGTTTTTATACGAAGATATTTCCTTTTCTACCATTGGCATCGAAGCGCTTGAAATCTCCACTTGCAAATTCCACAAAAAGAGTGTTTCAAATCTGCTCTGTCTAAAGGAAGGTTGAACTCTGTGAGTTGCATACACACAACACAAAGAAGTTACTGAGAAATCTTCTGTCTAGCATAATATGAAGAAATCCCGTTTCCAACGAAGGCCTCAAAGAGGTCCGAATATCCACTGGCAGGCTCCACAAACAGAGTGTTTCCTAACTGCTCTGTGAAAAGAAAGGTTAAACTCTGTGAGTTGAACGCACACATCACAAAGGAGTTTCTGAGAATCATTCTGTCTAGTTTTTATACGAAGATATTTCCTTTTCAACCATTGACCTCAAATCGGCTGAAATCTCCACTTGCAAATTCCAGAAAAACAGTGTTTCAAATCTGCTCTGTGTAAAGGATCGTTCAACTCTGTGAGTTGAATACACACAACACAAGGAAGTTACTGAGAATTCATCTGTCTAGCATAATATGAAGAAATCCCGTTTCCAACGAAGGCCTCAAAGAGGTCTGAATATCCACTTGCAGACTTTACAAACAGAGTGTTTCCTAACTGCTCTCTGAAAAGAAAGGTTAAACTCTGTGAGTTGAACGCACACATCACAAAACAGTTTCTGAGAATCATTCTGTCTAGTTTTTATACGAAGATATTTCCTTTTCTACCGTTGACCTCAAAGCGGCTGAATTCTCCACTTACAAATTCCACCAAAAGAGTGTCTCAAATCTGCTCTGTGTAAAGAATCATTCAACTCTGTGAGTTGAATGCACACAACACAAGGAAGTTACTGGGAATTCCTCTGTCTATCCTTACATGAAAAAACCCGTTTCCAACGAAGGCCTCTAAGAGGCCAAGATATCCACTTGCAGACTTTACAAACAGAGTGTTTCCAAACTGCTGAATGAAAAGAAAAGTTAAACTCTGTGAGTTGAACGCACACATCACAGAGCAGTTTCTGAGAATGATTCTGTCGGGTTTTTATACGAAGATATTTCCTTTTCTGCCTTTGGCCTCAAAGCGCTTGAAGTCTCCACTTGCAAATTGCAGAAAAAGAGTGTTTCGAATCTGCTCTGTCTAAAGGAAGGTTCAACTCTGTCAGTTGAATACACACAACACAAGGAAGTTACTGAGATTTCTTCTGTCTAGCCTTACATGAAAAAAACCCGTTTCCAACGAAGGCCTCAAAGAGGTCAAAATATCCACGTGCAGACTTTCCAAACAGAGTGTTTCCAAACTGCTGAATGAAAAGAAAAGTTAAACTCTGTGAGTTGAACGCACACATCCCAGAGCAGTTTCTGAGAAAGATTCTGTCGAGTTTTTATAGGAAAATATTTCCTTTTCTGCTTTTGGCCTCAAAGCGCTTGAAATCTCCACTTGCAAATTCCACAAAAAGAGACTTTCAAATCTGCTCTGTCTAAAGGAAGGTTCAACTGCTGTCAGTTGAATACACACAACACAAAGAAGTTACTAAGAATTCTTCCCTCTAGCATTATATGAAGAAATCCCGTTTCCAACGAAGGCATCTAAGAGGTCCAAATATCCACTTGCAGACTTTACAAACACAGGGTTTCCAGAATGCTGTATGAAAAGAAAGGTGAAACTCTGTGAGTTAAACACACATATCACTACGCAGTGTCTGGGAACGAGTTTGTCTTGTTTTTATACGAAGATATTTCCTTTTCTACCATTGGCATCGAAGCGCTTGAAATCTCCACTTGCAAATTCCACAAAAAGAGTGTTTCAAATCTGCTCTGTCTAAAGGAAGGTTGAACTCTGTGAGTTGCATACACACAACACAAAGAAGTTACTGAGAAATCTTCTGTCTAGCATAATATGAAGAAATCCCGTTTCCAACGAAGGCCTCAAAGAGGTCCGAATATCCACTGGCAGGCTTCACAAACAGAGTGTTTCCTAACTGCTCTGTGAAAAGAAAGGTTAAACTCTGTGAGTTGAACGCACACATCACAAAGGAGTTTCTGAGAATCATTCTGTCTAGTTTTTATACGAAGATATTTCCTTTTCTACCATTGACCTCAAAGCGGCTGAAATCTCCACTTGCAAATTCCAGAAAAACAGTGTTTCAAATCTGCTCTGTGTAAAGGATCGTTCAACTCTGTGAGTTGAATACACACAACACAAGGAAGTTACTGAGAATTCATCTGTCTAGCATAATATGAAGAAATCCCGTTTCCAACGAAGGCCTCAAAGAGGTCTGAATATCCACTTGCAGACTTTACAAACAGAGTGTTTCCTAACTGCTCTTTGAAAAGAAAGGTTAAACTCTGTGAGTTGAACGCACACATCACAAAACAGTTTCTGAGAATCATTCTGTCTAGTTTTTATACGAAGATATTTCCTTTTCTACCGCTGACCTCAAAGCGGCTGAATTCTCCACTAACAAATTCCACCAAAAGAGTGTCTCAAATCTGCTCTGTGTAAAGAATCATTCAACTCTGTGAGTTGAATGCACACAACACAAGGAAGTTACTGGGAATTCCTCTGTCTAACCTTACATGAAAAAACCCGTTTCCAACGAAGGCCTCTAAGAGGCCAAGATATCCACTTGCAGACTTTACAAACAGAGTGTTTCCAAACTGCTGAATGAAAAGAAAAGTTAAACTCTGTGAGTTGAACGCACACATCACAGAGCAGTTTCTGAGAATGATTCTGTCGGGTTTTTATACGAAGATATTTCCTTTTCTGCCTTTGGCCTCAAAGCGCTTGAAGTCTCCACTTGCAAATTGCAGAAAAAGAGTGTTTCGAATCTGCTCTGTCTAAAGGAAGGTTCAACTCTGTCAGTTGAATACACACAACACAAGGAAGTTACTGAGATTTCTTCTGTCTAGCCTTACATGAAAAAAACCCGTTTCCAACGAAGGCCTCAAAGAGGTCAAAATATCCACGTGCAGACTTTCCAAACAGAGTGTTTCCAAACTGCTGAATGAAAAGAAAAGTTAAACTCTGTGAGTTGAACGCACACATCCCAGAGCAGTTTCTGAGAAAGATTCTGTCGAGTTTTTATAGGAAAATATTTCCTTTTCTGCTTTTGCCCTCAAAGCGCTTGAAATCTCCACTTGCAAATTCCACAAAAAGAGACTTTCAACTCTGCTCTGTCTAAAGGAAGGTTCAACTCTGTCAGTTGAATACACACAACACAAAGAAGTTACTAAGAATTCTTCCCTCTAGCATTATATGAAGAAATCCCGTTTCCAACGAAGGCATCTAAGAGGTCCAAATATCCACTTGCAGACTTTACAAACAGAGGGTTTCCAGAATGCTGTATGAAAAGAAAGGTTAAACTCTGTGAGTTAAACACACACATCACTACGCAGTGTCTGGGAACGAGTTTGTCTTGTTTTTATACGAAGATATTTCCTTTTCTACCATTGGCATCGAAGCGCTTGAAATCTCCACTTGCAAATTCCACAAAAAGAGTGTTTCAAATCTGCTCTGTCTAAAGGAAGGTTGAACTCTGTGAGTTGCATACACACAACACAAAGAAGTTACTGAGAAATCTTCTGTCTAGCATAATATGAAGAAATCCCGTTTCCAACGAAGGCCTCAAAGAGGTCCGAATATCCACTGGCAGGATTCACAAACAGAGTGTTTCCTAACTGCTACTGTGAAAAGAAAGGTTAAACTGCTGTGAGTTGAACGCACACATCACAAAGGAGTTTCTGAGAATCATTCTGTCTAGTTTTTATACGAAGATATTTCCTTTTCTACCATTGACCTCAAAGCGGCTGAAATCTCCACTTGCAAATTCCAGAAAAACAGTGTTTCAAATCTGCTCTGTGTAAAGGATCGTTCAACTCTGTGAGTTGAATACACACAACACAAGGAAGTTACTGAGAATTCATCTGTCTAGCATAATATGATGAAATCCCGTTTCCAACGAAGGCTTCAAAGAGGTCTGAATATCCACTTGCAGACTTTACAAACAGAGTGTTTCCTAACTGCTCTTTGAAAAGAAAGGTTAAACTCTGTGAGTTGAACGCACACATCACAAAACAGTTTCTGAGAATCATTCTGTCTAGTTTTTATACGAAGATATTTCCTTTTCTACCGTTGACCTCAAAGCGGCTGAATTCTCCACTTACAAATTCCACCAAAAGAGTGTCTCAAATCTGCTCTGTGTAAAGAATCATTCAACTCTGTGAGTTGAATGCACACAACACAAGGAAGTTACTGGGAATTCCTCTGTCTAACCTTACATGAAAAAACCCGTTTCCAACGAAGGCCTCTAAGAGGCCAAGATATCCACTTGCAGACTTTACAAACAGAGTGTTTCCAAACTGCTGAATGAAAAGAAAAGTTAAACTCTGTGAGTTGAACGCACACATCACAGAGCAGTTTCTGAGAATGATTCTGTCGGGTTTTTATACGAAGATATTTCCTTTTCTGCCTTTGGCCTCAAAGCGCTTGAAGTCTCCACTTGCAAATTGCAGAAAAAGAGTGTTTCGAATCTGCTCTGTCTAAAGGAAGGTTCAACTCTGTCAGTTGAATACACACAACACAAGGAAGTTACTGAGATTTCTTCTGTCTAGCCTTACATGAAAAAAACCCGTTTCCAACGAAGGCCTCAAAGAGGTCAAAATATCCACGTGCAGACTTTCCAAACAGAGTGTTTCCAAACTGCTGAATGAAAAGAAAAGTTAAACTCTGTGAGTTGAACGCACACATCCCAGAGCAGTTTCTGAGAAAGATTCTGTCTAGTTTTTATAGGAAAATATTTCCTTTTCTGCTTTTGGCCTCAAAGCGCTTGAAATCTCCACTTGCAAATTCCACAAAAAGAGACTTTCAAATCTGCTCTGTCTAAAGGAAAGGTTCAACTCTGTCAGTTGAATACACACAACACAAAGAAGTTACTAAGAATTCTTCCCTCTAGCATTATATGAAGAAATCCCGTTTCCAACGAAGGCATCTAAGAGGTCCAAATATCCACTTGCAGACTTTACAAACACAGGGTTTCCAGAATGCTGTATGAAAAGAAAGGTTAAACTCTGTGAGTTAAACACACACATCACTACGCAGTGTCTGGGAACGAGTTTGTCTTGTTTTTATACGAAGATATTTCCTTTTCTACCATTGGCATCGAAGCGCTTGAAATCTCCACTTGCAAATTCCACAAAAAGAGTGTTTCAAATCTGCTCTGTCTAAAGGAAGGTTGAACTCTGTGACTTGCATACACACAACACAAAGAAGTTACTGAGAAATCTTCTGTCTAGCATAATATGAAGAAATCCCGTTTCCAACGAAGGCCTCAAAGAGGTCCGAATATCCACTGGCAGGCTTCACAAACAGAGTGTTTCCTAACTGCTCTGTGAAAAGAAAGGTTAAACTCTGTGAGTTGAACGCACACATCACAAAGGAGTTTCTGAGAATCATTCTGTCTAGTTTTTATACGAAGATATTTCCTTTTCTACCATTGACCTCAAAGCGGCTGAAATCTCCACTTGCAAATTCCAGAAAAACAGTGTTTCAAATCTGCTCTGTGTAAAGGATCGTTCAACTCTGTGAGTTGAATACACACAACACAAGGAAGTTACTGAGAATTCATCTGTCTAGCATAATATGAAGAAATCCCGTTTCCAACGAAGGCCTCAAAGAGGTCTGAATATCCACTTGCAGACTTTACAAACAGAGTGTTTCCTAACTGCTCTTTGAAAAGAAAGGTTAAACTCTGTGAGTTGAACGCACACATCACAAAACAGTTTCTGAGAATCATTCTGTCTAGTTTTTATACGAAGATATTTCCTTTTCTACCGTTGACCTCAAAGCGGCTGAATTCTCCACTTACAAATTCCACCAAAAGAGTGTCTCAAATCTGCTCTGTGTAAAGAATCATTCAACTCTGTGAGTTGAATGCACACAACACAAGGAAGTTACTGGGAATTCCTCTGTCTAACCTTACATGAAAAAACCCGTTTCCAACGAAGGCCTCTAAGAGGCCAAGATATCCACTTGCAGACTTTACAAACAGAGTGTTTCCAAACTGCTGAATGAAAAGAAAAGTTAAACTCTGTGAGTTGAACGCACACATCACAGAGCAGTTTCTGAGAATGATTCTGTCGGGTTTTTATACGAAGATATTTCCTTTTCTGCCTTTGGCCTCAAAGCGCTTGAAGTCTCCACTTGCAAATTGCAGAAAAAGAGCGTTTCGAATCTGCTCTGTCTAAAGGAAGGTTCAACTCTGTCAGTTGAATACACACAACACAAGGAAGTTACTGAGATTTCTTCTGTCTAGCCTTACATGAAAAAAACCCGTTTCCAACGAAGGCCTCAAAGAGGTCAAAATATCCACGTGCAGACTTTCCAAACAGAGTGTTTCCAAACTGCTGAATGAAAAGAAAGTTAAACTCTGTGAGTTGAACACACACATCACAGAGCAGTTTCTGAGAATGATTCTCTCTAGTTTTTATAGGAAAATATTTCCTTTTCTGCTTTTGGCCTCAAAGTGCTTGAAATCTCCACTTGCAAATTCCACAAAAAGAGACTTTCAAATCTGCTCTGTCTAAAGGAAGGTTCAACTCTGTCAGTTCAATACACACAACACAAAGAAGTTACTAAGAATTCTTCCCTCTAGCATTATATGAAGAAATCCCGTTTCCAACGAAGGCCTCAAACAGGTCTGAATATCCACTTGCAGACTTTACAGAGTGTTTCCTAACTGCTCTTTGAAAAGAAAGGTTAAACTCTGTGAGTTGAACGCACACATCACAAAACAGTTTCTGAGAATCATTCTGTCTAGTTTTTATACGAAGATATTTCCTTTTCTACCGTTGACCTCAAAGCGGCTGAATTCTCCACTTACAAATTCCACCCAAAGAGTGTCTCAAATCTGCTCTGTGTAAAGAATCATTCAACTCTGTGAGTTGAATGCACACAACACAAGGAAGTTACTGGGAATTCCTCTGTCTAACCTTACATGAAAAAACCCGTTTCCAACGAAGGCCTCTAAGAGGCCAAGATATCCACTTGCAGACTTTACAAACAGAGTGTTTCCAAACTGCTGAATGAAAAGAAAAGTTAAACTCTGTGAGTTGAACGCACACATCACAGAGCAGTTTCTGAGAATGATTCTGTCGGGTTTTTATACGAAGATATATCCTTTTCTGCCTTTGGCCTCAAAGCGCTTGAAGTCTCCACTTGCAAATTGCAGAAAAAGAGTGTTTCGAATCTGCTCTGTCTAAAGGAAGGTTCAACTCTGTCAGTTGAATACACACAACACAAGGAAGTTACTGAGATTTCTTCTGTCTAGCCTTACATGAAAAAAACCCGTTTCCAACGAAGGCCTCAAAGAGGTCAAAATATCCACGTGCAGACTTTCCAAACAGAGTGTTTCCAAACTGCTGAATGAAAAGAAAAGTTAAACTCTGTGAGTTGAACGCACACATCCCAGAGCAGTTTCTGAGACAGATTCTGTCGAGTTTTTATAGGAAAATATTTCCTTTTCTGCTTTTGGCCTCAAAGCGCTTGAAATCTCCACTTGCAAATTCCACAAAAAGAGACTTTCAAATCTGCTCTGTCTAAAGGAAGGTTCAACTCTGTCAGTTGAATACACACAACACAAAGAAGTTACTAAGAATTCTTCCCTCTAGCATTATATGAGGAAATCCCGTTTCCAACGAAGGCATCTAAGAGGTCCAAATATCCACTTGCAGACTTTACAAACAGAGGGTTTCCAGAATGCTGTATGAAAAGAAAGGTTAAACTCTGTGAGTTAAACACACACATCACTACGCAGTGTCTGGGAACGAGTTTGTCTTGTTTTTATACGAAGATATTTCCTTTTCTACCATTGGCATCGAAGCGCTTGAAATCTCCACTTGCAAATTCCACAAAAAGAGTGTTTCAAATCTGCTCTGTCTAAAGGAAGGTTGAACTCTGTGAGTTGCATACACACAACACAAAGAAGTTACTGAGAAATCTTCTGTCTAGCATAATATGAAGAAATCCCGTTTCCAACGAAGGCCTCAAAGAGGTCCGAATATCCACTGGCAGACTTCACAGAGTGTTTCCTAACTGCTCTGAGAAAAGAAAGGTTAAACTCTGTGAGTTGAACGCACACATCACAAAGGAGTTTCTGAGAATCATTCTGTCTAGTTTTTATACGAAGATATTTCCTTTTCTACCATTGACCTCAAAGCAGCTGAAATCTCCACTTGCAAATTCCAGAAAAACAGTGTTTCAAATCTGCTCTGTGTAAAGGATCGTTCAACTCTGTGAGTTGAATACACACAACACAAGGAAGTTACTGAGAATTATTCTGTCTAGCATAATATGAAGAAATCCCGTTTCCAACGAAGGCCTCAAAGAGGTCTGAATATCCACATGCAGACTTTACAAACAGAGTGTTTCCTAACTGCTCTTTGAAAAGAAAGGTTAAACTCTGTGAGTTGAATGCACACATCACAAAACAGTTTCTGAGAATCATTCTGTCTAGTTTTTATACGAAGATATTTCCTTTTCTACCGTTGACCTCAAAGCAGCTGAATTCTCCACTTACAAATTCCACCAAAAGAGTGTCTCAAATCTGCTCTGTGTAAAGAATCATTCAACTCTGTGAGTTGAATGCACACAACACAAGGAAGTTACTGGGAATTCCTCTGTCTAACCTTACATGAAAAAACCCGTTTCCAACGAAGGCCTCTAAGAGGCCAAGATATCCACTTGCAGACTTTACAAACAGAGTGTTTCCAAACTGCTGAATGAAAAGAAAAGTTAAACTCTGTGAGTTGAACGCACACATCACAGAGCAGTTTCTGAGAATGATTCTGTCGGGTTTTTATACGAAGATATTTCCTTTTCTGCCTTTGGCCTCAAAGCGCTTGAAGTCTCCACTTGCAAATTGCAGAAAAAGAGTGTTTCGAATCTGCTCTGTCTAAAGGAAGGTTCAACTCTGTCAGTTGAATACACATAACACAAGGAAGTTACTGAGATTTCTTCTGTCTAGCGTTACATGAAAAAAACCCGTTTCCAACGAAGGCCTCAAAGAGGTCAAAATATCCACGTGCAGACTTTCCAAACAGAGTGTTTCCAAACTGCTGAATGAAAAGAAAAGTTAAACTCTGTGAGTTGAACGCACACATCCCAGAGCAGTTTCTGAGAAAGATATTCTGTCGAGTTTTTATAGGAAAATATTTCCTTTTCTGCTTTTGGCCTCAAAGCGCTTGAAATCTCCACTTGCAAATTCCACAAAAAGAGACTTTCAAATCTGCTCTGTCTAAAGGAAGGTTCAACTCTGTCAGTTGAATACACACAACACAAAGAAGTTACTAAGAATTCTTCCCTCTAGCATTATATGAAGAAATCCCGTTTCCAACGAAGGCATCTAAGAGGTCCAAATATCCACTTGCAGACTTTACAAACACAGGGTTTCCAGAATGCTGTATGAAAAGAAAGGTGAAACTCTGTGAGTTAAACACACACATCACTACGCAGTGTCTGGGAACGAGTTTGTCTTGTTTTTATACGAAGATATTTCCTTTTCTACCATTGGCATCGAAGCGCTTGAAATCTCCACTTGCAAATTCCACAAAAAGAGTGTTTCAAATCTGCTCTGTCTAAAGGAAGGTTGAACTCTGTGAGTTGCATACACACAACACAAAGAAGTTACTGAGAAATCTTCTGTCTAGCATAATATGAAGAAATCCCGTTTCCAACGAAGGCCTCAAAGAGGTCCGAATATCCACTGGCAGGCTTCACAAACAGAGTGTTTCCTAACTGCTCTGTGAAAAGAAAGGTTAAACTCTGTGAGTTGAACGCACACATCACAAAGGAGTTTCTGAGAATCATTCTGTCTAGTTTTTATACGAAGATATTTCCTTTTCTACCGTTGACCTCAAAGCGGCTGAATTCTCCACTTACAAATTCCACCAAAAGAGTGTCTCAAATCTGCTCTGTGTAAAGAATCATTCAACTCTGTGAGTTGAATGCACACAACACAAGGAAGTTACTGGGAATTCCTCTGTCTAACCTTACATGAAAAAACCCGTTTCCAACGAAGGCCTCTAAGAGGCCAAGATATCCACTTGCAGACTTTACAAACAGAGTGTTTCCAAACTGCTGAATGAAAAGAAAAGTTAAACTCTGTGAGTTGAACGCACACATCACAGAGCAGTTTCTGAGAATGATTCTGTCGGGTTTTTATACGAAGATATTTCCTTTTCTGCCTTTGGCCTCAAAGCGCTTGAAGTCTCCACTTGCAAATTGCAGAAAAAGAGTGTTTCGAATCTGCTCTGTCTAAAGGAAGGTTCAACTCTGTCAGTTGAATACACACAACACAAGGAAGTTACTGAGATTTCTTCTGTCTAGCCTTACATGAAAAAAACCCGTTTCCAACGAAGGCCTCAAAGAGGTCAAAATATCCACGTGCAGACTTTCCAAACAGAGTGTTTCCAAACTGCTGAATGAAAAGAAAAGTTAAACTCTGTGAGTTGAACGCACACATCCCAGAGCAGTTTCTGAGAAAGATTCTGTCGAGTTTTTATAGGAAAATATTTCCTTTTCTGCTTTTGGCCTCAAAGCGCTTGAAATCTCCACTTGCAAATTCCACAAAAAGAGACTTTCAAATCTGCTCTGTCTAAAGGAAGGTTCAACTCTGTCAGTTGAATACACACAACACAAAGAAGTTACTAAGAATTCTTCCCTCTAGCATTATATGAAGAAATCCCGTTTGCAACGAAGGCATCTAAGAGGTCCAAATATCCACTTGCAGACTTTACAAACAGAGGGTTTCCAGAATGCTGTATGAAAAGAAAGGTGAAACTCTGTGAGTTAAACACACACATCACTACGCAGTGTCTGGGAACGAGTTTGTCTTGTTTTTATACGAAGATATTTCCTTTTCTACCATTGGCATCGAAGCGCTTGAAATCTCCACTTGCAAATTCCACAAAAAGAGTGTTTCAAATCTGCTCTGTCTAAAGGAAGGTTGAACTCTGTGAGTTGCATACACACAACACAAAGAAGTTACTGAGAAATCTTCTGTCTAGCATAATATGAAGAAATCCCGTTTCCAACGAAGGCCTCAAAGAGGTCCGAATATCCACTGGCAGGCTTCACAAACAGAGTGTTTCCTAACTGCTCTGTGAAAAGAAAGGTTAAACTCTCTGAGTTGAACGCACACATCACAAAGGAGTTTCTGAGAATCATTCTGTCTAGTTTTTATACGAAGATATTTCCTTTTCTACCATTGACCTCAAAGCGGCTGAAATCTCCACTTGCAAATTCCAGAAAAACAGTGTTTCAAATCTGCTCTGTGTAAAGGATCGTTCAACTCTGTGAGTTGAATACACACAACACAAGGAAGTTACTGAGAATTCATCTGTCTAGCATAATATGAAGAAATCCCGTTTCCAACGAAGGCCTCAAAGAGGTCTGAATATCCACTTGCAGACTTTACAAACAGAGTGTTTCCTAACTGCTCTTTGAAAAGAAAGGTTAAACTCTGTGAGTTGAACGCACACATCACAAAACAGTTTCTGAGAATCATTCTGTCTAGTTTTTATAAGAAGATATTTCCTTTTCTACCGTTGACCTCAAAGCAGCTGAATTCTCCACTTACAAATTCCACCAAAAGAGTGTCTCAAATCTGCTCTGTGTAAAGAATCATTCAACTCTGTGAGTTGAATGCACACAACACAAGGAAGTTACTGGGAATTCCTCTGTCTAACCTTACATGAAAAAACCCGTTTCCAACGAAGGCCTCTAAGAGGCCAAGATATCCACTTGCAGACTTTACAAACAGAGTGTTTCCAAACTGCTGAATGAAAAGAAAAGTTAAACTCTGTGAGTTGAACGCACACATCACAGAGCAGTTTCTGAGAATGATTCTGTCGGGTTTTTATACGAAGATATTTCCTTTTCTGCCTTTGGCCTCAATGCGCTAGAAGTCTCCACTTGCAAATTGCAGAAAAAGAGTGTTTCGAATCTGCTCTGTCTAAAGGAAGGTTCAACCCTGTCAACTGAATACACACAACACAAGGAAGTTACTGAGATTTCTTCTGTCTAGCCTTACATGAAAAAAACCCGTTTCCAACGAAGGCCTCGAAGAGGTCAAAATATCCACGTGCAGACTTTCCAAACAGAGTGTTTCCAAACTGCTGAATGAAAAGAAAAGTTAAGCTCTGTGAGTTGAACGCACACATCACAGAGCAGTTTCTGAGAATGATTCTGTCTAGTTTTTATAGGAAAATATTTCCTTTTCTGCTTTTGGCCTCAAAGCGCTTGAAATCTCCACTTGCAAATTCCACAAAAAGAGACTTTCAAATCTGCTCTGTCTAAAGGAAGGTTCAACTCTGTCAGTTGAATACACACAACACAAAGAAGTTACTAAGAATTCTTCCCTCTAGCATTATATGAAGAAATCCCGTTCCCAACGAAGGCATCTAAGAGGTCCAAATATCCACTTGCAGACTTTACAAACAGAGGGTTTCCAGAATGCTGTATGAAAAGAAAGGTTAAACTCTGTGAGTTAAACACACACATCACTACGCAGTGTCTGGGAACGAGTTTGTCTTGTTTTTATACGAAGATATTTCCTTTTCTACCATTGGCATCGAAGCGCTTGAAATCTCCACTTGCAAATTCCACAAAAAGAGTGTTTCAAATCTGCTCTGTCTAAAGGAAGGTTGAACTCTGTGAGTTGCATACACACAACACAAAGAAGTTACTGAGAAATCTTCTGTCTAGCATAATATGAAGAAATCCCGTTTCCAACGAAGGCCTCAAAGAGGTCCGAATATCCCCTGGCAGGCTTCACAAACAGAGTGTTTCCTAACTGCTCTGTGAAAAGAAAGGTTAAACTCTGTGAGTTGAACGCACACATCACAAAGGAGTTTCTGAGAATCATTCTGTCTAGGTTTTATACGAAGATATTTCCTTTTCTACCATTGACCTCAAAGCGGCTGAAATCTCCACTTGCAAATTCCAGAAAAACAGTGTTTCAAATCTGCTCTGTGTAAAGGATCGTTCAACTCTGTGAGTTGAATACACACAACACAAGGAAGTTACTGAGAATTCATCTGTCTAGCATAATATGAAGAAATCCCGTTTCCAACGAAGGCCTCAAAGAGGTCTGAATATCCGCTTGCAGACTTTACAAACAGAGTGTTTCCTAACTGCTCTCTGAAAAGAAAGGTTAAACTCTGTGAGTTGAACGCACACATCACAAAACAGTTTCTGAGAATCATTCTGTCTAGTTTTTATACGAAGATATTTCCTTTTCTACCGTTGACCTCAAAGCGGCTGAATTCTCCACTTACAAATTCCACCAAAAGAGTGTCTCAAATCTGCTCTGTGTAAAGAATCATTCAACTCTGTGAGTTGAATGCACACAACACAAGGAAGTTACTGGGAATTCCTCTGTCTAACCTTACATGAAAAAACCCGTTTCCACCGAAGGCCTCTAAGAGGCCAAGATATCCACTTGCAGACTTTACAAACAGAGTGTTTCCAAACTGCTGAATGAATAGAAAAGTTAAACTCTGTGAGTTGAACGCACACATCACAGAGCAGTTTCTGAGAATGATTCTGTCGGGTTTTTATACGAAGATATTTCCTTTTCTGCCTTTGGCCTCAAAGCGCTTGAAGTCTCCACTTGCAAATTGCAGAAAAAGAGTGTTTCGAATCTGCTCTGTCTAAAGGAAGGTTCAACTCTGTCAGTTGAATACACACAACACAAGGAAGTTACTGAGATTTCTTCTGTCTAGCCTTACATGAAAAAAACCCGTTTCCAACGAAGGCCTCAAAGAGGTCAAAATATCCACGTGCAGACTTTCCAAACAGAGTGTTTCCAAACTGCTGAATGAAAAGAAAAGTTAAACTCTGTGAGTTGAACGCACACATCCCAGAGCAGTTTCTGAGAAAGATTCTGTCTAGTTTTTATAGGAAAATATTTCCTTTTCTGCTTTTGGCCTCAAAGCGCTTGAAATCTCCACTTGCAAATTCCACAAAAAGAGACTTTCAAATCTGCTCTGTCTAAAGGAAGGTTCAACTCTGTCAGTTGAATACACACAACACAAAGAAGTTACTAAGAATTCTTCCCTCTAGCATTATATGAAGAAATCCCGTTTCCAACGAAGGCATCTAAGAGGTCCAAATATCCACTTGCAGACTTTACAAACACAGGGTTTCCAGAATGCTGTATGAAAAGAAAGGTTAAACTCTGTGAGTTAAACACACACATCACTACGCAGTGTCTGGGAACGAGTTTGTCATGTTTTTATACGAAGATATTTCCTTTTCTACCATTGGCATCGATGCGCTTGAAATTTCCACTTGCAAATTCCACAAAAAGAGTGTTTCAAATCTGCTCTGTCTAAAGGAAGGTTGAACTCTGTGAGTTGCATACACACAACACAAAGAAGTTACTGAGAAATCTTCTGTCTAGCATAATATGAAGAAATCCCGTTTCCAACGAAGGCCTCAAAGAGGTCTGAATATCCACTGGCAGACTTCACAAACAGAGTGTTTCCTAACTACTCTATGAAAAGAAAGGTTAAACTCTGTGAGTTGAACGCACACATCACAAAGGAGTTTCTGAGAATCATTCTGTCTAGTTTTTATACGAAGATATTTCCTTTTCTATCATTGACCTCAAAGTGTCTGAAATCTCCACTTGCAAATTCCACAAAAAGAGTGTTTCTAATCTGCTCTGTGTAAAGGATCGTTCAACTCCGTGAGTTGAAAGCACACAACACAAGGAAGTTACTGAGAATTCTTCTGTCTAGCATAATATGAAGAAATCCCGTTTCCAACGAAGGCCTCAAAGAGGTCTGAATATCCACTTGCAGACTTTACAAACAGAGTGTTTCCTAACTGCTCTTTGAAAAGAAAGGTTAAACTCTGTGAGTTGAACGCACACATCACAAAACAGTTTCTGAGAATCATTCTGTCTAGTTTTTATACGAAGATATTTCCTTTTCTACCGTTGACCTCAAAGCGGCTGAATTCTCCACTTACAAATTCCACCAAAAGAGTGTCTCAAATCTGCTCTGTGTAAAGAATCATTCAACTCTGTGAGTTGAATGCACACAACACAAGGAAGTTACTGGGAATTCCTCTGTCTAACCTTACATGAAAAAACCCGTTTCCAACGAAGGCCTCTAAGAGGCCAAGATATCCACTTGCAGACTTTACAAACAGAGTGTTTCCAAACTGCTGAATGAAAAGAAAAGTTAAACTCTGTGAGTTGAACGCACACATCACAGAGCAGTTTCTGAGAATGATTCTGTCGGGTTTTTATACGAAGATATTTCCTTTTCTGCCTTTGGCCTCAAAGCGCTTGAAGTCTCCACTTGCAAATTGCAGAAAAAGAGTGTTTCGAATCTGCTCTGTCTAAAGGAAGGTTCAACTCTGTCAGTTGAATACACACAACACAAGGAAGTTACTGAGATTTCTTCTGTCTAGCCTTACATGAAAAAAACCCGTTTCCAACGAAGGCCTCAAAGAGGTCAAAATATCCACGTGCAGACTTTCCAAACAGAGTGTTTCCAAACTGCTGAATGAAAAGAAAAGTTAAACTCTGTGAGTTGAACGCACACATCCCAGAGCAGTTTCTGAGAAAGATTCTGTCTAGTTTTTATAGGAAAATATTTCCTTTTCTGCTTTTGGCCTCAAAGCGCTTGAAATCTCCACTTGCAAATTCCACAAAAAGAGACTTTCAAATCTGCTCTGTCTAAAGGAAGGTTCAACTCTGTCAGTTGAATACACACAACACAAAGAAGTTACTAAGAATTCTTCCCTCTAGCATTATATGAAGAAATCCCGTTTCCAACCGAAGGCATCTAAGAGGTCCAAATATCCACTTGCAGACTTTACAAACACAGGGTTTCCAGAATGCTGTATGAAAAGAAAGGTTAAACTCTGTGAGTTAAACACACACATCACTACGCAGTGTCTGGGAACGAGTTTGTCTTGTTTTTGTATGAAGATATTTCCTTTTCTACCATTGGCATCGAAGCGTTTGAAATCTCCACTTGCAAATTCCACAAAAAGAGTGTTTCAAATCTGCTCTGTCTAAAGGAAGGTTGAACTCTGTGAGTTGCATACACACAACACAAAGAAGTTACTGAGAAATCTTCTGTCTAGCATAATATGAAGAAATCCCGTTTCCAACGAAGGCCTCAAAGAGGTCCGAATATCCACTGGCAGGCTTCACAAACAGAGTGTTTCCTAACTGCTCTGTGAAAAGAAAGGTTAAACTCTGTGAGTTGAACGCACACATCACAAAGGAGTTTCTGAGAATCATTCTGTCTAGTTTTTATACGAAGATATTTCTTTTTCTACCATTGACCTCAAAGCGGCTGAAATCTCCACTTGCAAATTCCACAAAAAGAGTGTTTCAGATCTGCTCTGTGTAAAGGATGGTTCAACTCTGTGAGTTGAATACACACACCACAAGGAAGTTACTGAGATTTCTTCTGTCTAGCATAATATGAAGAAATCCCTTTTCCAATGAAGGCCTCAAAGAGGTCTGAGTATCCACTTGCAGACTTTACAAACAGAGTGTTTCCTAACTGCTCTGTGAAAAGAAAGGTTAAACTCTGTGAGTTGAACGCACACATCAAAAACAGTTTCTGAGAATCATTCTGTCTAGTTTTTATACGAAGATATTTCGTTTTCTACCATTGACCTCAAAGCGGCTGAATTCTCCACTTACAAATTCCACCAAAAGAGTGTCTCAAATCTGCTCTGTGTAAAGAATCATTCAACTCTGTGAGTTGAATGCACACAACACAAGGAAGTTACTGGGAATTCCTCTGTCTAGCCTTACATGAAAAAAACCCGTTTCCAACGAAGGCCTCAAAGAGGCCAATATATCCACTTGCAGACTTTACAAACAGAGTGTTTCCAAACTGCTGAATGAAAAGACAAGTTAAACTCTGTGAGTTGAACGCACACATCACAGAGCAGTTTCTCAGAATGATTCTGTCTGTTTTTTATACGAAGATATTTCCT
This sequence comes from Homo sapiens, assembly GCF_000001405.40. NCBI lineage: Eukaryota > Metazoa > Chordata > Mammalia > Primates > Hominidae > Homo > Homo sapiens. Next base: position 36,715,491 of record NC_000016.10, on the reverse strand, counting down.
TTTCTGCCTTTGGCCTCAAAGCGCTTGAAGTCTCCACTTGCAAATTGCACAAAAAGAGTGTTTCGAATCTGCTCTGTCTAAAGGAAGGTTCAACCCTGGCAGTTGAATACACACAACACAAGGAAGTTACTGAGATTTCTTCTGTCTAGCATTACATGAAAAAAACCCGTTCCCAACGAAGGCCTCAAAGAGGTCAAAATATCCACGTGCAGACTTTCCAAACAGAGTGTTTCCAAACTGCTGAATGAAAAGAAAAGTTAAACTCTGTGAGTTGAACGCACACATCACTGAGCAGTTTCTGAGAATGATTCTGTCTAGTTTTTATAGGAAAATATTTCCTTTTCTGTTTTTGGCCTCAAAGCGCTTGAAATCTCCACTTGCAAATTCCACAAAAAGAGAGTTTCAAATCTGCTCTGTCTAAAGGAAAGTTCAACTCTGTCAGTTGAATACACACAACACAAAGAAGTTACTAAGAATTCTTCCCTCTAGCATTATATGAAGAAATCCCGTTTCCAACGAAGGCATTTAAGAGGTCCAAATATCCACTTGCAGAGTTTACAAACAGAGGGTTTCCAGAATGCTGTATGAAAAGAAAGGTTAAACTCTGTGAGTTAAACACACACATCACTACGCAGTGTCTGGGAACGAGTTTGTCTTGTTTTTATACGAAGTATATTTCCTTTTCTACCATTGGCATCGAAGCGCTTGAAATCTCCACTTGCAAATTCCACAAAAAGAGTGTTTCAAATCTGCTCTTTCTAAAGGAAGGTTGAACTCTGTGAGTTGCATACACACAACACAAAGAAGTTACTGAGAAATCTTCTGTCTAGCATAAGATGAAGAAATCCCGTTTCCAACGAAGGCTTTAAATAGGTGCGAATATCCACTGGCAGACTTCACAAACAGAGTGTTTCCTAACTGCTCTATGAAAAGAAAGGTTAAACTCTGCGAGTTGGACGCACACATCACAAAGGAGTTTCTGAGAATCATTCTGTCTAGTTTTTATACGAAGATATTTCCTTTTCTACCATTGACCTCAAAGCTGCTGATTTCTCCACTTACAAATTCTAACAAAAGAGTGTCTCAAATCTGCTCTGTGGAAAGAATCATTCAAATCTGTGAGTTGAATGCACACAACACAAGGAAGTTACTGGGAATTCCTCTGTCTAGCATAATATGAAGAAATCCCGTTTCCAACGAAGGCCTCAAAGAGGTCTGAATATCCACTTGCAGACTTTACAAACAGAGTGTTTCCTAACTGCTCTTTGAAAAGAAAGGTTAAACTCTGTGAGTTGAAAGCACACATCACAAAACAGTTTCTGAGAATCATTCTTTCTAGTTTTTATACGAAGATATTTCCTTTTCTACCGTTGACCTCAAAGCGGCTGAATTCTCCACTTACAAATTCCACCAAAAGAGTGTCTCAAATCTGCTCTGTGTAAAGAATCATTCAACTCTGTGAGTTGAATGCATACAACACAAGGAAGTTACTGGGAATTCCTCTGTCTATCCTTACATGAAAAATCCCGCTTCCAACGAAGGCCTCTAAGAGGCCAAGATATCCACTTGCAGACTTTACAAACAGAGTGTTTCCAAACTGCTGAATGAAAAGAAAAGTTAAACTCTGTGAGTTGAACGCACACATCACAGAGCAGTTTCTGAGAATGATTCTGTCGGGTTTTTATACGAAGATATTTCCTTTTCTGCCTTTGGCCTCAAAGCGCTTGAAGTCTCCACTTGCAAATTGCAGAAAAAGAGTGTTTCGAATCTGCTCTGTCTAAAGGAAGGTTCAACTCTGTCAGTTGAATACACACAACACAAGGAAGTTACTGAGATTTCTTCTGTCTAGCCTTACATGAAAAAAACCCGTTTCCAACGAAGGCCTCAAAGAGGTCAAAATATCCACGTGCAGACTTTCCAAACAGAGTGTTTCCAAACTGCTGAATGAAAAGAAAAGTTAAACTCTGTGAGTTGAACGCACACATCCCAGAGCAGTTTCTGAGAAAGATTCTGTCGAGTTTTTATAGGAAAATATTTCCTTTTCTGCTTTTGGCCTCAAAGCGCTTGAAATCTCCACTTGCAAATTCCACAAAAAGAGACTTTCAAATCTGCTCTGTCTAAAGGAAGGTTCAACTCTGTCAGTTGAATACACACAACACAAAGAAGTTACTAAGAATTCTTCCCTCTAGCATTATATGAAGAAATCCCGTTTCCAATGAAGGCATCTAAGAGGTCCAAATATCCACTTGCAGACTTTACAAACACAGGGTTTCCAGAATGCTGTATGAAAAGAAAGGTTAAACTCTGTGAGTTAAACACACACATCACTACGCAGTGTCTGGGAACGAGTTTGTCTTGTTTTTATACGAAGATATTTCCTTTTCTACCATTGGCATTGAAGCGCTTGAAATCTCCACTTGCAAATTCCACAAAAAGAGTGTTTCAAATCTGCTCTGTCTAAAGGAAGGTTGAACTCTGTGAGTTGCATACACACAACACAAAGAAGTTACTGAGAAATCTTCTGTCTAGCATAATATGAAGAAATCCCGTTTCCAACGAAGGCCTCAAAGAGGTCCGAATATCCACTGGCAGGCTTCACAAACAGAGTGTTTCCTAACTGCTCTGTGAAAAGAAAGGTTAAACTCTGTGAGTTGAACGCACACATCACAAAGGAGTTTCTGAGAATCATTCTGTCTAGTTTTTATACGAAGATATTTCCTTTTCTACCATTGACCTCAAAGCGGCTGAAATCTCCACTTGCAAATTCCAGAAAAACAGTGTTTCAAATCTGCTCTGTGTAAAGGATCGTTCAACTCTGTGAGTTGAATACACACAACACAAGGAAGTTACTGAGAATTCATCTGTCTAGCATAATATGAAGAAATCCCGTTTCCAACGAAGGCCTCAAAGAGGTCTGAATATCCACTTGCAGACTTTACAAACAGAGTGTTTCCTAACTGCTCTCTGAAAAGAAAGGTTAAACTGTGTGAGTTGAACGCACACATCACAAAACAGTTTCTGAGAATCATTCTGTCTAGTTTTTATACGAAGATATTTCCTTTTCTACCGTTGACCTCAAAGCGGCTGAATTCTCCACTTACAAATTCCACCAAAAGAGTGTCTCAAATCTGCTCTGTGTAAAGAATCATTCAACTCTGTGAGTTGAATGCACACAACACAAGGAAGTTACTGGGAATTCCTCTGTCTATCCTTACATGAAAAAACCCGTTTCCAACGAAGGCCTCTAAGAGGCCAAGATATCCACTTGCAGACTTTACAAACAGAGTGTTTCCAAACTGCTGAATGAAAAGAAAAGTTAAACTCTGTGAGTTGAACGCACACATCACAGAGCAGTTTCTGAGAATGATTCTGTCGGGTTTTTATACGAAGATATTTCCTTTTCTGCCTTTGGCCTCAAAGCGCTTGAAGTCTCCACTTGCAAATTGCAGAAAAAGAGTGTTTCGAATCTGCTCTGTCTAAAGGAAGGTTCAACTCTGTCAGTTGAATACACACAACACAAGGAAGTTACTGAGATTTCTTCTGTCTAGCCTTACATGAAAAAAACCCGTTTCCAACGAAGGCCTCAAAGAGGTCAAAATATCCACGTGCAGACTTTCCAAACAGAGTGTTTCCAAACTGCTGAATGAAAAGAAAAGTTAAACTCTGTGAGTTGAACGCACACATCCAGAGCAGTTTCTGAGAAAGATTCTGTCTAGTTTTTATAGGAAAATATTTCCTTTTCTGCTTTTGGCCTCAAAGCGCTTGAAATCTCCACTTGCAAGTTCCACAAAAAGAGACTTTCAAATCTGCTCTGTCTAAAGGAAGGTTCAACTCTGTCAGTTGAATACACACAACACAAAGAAGTTACTAAGAATTCTTCCCTCTAGCATTATATGAAGAAATCCCGTTTCCAACGAAGGCATCTAAGAGGTCCAAATATCCACTTGCAGACTTTACAAACACAGGGTTTCCAGAATGCTGTATGAAAAGAAAGGTTAAACTCTGTGAGTTAAACACACACATCACTACGCAGTGTCTGGGAACGAGTTTGTCTTGTTTTTATACGAAGATATTTCCTTTTCTACCATTGGCATCGAAGCGCTTGAAATCTCCACTTGCAAATTCCACAAAAAGAGTGTTTCAAATCTGCTCTGTCTAAAGGAAGGTTGAACTCTGTGAGTTGCATACACACAACACAAAGAAGTTACTGAGAAATCTTCTGTCTAGCATAATATGAAGAAATCCCGTTTCCAACGAAGGCCTCAAAGAGGTCCGAATATCCACTGGCAGGCTTCACAAACAGAGTGTTTCCTAACTGCTCTGTGAAAAGAAAGGTTAAACTCTGTGAGTTGAACGCACACATCACAAAGGAGTTTCTGAGAATCATTCTGTCTAGTTTTTATACGAAGATATTTCCTTTTCTACCATTGACCTCAAAGCGGCTGAAATCTCCACTTGCAAATTCCAGAAAAACAGTGTTTCAAATCTGCTCTGTGTAAAGGATCGTTTAACTCTGTGAGTTGAATACACACAACACAAGGAAGTTACTGAGAATTCATCTGTCTAGCATAATATGAAGAAATCCCGTTTCCAACGAAGGCCTCAAAGAGGTCTGAATATCCACTTGCAGACTTTACAAACAGAGTGTTTCCTAACTGCTCTTTGAAAAGAAAGGTTAAACTCTGTGAGTTGAACGCACACATCACAAAACAGTTTCTGAGAATCATTCTGTCTAGTTTTTATACGAAGATATTTCCTTTTCTACCGTTGACCTCAAAGCGGCTGAATTCTCCACTTACAAATTCCACCAAAAGAGAGTCTCAAATCTGCTCTTTGTAAAGAATCATTCAACTCTGTGTGTTGAATGCACACAACACAAGGAAGTTACTGGGAATTCCTCTGTCTATCCTTACATGAAAAAACCCGTTTCCAACGAAGGCCTCTAAGAGGCCAAGATATCCACTTGCAGACTTTACAAACAGAGTGTTTCCAAACTGCTGAATGAAAAGAAAAGTTAAACTCTGTGAGTTGAACGCACACATCACAGAGCAGTTTCTGAGAAAGATATTCTGTCTAGTTTTTATAGGAAAATATTTCCTTTTCTGCTTTTGGCCTCAAAGCGCTTGAAATCTCCACTTGCAAATTCCACAAAAAGAGTGTTTCAAATCTGCTCTGTCTAAAGGAAGGTTGAACTCTGTGAGTTGCATACACACAACACAAAGAAGTTACTGAGAAATCTTCTGTCTAGCATAATATGAAGAAATCCCGTTTCCAACGAAGGCCTCAAAGAGGTCCGAATATCCACTGGCAGGCTTCACAAACAGAGTGTTTCCTAACTGCTCTGTGAAAAGAAAGGTTAAACTCTGTGAGTTGAACGCACACATCACAAAGGAGTTTCTGAGAATCATTCTGTCTAGTTTTTATACGAAGATATTTCCTTTTCTACCATTGACCTCAAAGCGGCTGACATCTCCACTTGCAAATTCCAGAAAAACAGTGTTTCAAATCTGCTCTGTGTAAAGGATCGTTCAACTCTGTGAGTTGAATACACACAACACAAGGAAGTTACTGAGAATTCATCTGTCTAGCATAATATGAAGAAATCCCGTTTCCAACGAAGGCCTCAAAGAGGTCTGAATATCCACTTGCAGACTTTACAAACAGAGTGTTTCCTAACTGCTCTTTGAAAAGAAAGGTTAAACTCTGTGAGTTGAACGCACACATCAAAAAACAGTTTCTGAGAATCATTCTGTCTAGATTTTATACGAAGATATTTCCTTTTCTACCGTTGACCTCAAAGCGGCTGAATTCTCCACTTACAAATTCCACCCAAAGAGTGTCTCAAATCTGCTCTGTGTAAAGAATCATTCAACTCTGTGAGTTGAATGCACACAACACAAGGAAGTTACTGGGAATTCCTCTGTCTAACCTTACATGAAAAAACCCGTTTCCAACGAAGGCCTCTAAGAGGCCAAGATATCCACTTGCAGACTTTACAAACAGAGTGTTTCCAAACTGCTGAATGAAAAGAAAAGTTAAACTCTGTGAGTTGAACGCACACATCACAGAGCAGTTTCTGAGAATGATTCTGTCGGGTTTTTATACGAAGATATTTCCTTTTCTGCCTTTGGCCTCAAAGCGCTTGAAGTCTCCACTTGCAAATTGCAGAAAAAGAGTGTTTCGAATCTGCTCTGTCTAAAGGAAGGTTCAACTCTGTCAGTTGAATACACACAACACAAGGAAGTTACTGAGATTTCTTCTGTCTAGCCTTACATGAAAAAAACCCGTTTCCAACGAAGGCCTCAAAGAGGTCAAAATATCCACGTGCAGACTTTCCAAACAGAGTGTTTCCAAACTGCTGAATGAAAAGAAAAGTTAAACTCTGTGAGTTGAACGCACACATCCCAGAGCAGTTTCTGAGAAAGATTCTGTCTAGTTTTTATAGGAAAATATTTCCTTTTCTGCTTTTGGCCTCAAAGCGCTTGAAATCTCCACTTGCAAATTCCACAAAAAGAGACTTTCAAATCTGCTCTGTCTAAAGGAAGGTTCAACTCTGTCAGTTGAATACACACAACACAAAGAAGTTACTAAGAATTCTTCCCTCTAGCATTATATGAAGAAATCCCGTTTCCAACGAAGGCATCTAAGAGGTCCAAATATCCACTTGCAGACTTTACAAACAGAGGGTTTCCAGAATGCTGTATGAAAAGAAAGGTTAAACTCTGTGAGTTAAACACACACATCACTACGCAGTGTCTGGGAACGAGTTTGTCTTGTTTTTATACGAAGATATTTCCTTTTCTACCATTGGCATCGAAGCGCTTGAAATCTCCACTTGCAAATTCCACAAAAAGAGTGTTTCAAATCTGCTCTGTCTAAAGGAAGGTTGAACTCTGTGAGTTGCATACACACAACACAAAGAAGTTACTGAGAAATCTTCTGTCTAGCATAATATGAAGAAATCCCGTTTCCAACGAAGGCCTCAAAGAGGTCCGAATATCCACTGGCAGGCTTCACAAACAGAGTGTTTCCTAACTGCTCTGTGAAAAGAAAGGTTAAACTCTGTGAGTTGAATGCACACATCACAAAGGAGTTTCTGAGAATCATTCTGTCTAGTTTTTATACGAAGATATTTCCTTTTCTACCATTGACCTCAAAGCGGCTGAAATCTCCACTTGCAAATTCCAGAAAAACAGTGTTTCAAATCTGCTCTGTGTAAAGGATCGTTCAACTCTGTGAGTTGAATACACACAACACAAGGAAGTTACTGAGAATTCATCTGTCTAGCATAATATGAAGAAATCCCGTTTCCAACGAAGGCCTCAAAGAGGTCTGAATATCCACTTGCAGACTTTACAAACAGAGTGTTTCCTAACTGCTCTTTGAAAAGAAAGGTTAAACTCTGTGAGTTGAAAGCACACATCACAAAACAGTTTCTGAGAATCATTCTGTCTAGTTTTTATACGAAGATATTTCCTTTTCTACCGTTGACCTCAAAGCGGCTGAATTCTCCACTTACAAATTCCACCCAAAGAGTGTCTCAAATCTGCTCTGTGTAAAGAATCATTCAACTCTGTGAGTTGAATGCACACAACACAAGGAAGTTACTGGGAATTCCTCTGTCTAACCTTACATGAAAAAACCCGTTTCCAACGAAGGCCTCTAAGAGGCCAAGATATCCACTTGCAGACTTTACAAACAGAGTGTTTCCAAACTGCTGAATGAAAAGAAAAGTTAAACTCTGTGAGTTGAACGCACACATCACAGAGCAGTTTCTGAGAATGATTCTGTCGGGTTTTTATACGAAGATATTTCCTTTTCTGCCTTTGGCCTCAAAGCGCTTGAAGTCTCCACTTGCAAATTGCAGAAAAAGAGTGTTTCGAATCTGCTCTGTCTAAAGGAAGGTTCAACTCTGTCAGTTGAATACACACAACACAAGGAAGTTACTGAGATTTCTTCTGTCTAGCCTTACATGAAAAAAACCCGTTTCCAACGAAGGCCTCAAAGAGGTCAAAATATCCACGTGCAGACTTTCCAAACAGAGTGTTTCCAAACTGCTGAATGAAAAGAAAAAAACTCTGTGAGTTGAACGCACACATCCCAGAGCAGTTTCTGAGAAAGATTCTGTCTAGTTTTTATAGGAAAATATTTCCTTTTCTGCTTTTGGCCTCAAAGCGCTTGAAATCTCCACTTGCAAATTCCACAAAAAGAGACTTTCAAATCTGCTCTGTCTAAAGGAAGGTTCAACTCTGTCAGTTGAATACACACAACACAAAGAAGTTACTAAGAATTCTTCCCTCTAGCATTATATGAAGAAATCCCGTTTCCAACGAAGGCATCTAAGAGGTCCAAATATCCACTTGCAGACTTTACAAACAGAGGGTTTCCAGAATGCTGTATGAAAAGAAAGGTGAAACTCTGTGAGTTAAACACACACATCACTACGCAGTGTCTGGGAACGAGTTTGTCTTGTTTTTATACGAAGATATTTCCTTTTCTACCATTGGCATCGAAGCGCTTGAAATCTCCACTTGCAAATTCCACAAAAAGAGTGTTTCAAATCTGCTCTGTCTAAAGGAAGGTTGAACTCTGTGAGTTGCATACACACAACACAAAGAAGTTACTGAGAAATCTTCTGTCTAGCATAATATGAAGAAATCCCGTTTCCAACGAAGGCCTCAAAGAGGTCCGAATATCCACTGGCAGGCTTCACAAACAGAGTGTTTCCTAACTGCTCTGTGAAAAGAAAGGTTAAACTCTGTGAGTTGAACGCACACATCACAAAGGAGTTTCTGAGAATCATTCTGTCTAGTTTTTATACGAAGATATTTCCTTTTCTACCATTGACCTCAAAGCGGCTGAAATCTCCACTTGCAAATTCCAGAAAAACAGTGTTTCAAATCTGCTCTGTGTAAAGGATCGTTCAACTCTGTGAGTTGAATACACACAACACAAGGAAGTTACTGAGAATTCATCTGTCTAGCATAATATGAAGAAATCCCGTTTCCAACGAAGGCCTCAAAGAGGTCTGAATATCCACTTGCAGACTTTACAAACAGAGTGTTTCCTAACTGCTCTTTGAAAAGAAAGGTTAAACTCTGTGAGTTGAACGCACACATCACAAAACAGTTTCTGAGAATCATTCTGTCTAGTTTTTATACGAAGATATTTCCTTTTCTACCGTTGACCTCAAAGCGGCTGAATTCTCCACTTACAAATTCCACCAAAAGAGTGTCTCAAATCTGCTCTGTGTAAAGAATCATTCAACTCTGTGAGTTGAATGCACACAACACAAGGAAGTTACTGGGAATTCCTGTGTGTATCCTTACATGAAAAAACCCGTTTCCAACGAAGGCCTCTAAGAGGCCAAGATATCCACTTGCAGACTTTACAAACAGAGTGTTTCCAAACTGCTGAATGAAAAGAAAAGTTAAACTCTGTGAGTTGAACGCACACATCACAGAGCAGTTTCTGAGAATGATTCTGTCGGGTTTTTCTACGAAGATATTTCCTTTTCTGCCTTTGGCCTCAAAGCGCTTGAAGTCTCCACTTGCAAATTGCAGAAAAAGAGTGTTTCGAATCTGCTCTGTCTAAAGGAAGGTTCAACTCTGTCAGTTGAATACACACAACACAAGGAAGTTACTGAGATTTCTTCTGTCTAGCCTTACATGAAAAAAACCCGTTTCCAACGAAGGCCTCAAAGAGGTCAAAATATCCACGTGCAGACTTTCCAAACAGAGTGTTTCCAAACTGCTGAATGAAAAGAAAAGTTAAACTCTGTGAGTTGAACGCACACATCCCAGAGCAGTTTCTGAGAAAGATTCTGTCGAGTTTTTATAGGAAAATATTTCCTTTTCTGCTTTTGGCCTCAAAGCGCTTGAAATCTCCACTTGCAAATTCCACAAAAAGAGACTTTCAAATCTGCTCTGTCTAAAGGAAGGTTCAACTCTGTCAGTTGAATACACACAACACAAAGAAGTTACTAAGAATTCTTCCCTCTAGCATTATATGAAGAAATCCCGTTTCCAACGAAGGCATCTAAGAGGTCCAAATATCCACTTGCAGACTTTACAAACACAGGGTTTCCAGAATGCTGTATGAAAAGAAAGGTTAAACTCTGTGAGTTAAACACACACATCACTACGCAGTGTCTGGGAACGAGTTTGTCTTGTTTTTATACGAAGATATTTCCTTTTCTACCATTGGCATCGAAGCGCTTGAAATCTCCACTTGCAAATTCCACAAAAAGAGTGTTTCAAATCTGCTCTGTCTAAAGGAAGGTTGAACTCTGTGAGTTGCATACACACAACACAAAGAAGTTACTGAGAAATCTTCTGTCTATCATAATATGAAGAAATCCCGTTTCCAACGAAGGCCTCAAAGAGGTCCGAATATCCACTGGCAGGCTTCACAAACAGAGTGTTTCCTAACTGCTCTGTGAAAAGAAAGGTTAAACTCTGTGAGTTGAACGCACACATCACAAAGGAGTTTCTGAGAATCATTCTGTCTAGTTTTTATACGAAGATATTTCCTTTTCTACCATTGACCTCAAAGCGGCTGAAATCTCCACTTGCAAATTCCAGAAAAACAGTGTTTCAAATCTGCTCTGTGTAAAGGATCGTTCAACTCTGTGAGTTGAATACACACAACACAAGGAAGTTACTGAGAATTCATCTGTCTAGCATAATATGAAGAAATCCCGTTTCCAACGAAGGCCTCAAAGAGGTCTGAATATCCACTTGCAGACTTTACAAACAGAGTGTTTCCTAACTGCTCTCTGAAAAGAAAGGTTAAACTCTGTGAGTTGAACGCACACATCACAAAACAGTTTCTGAGAATCATTCTGTCTAGTTTTTATACGAAGATATTTCCTTTTCTACCGTTGACCTCAAAGCGGCTGAATTCTCCACTTACAAATTCCACCAAAAGAGTGTCTCAAATCTGCTCTGTGTAAAGAATCATTCAACTCTGTGAGTTGAATGCACACAACACAAGGAAGTTACTGGGAATTCCTCTGTCTAACCTTACATGAAAAAACCCGTTTCCAACGAAGGCCTCTAAGAGGCCAAGATATCCACTTGCAGACTTTACAAACAGAGTGTTTCCAAACTGCTGAATGAAAAGAAAAGTTAAACTCTGTGAGTTGAACGCACACATCACAGAGCAATTTCTGAGAGTGATTCTGTCGGGTTTTTATACGAAGATATTTCCTTTTCTGCCTTTGGCCTCAAAGCGCTTGAAGTTTCCACTTGCAAATTGCAGAAAAAGAGTGTTTCGAATCTGCTCTGTCTAAAGGAAGGTTCAACTCTGTCAGTTGAATACACACAACACAAGGAAGTTACTGAGATTTCTTCTGTCTAGCCTTACATGAAAAAAACCCGTTTCCAACGAAGGCCTCAAAGAGGTCAAAATATCCACGTGCAGACTTTCCAAACAGAGTGTTTCCAAACTGCTGAATGAAAAGAAAAGTTAAACTCTGTGAGTTGAACGCACACATCCCAGAGCAGTTTCTGAGAAAGATTCTGTCGAGTTTTTATAGGAAAATATTTCCTTTTCTGCTTTTGGCCTCAAAGCGCTTGAAATCTCCACTTGCAAATTCCACAAAAAGAGACTTTCAAATCTGCTCTGTCTAAAGGAAGGTTCAACTCTGTCAGTTGAATACACACAACACAAAGAAGTTACTAAGAATTCTTCCCTCTAGCATTATATGAAGAAATCCCGTTTCCAACGAAGGCATCTAAGAGGTCCAAATATCCACTTGCAGACTTTACAAACAGAGGGTTTCCAGAATGCTGTATGAAAAGAAAGGTTAAACTCTGTGAGTTAAACACACACATCACTACGCAGTGTCTGGGAACGAGTTTGTCTTGTTTTTATACGAAGATATTTCCTTTTCTACCATTGGCATCGAAGCGCTTGAAATCTCCACTTGCAAATTCCACAAAAAGAGTGTTTCAAATCTGCTCTGTCTAAAGGAAGGTTGAACTCTGTGAGTTGCATACACACAACACAAAGAAGTTACTGAGAAATCTTCTGTCTAGCATAATATGAAGAAATCCCGTTTCCAACGAAGGCCTCAAAGAGGTCCGAATATCCACTGGCAGGCTTCACAAACAGAGTGTTTCCTAACTGCTCTGTGAAAAGAAAGGTTAAACTCTGTGAGTTGAACGCACACATCACAAAGGAGTTTCTGAGAATCATTCTGTCTAGTTTTTATACGAAGATATTTCCTTTTCTACCATTGACCTCAAAGCGGCTGACATCTCCACTTGCAAATTCCAGAAAAACAGTGTTTCAAATCTGCTCTGTGTAAAGGATCGTTCAACTCTGTGAGTTGAATACACACAACACAAGGAAGTTACTGAGAATTCATCTGTCTAGCATAATATGAAGAAATCCCGTTTCCAACGAAGGCCTCAAAGAGGTCTGAATATCCACTTGCAGACTTTACAAACAGAGTGTTTCCTAACTGCTCTTTGAAAAGAAAGGTTAAACTCTGTGAGTTGAAAGCACACATCACAAAACAGTTTCTGAGAATCATTCTTTCTAGTTTTTATACGAAGATATTTCCTTTTCTACCGTTGACCTCAAAGCGGCTGAATTCTCCACTTACAAATTCCACCAAAAGAGTGTCTCAAATCTGCTCTGTGTAAAGAATCATTCAACTCTGTGAGTTGAATGCATACAACACAAGGAAGTTACTGGGAATTCCTCTGTCTATCCTTACATGAAAAAACCCGCTTCCAACGAAGGCCTCTAAGAGGCCAAGATATCCACTTGCAGACTTTACAAACAGAGTGTTTCCAAACTGCTGAATGAAAAGAAAAGTTAAACTCTGTGAGTTGAACGCACACATCACAGAGCAGTTTCTGAGAATGATTCTGTCGGGTTTTTATACGAAGATATTTCCTTTTCTGCCTTTGGCCTCAAAGCGCTTGAAGTCTCCACTTGCAAATTGCAGAAAAAGAGTGTTTCGAATCTGCTCTGTCTAAAGGAAGGTTCAACTCTGTCAGTTGAATACACACAACACAAGGAAGTTACTGAGATTTCTTCTGTCTAGCCTTACATGAAAAAAACCCGTTTCCAACGAAGGCCTCAAAGAGGTCAAAATATCCACGTGCAGACTTTCCAAACAGAGTGTTTCCAAACTGCTGAATGAAAAGAAAAGTTAAACTCTGTGAGTTGAACGCACACATCCCAGAGCAGTTTCTGAGAAAGATTGTGTCGAGTTTTTATAGGAAAATATTTCCTTTTCTGCTTTTGGCCTCAAAGCGCTTGAAATCTCCACTTGCAAATTCCACAAAAAGAGACTTTCAAATCTGCTCTGTCTAAAGGAAGGTTCAACTCTGTCAGTTGAATACACACAACACAAAGAAGTTACTAAGAATTCTTCCCTCTAGCATTATATGAGGAAATCCCGTTTCCAACGAAGGCATCTAAGAGGTCCAAATATCCACTTGCAGACTTTACAAACAGAGGGTTTCCAGAATGCTGTATGAAAAGAAAGGTTAAACTCTGTGAGTTAAACACACACATCACTACGCAGTGTCTGGGAACGAGTTTGTCTTGTTTTTATACGAAGATATTTCCTTTTCTACCATTGGCATCGAAGCGCTTGAAATCTCCACTTGCAAATTCCACAAAAAGAGTGTTTCAAATCTGCTCTGTCTAAAGGAAGGTTGAACTCTGTGAGTTGCATACACACAACACAAAGAAGTTACTGAGAAATCTTCTGTCTAGCATAATATGAAGAAATCCCGTTTCCAACGAAGGCCTCAAAGAGGTCCGAATATCCACTGGCAGGCTTCACAAACAGAGTGTTTCCTAACTGCTCTGTGAAAAGAAAGGTTAAACTCTGTGAGTTGAACGCACACATCACAAAGGAGTTTCTGAGAATCATTCTGTCTAGTTTTTATACGAAGATATTTCCTTTTCTACCATTGACCTCAAAGCGGCTGACATCTCCACTTGCAAATTCCAGAAAAACAGTGTTTCAAATCTGCTCTGTGTAAAGGATCGTTCAACTCTGTGAGTTGAATACACACAACACAAGGAAGTTACTGAGAATTCATCTGTCTAGCATAATATGAAGAAATCCCGTTTCCAACGAAGGCCTCAAAGAGGTCTGAATATCCACTTGCAGACTTTACAAACAGAGTGTTTCCTAACTGCTCTTTGAAAAGAAAGGTTAAACTCTGTGAGTTGAACGCACACATCACAAAACAGTTTCTGAGAATCATTCTGTCTAGTTTTTATACGAAGATATATCCTTTTCTACCGTTGACCTCAAAGCGGCTGAATTCTCCACTAACAAATTCCACCAAAAGAGTGTCTCAAATCTACTCTGTGTAAAGAATCATTCAACTCTGTGAGTTGAATGCACACAACACAAGGAAGTTACTGGGAATTCCTCTGTCTAACCTTACATGAAAAAACCCGTTTCCAACGAAGGCCTCTAAGAGGCCAAGATATCCACTTGCAGACTTTACAAACAGAGTGTTTCCAAACTGCTGAATGAAAAGAAAAGTTAAACTCTGTGAGTTGAACGCACACATCACAGAGCAGTTTCTGAGAATGATTCTGTCGGGTTTTTATACGAAGATATTTCCTTTTCTGCCTTTGGCCTCAAAGCGCTTGAAGTCTCCACTTGCAAATTGCAGAAAAAGAGTGTTTCGAATCTGCTCTGTCTAAAAGAAGGTTCAACTCTGTCAGTTGAATACACACAACACAAGGAAGTTACTGAGATTTCTTCTGTCTAGCCTTACATGAAAAAAACCCGTTTCCAACGAAGGCCTCAAAGAGGTCAAAATATCCACGTGCAGACTTTCCAAACAGAGTGTTTCCAAACTGCTGAATGAAAAGAAAAGTTAAACTCTGTGAGTTGAACACACACAACCCAGAGCAGTTTCTGAGAAAGATTCTGTCTAGTTTTTATAGGAAAATATTTCCTTTTCTGCTTTTGGCCTCAAAGCGCTTGAAATCTCCACTTGCAAATTCCACAAAAAGAGACTTTCAAATCTGCTCTGTCTAAAGGAAGGTTCAACTCTGTCAGTTGAATACACACAACACAAAGAAGTTACTAAGAATTCTTCCCTCTAGCATTATATGAAGAAATCCCGTTTCCAACGAAGGCATCTAAGAGGTCCAAATATCCACTTGCAGACTTTACAAACAGAGGGTTTCCAGAATGCTGTATGAAAAGAAAGGTGAAACTCTGTGAGTTAAACACACACATCACTACGCAGTGTCTGGGAACGAGTTTGTCTTGTTTTTATACGAAGATATTTCCTTTTCTACCATTGGCATCGAAGCGCTTGAAATCTCCACTTGCAAATTCCACAAAAAGAGTGTTTCAAATCTGCTCTGTCTAAAGGAAGGTTGAACTCTGTGAGTTGCATACACACAACACAAAGAAGTTACTGAGAAATCTTCTGTCTAGCATAATATGAAGAAATCCCGTTTCCAACGAAGGCCTCAAAGAGGTCCGAATATCCACTGGCAGGCTTCACAAACAGAGTGTTTCCTAACTGCTCTGTGAAAAGAAAGGTTAAACTCTGTGAGTTGAACGCACACATCACAAAGGAGTTTCTGAGAATCATTCTGTCTAGTTTTTATACGAAGATATTTCCTTTTCTACCATTGACCTCAAAGCGGCTGACATCTCCACTTGCAAATTCCAGAAAAACAGTGTTTCAAATCTGCTCTGTGTAAAGGATCGTTCAACTCTGTGAGTTGAATACACACAACACAAGGAAGTTACTGAGAATTCATCTGTCTAGCATAATATGAAGAAATCCCGTTTCCAACGAAGGCCTCAAAGAGGTCTGAATATCCACTTGCAGACTTTACAGAGTGTTTCCTAACTGCTCTTTGAAAAGAAAGGTTAAACTCTGTGAGTTGAACGCACACATCACAAAACAGTTTCTGAGAATCATTCTGTCTAGTTTTAATACGAAGATATTTCCTTTTCTACCGTTGACCTCAAAGCGGCTGAATTCTCCACTTACAAATTCCACCAAAAGAGTGTCTCAAATCTGCTCTGTGTAAAGAATCGTTCAACTCTGTGAGTTGAATGCACACAACACAAGGAAGTTACTGGGAATTCCTCTGTCTATCCTTACATGAAAAAACCCGTTTCCAACGAAGGCCTCTAAGAGGCCAAGATATCCACATGCAGACTTTACAAACAGAGTGTTTCCAAACTGCTGAATGAAAAGAAAAGTTAAACTCTGTGAGTTGAACGCACACATCACAGAGCAGTTTCTGAGAATGATTCTGTCGGGTTTTTATACGAAGATATTTCCTTTTCTGCCTTTGGCCTCAAAGCGCTTGAAGTCTCCACTTGCAAATTGCAGAAAAAGAGTGTTTCGAATCTGCTCTGTCTAAAGGAAGGTTCAACTCTGTCAGTTGAATACACACAACACAAGGAAGTTACTGAGATTTCTTCTGTCTAGCCTTACATGAAAAAAACCCGTTTCCAACGAAGGCCTCAAAGAGGTCAAAATATCCACGTGCAGACTTTCCAAACAGAGTGTTTCCAAACTGCTGAATGAAAAGAAAAGTTAAACTCTGTGAGTTGAACGCACACATCCCAGAGCAGTTTCTGAGAAAGATTCTGTCGAGTTTTTATAGGAAAATATTTCCTTTTCTGCTTTTGGCCTCAAAGCACTTGAAATCTCCACTTGCAAATTCCACAAAAAGAGACTTTCAAATCTGCTCTGTCTAAAGGAAGGTTCAACTCTGTCAGTTGAATACACACAACACAAAGAAGTTACTAAGAATTCTTCCCTCTAGCATTATATGAAGAAATCCCGTTTCCAACGAAGGTATCTAAGAGGTCCAAATATCCACTTGCAGACTTTACAAACACAGGGTTTCCAGAATGCTGTATGAAAAGAAAGGTTAAACTCTGTGAGTTAAACACACACATCACTACGCAGTGTCTGGGAACGAGTTTGTCTTGTTTTTATACGAAGATATTTCCTTTTCTACCATTGGCATCGAAGCGCTTGAAATCTCCACTTGCAAATTCCACAAAAAGAGTGTTTCAAATCTGCTCTGTCTAAAGGAAGGTTGAACTCTGTGAGTTGCATACACACAACACAAAGAAGTTACTGAGAAATCTTCTGTCTAGCATAATATGAAGAAATCCCGTTTCCAACGAAGGCCTCAAAGAGGTCCGAATATCCACTGGCAGGCTTCACAAACAGAGTGTTTCCTAACTGCTCTGTGAAAAGAAAGGTTAAACTCTGTGAGTTGAACGCACACATCACAAAGGAGTTTCTGAGAATCATTCTGTCTAGTTTTTATACGAAGATATTTCCTTTTCTACCATTGACCTCAAAGCGGCTGACATCTCCACTTGCAAATTCCAGAAAAACAGTGTTTCAAATCTGCTCTGTGTAAAGGATCGTTCAACTCTGTGAGTTGAATACACACAACACAAGGAAGTTACTGAGAATTCATCTGTCTAGCATAATATGAAGAAATCCCGTTTCCAACGAAGGCCTCAAAGAGGTCTGAATATCCACTTGCAGACTTTACAAACAGAGTGTTTCCTAACTGCTCTTTGAAAAGAAAGGTTAAACTCTGTGAGTTGAACGCACACATCACAAAACAGTTTCTGAGAATCATTCTTTCTAGTTTTTATACGAAGATATTTCCTTTTCTACCGTTGACCTCAAAGCGGCTGAATTCTCCACTTACAAATTCCACCAAAAGAGTGTCTCAAATCTGCTCTGTGTAAAGAATCATTCAACTCTGTGAGTTGAATGCATACAACACAAGGAAGTTACTGGGAATTCCTCTGTCTAACCTTACATGAAAAAACCCGTTTCCAACGAAGGCCTCTAAGAGGCCAAGATATCCACTTGCAGACTTTACAAACAGAGTGTTTCCAAACTGCTGAATGAATAGAAAAGTTAAACTCTGTGAGTTGAACGCACACATCACAGAGCAGTTTCTGAGAATGATTCTGTCGGGTTTTTATACGAAGATATTTCCTTTTCTGCCTTTGGCCTCAAAGCGCTTGAAGTCTCCACTTGCAAATTGCAGAAAAAGAGTGTTTCGAATCTGCTCTGTCTAAAGGAAGGTTCAACTCTGTCAGTTGAATACACACAACACAAGGAAGTTACTGAGATTTCTTCTGTCTAGCCTTACATGAAAAAAACCCGTTTCCAACAAAGGCCTCAAAGAGGTCAAAATATCCACGTGCAGACTTTCCAAACAGAGTGTTTCCAAACTGCTGAATGAAAAGAAAAGTTAAACTCTGTGAGTTGAACGCACACGTCCCAGAGCAGTTTCTGAGAAAGATTCTGTCGAGTTTTTATAGGAAAATATTTCCTTTTCTGCTTTTGGCCTCAAAGCGCTTGAAATCTCCACTTGCAAATTCCACAAAAAGAGACTTTCAAATCTGCTCTGTCTAAAGGAAGGTTCAACTCTGTCAGTTGAATACACACAACACAAAGAAGTTACTAAGAATTCTTCCCTCTAGCATTATATGAAGAAATCCCGTTTCCAACGAAGGCATCTAAGAGGTCCAAATATCCACTTGCAGACTTTACAAACACAGGGTTTCCAGAATGCTGTATGAAAAGAAAGGTTAAACTCTGTGAGTTAAACACACACATCACTACGCAGTGTCTGGGAACGAGTTTGTCTTGTTTTTATACGAAGATATTTCCTTTTCTACCATTGGCATCGAAGCGCTTGAAATCTCCACTTGCAAATTCCACAAAAAGAGTGTTTCAAATCTGCTCTGTCTAAAGGAAGGTTGAACTCTGTGAGTTGCATACACACAACACAAAGAAGTTACTGAGAAATCTTCTGAATAGCATAATATGAAGAAATCCCGTTTCCAACGAAGGCCTCAAAGAGGTCCGAATATCCACTGGCAGGCTTCACAAACAGAGTGTTTCCTAACTGCTCTGTGAAAAGAAAGGTTAAACTCTGTGAGTTGAACGCACACATCACAAAGGAGTTTCTGAGAATCATTCTGTCTAGTTTTTATACGAAGATATTTCCTTTTCTACCATTGACCTCAAAGCGGCTGAAATCTCCACTTGCAAATTCCAGAAAAACAGTGTTTCAAATCTGCTCTGTGTAAAGGATCGTTCAACTCTGTGAGTTGAATACACACAACACAAGGAAGTTACTGAGAATTCATCTGTCTAGCATAATATGAAGAAATCCCGTTTCCAACGAAGGCCTCAAAGAGGTCTGAATATCCTCTTGCAGACTTTACAAACAGAGTGTTTCCTAACTGCTCTTTGAAAAGAAAGGTTAAACTCTGTGAGTTGAACGCACACATCACAAAACAGTTTCTGAGAATCATTCTGTCTAGTTTTTATACGAAGATATTTCCTTTTCTACCGTTGACCTCAAAGCGGCTGAATTCTCCACTTACAAATTCCACCAAAAGAGTGTCTCAAAACTGCTCTGTGTAAAGAATCATTCAACTCTGTGAGTTGAATGCACACAACACAAGGAAGTTACTGGGAATTCCTGTGTGTATCCTTACATGAAAAAACCCGTTTCCAACGAAGGCCTCTAAGAGGCCAAGATATCCACTTGCAGACTTTACAAACAGAGTGTTTCCAAACTGCTGAATGAAAAGAAAAGTTAAACTCTGTGAGTTGAACGCACACATCACAGAGCAGTTTCTGAGAATGATTCTGTCGGGTTCTTATACGAAGATATTTCCTTTTCTGCCTTTGGCCTCAAAGCGCTTGAAGTCTCCACTTGCAAATTACAGAAAAAGAGTGTTTCGAATCTGCTCTGTCTAAAGGAAGGTTCAACTCTGTCAGTTGAATACACACAACACAAGGAAGTTACTGAGATTTCTTCTGTCTAGCCTTACATGAAAAAAACCCGTTTCCAACGAAGGCCTCAAAGAGGTCAAAATATCCACGTGCAGACTTTCCAAACAGAGTGTTTCCAAACTGCTGAATGAAAAGAAAAGTTAAACTCTGTGAGTTGAACGCACACATCCCAGAGCAGTTTCTGAGAAAGATTCTGTCGAGTTTTCATAGGAAAATATTTCCTTTTCTGCTTTTGGCCTCAAAGCGCTTGAAATCTCCACTTGCAAATTCCACAAAAAGAGACTTTCAAATCTGCTCTGTCTAAAGGAAGGTTCAACTCTGTCAGTTGAATACACACAACACAAAGAAGTTACTAAGAATTCTTCCCTCTAGCATTATACGAAGAAATCCCGTTTCCAACGAAGGCATCTAAGAGGTCCAAATATCCACTTGCAGACTTTACAAACAGAGGGTTTCCAGAATGCTGTATGAAAAGAAAGGTTAAACTCAGTGAGTTAAACACACACATCACTACGCAGTGTCTGGGAACGAGTTTGTCTTGTTTTTATACGAAGATATTTCCTTTTCTACCATTGGCATCGAAGCGCTTGAAATCTCCACTTGCAAATTCCACAAAAAGAGTGTTTCAAATCTGCTCTGTCTAAAGGAAGGTTGAACTCTGTGAGTTGCATACACACAACACAAAGAAGTTACTGAGAAATCTTCTGTCTAGCATAATATGAAGAAATCCCGTTTCCAACGAAGGCCTCAAAGAGGTCCGAATATCCACTGGCAGGCTTCACAAACAGAGTGTTTCCTAACTGCTCTGTGAAAAGAAAGGTTAAACTCTGTGAGTTGAACGCACACATCACAAAGGAGTTTCTGAGAATCATTCTGTCTAGTTTTTATACGAAGATATTTCCTTTTCTACCATTGACCTCAAAGCGGCTGAAATCTCCACTTGCAAATTCCAGAAAAAGTGTTTCAAATCGGCTCTGTGTAAAGGATCGTTCAACTCTGTGAGTTGAATACACACAACACAAGGAAGTTACTGAGAATTCATCTGTCTAGCATAATATGAAGAAATCCCGTTTCCAACGAAGGTCTCAAAGAGGTCTGAATATCCGCTTGCAGACTTTACAAACAGAGTGTTTCCTAACTGCTCTTTGAAAAGAAAGGTTAAACTCTGTGAGTTGAACGCACACATCACAAAACAGTTTCTGAGAATCATTCTGTCTAGTTTTTATACGAAGATATTTCCTTTTCTACCATTGACCTCAAAGCGGCTGAATTCTCCACTAACAAATTCCACCAAAAGAGTGTCTCAAATCTGCTCTGTGTAAAGAATCATTCAACTCTGTGAGTTGAATGCACACAACACAAGGAAGTTACTGGGAATTCCTCTGTCTAACCTTACATGAAAAAACGCGTTTCCAACGAAGGCCTCTAAGAGGCCAAGATATCCACTTGCAGACTTTACAAACAGAGTGTTTCCAAACTGCTGAATGAAAAGAAAAGTTAAACTCTGTGAGTTGAACGCACACATCACAGAGCAGTTTCTGAGAATGATTCTGTCGGGTTTTTATACGAAGATATTTCCTTTTCTGCCTTTGGCCTCAAAGCGCTTGAAGTCTCCACTTGCAAATTGCAGAAAAAGAGCGTTTCGAATCTGCTCTGTCTAAAGGAAGGTTCAACTCTGTCAGTTGAATACACACAACACAAGGAAGTTACTGAGATTTCTTCTGTCTAGCCTTACATGAAAAAAACCCGTTTCCAACGAAGGCCTCAAAGAGGTCAAAATATCCACGTGCAGACTTTCCAAACAGAGTGTTTCCAAACTGCTGAATGAAAAGAAAGTTAAACTCTGTGAATTGAACACACACATCACAGAGCAGTTTCTGAGAATGATTCTGTCTAGTTTTTATAGGAAAATATTTCCTTTTCTGCTTTTGGCCTCAAAGCGCTTGAAATCTCCACTTGCAAATTCCACAAAAAGAGACTTTCAAATCTGCTCTGTCTAAAGGAAGGTTCAACTCTGTCAGTTGAATACACACAACACAAAGAAGTTACTAAGAATTCTTCCCTCTAGCATTATATGAAGAAATCCCGTTTCCAACGAAGGCATCTAAGAGGTCCAAATATCCACTTGCAGACTTTACAAACAGAGGGTTTCCAGAATGCTGTATGAAAAGAAAGGTTAAACTCTGTGAGTTAAACACACACATCACTACGCAGTGTCTGGGAACGAGTTTGTCTTGTTTTTATACGAAGATATTTCCTTTTCTACCATTGGCATCGAAGCGCTTGAAATCTCCACTTGCAAATTCCACAAAAAGAGTGTTTCAAATCTGCTCTGTCTAAAGGAAGGTTGAACTCTGTGAGTTGCATACACACAACACAAAGAAGTTACTGAGAAATCTTCTGTCTAGCATAATATGAAGAAATCCCGTTTCCAACGAAGGCCTCAAAGAGGTCCGAATATCCACTGGCAGGCTTCACAAACAGAGTGTTTCCTAACTGCTCTGTGAAAAGAAAGGTTAAACTCTGTGAGTTGAACGCACACATCACAAAGGAGTTTCTGAGAATCATTCTGTCTAGTTTTTATACGAAGATATTTCCTTTTCTACCATTGACCTCAAAGCGGCTGAAATCTCCACTTGCAAATTCCAGAAAAACAGTGTTTCAAATCTGCTCTGTGTAAAGGATCGTTCAACTCTGTGAGTTGAATACACACAACACAAGGAAGTTACTGAGAATTCATCTGTCTAGCATAATATGATGAAATCCCGTTTCCAACGAAGGCTTCAAAGAGGTCTGAATATCCACTTGCAGACTTTACAAACAGAGTGTTTCCTAACTGCTCTTTGAAAAGAAAGGTTAAACTCTGTGAGTTGAACGCACACATCACAAAACAGTTTCTGAGAATCATTCTTTCTAGTTTTTATACGAAGATATTTCCTTTTCTACCGTTGACCTCAAAGCGGCTGAATTCTCCACTTACAAATTCCACCAAAAGTGTGTCTCAAATCTGCTCTGTGTAAAGAATCATTCAACTCTGTGAGTTGAATGCACACAACACAAGGAAGTTACTGGGAATTCCTCTGTCTAACCTTACATGAAAAAACCCGTTTCCAATGAAGGCCTCTAAGAGGCCAAGATATCCACTTGCAGACTTTACAAACAGAGTGTTTCCAAACTGCTGAATGAAAAGAAAAGTTAAACTCTGTGAGTTGAACGCACACATCACAGAGCAGTTTCTGAGAATGATTCTGTCGGGTTTTTATACGAAGATATATCCTTTTCTGCCTTTGGCCTCAAAGCGCTTGAAGTCTCCACTTGCAAATTGCAGAAAAAGAGTGTTTCGAATCTGCTCTGTCTAAAGGAAGGTTCAACTCTGTCAGTTGAATACACACAACACAAGGAAGTTACTGAGATTTCTTCTGTCTAGCCTTACATGAAAAAAACCCGTTTCCAACGAAGGCCTCAAAGAGGTCAAAATATCCACGTGCAGACTTTCCAAACAGAGTGTTTCCAAACTGCTGAATGAAAAGAAAAGTTAAACTCTGTGAGTTGAACGCACACATCCCAGAGCAGTTTCTGAGAAAGATTCTGTCGAGTTTTTATAGGAAAATATTTCCTTTTCTGCTTTTGGCCTCAAAGCGCTTGAAATCTCCACTTGCAAATTCCACAAAAAGAGACTTTCAAATCTGCTCTGTCTAAAGGAAGGTTCAACTCTGTCAGTTGAATACACACAACACAAAGAAGTTACTAAGAATTCTTCCCTCTAGCATTATATGAAGAAATCCCGTTTCCAACGAAGGCATCTAAGAGGTCCAAATATCCACTTGCAGACTTTACAAACAGAGGGTTTCCAGAATGCTGTATGAAAAGAAAGGTTAAACTCTGTGAGTTAAACACACACATCACTACGCAGTGTCTGGGAACGAGTTTGTCTTGTTTTTATACGAAGATATTTCCTTTTCTACCATTGGCATCGAAGCGCTTGAAATCTCCACTTGCAAATTCCACAAAAAGAGTGTTTCAAATCTGCTCTGTCTAAAGGAAGGTTGAACTCTGTGAGTTGCATACACACAACCCAAAGAAGTTACTGAGAAATCTTCTGTCTAGCATAATATGAAGAAATCCCGTTTCCAACGAAGGCCTCAAAGAGGTCCGAATATCCACTGGCAGGCTTCACAAACAGAGTGTTTCCTAACTGCTCTGTGAAAAGAAAGGTTAAACTCTGTGAGTTGAACGCACACATCACAAAGGAGTTTCTGAGAATCATTCTGTCTAGTTTTTATACGAAGATATTTCCTTTTCTACCATTGACCTCAAAGCGGCTGAAATCTCCACTTGCAAATTCCAGAAAAACAGTGTTTCAAATCTGCTCTGTGTAAAGGATCGTTTAACTCTGTGAGTTGAATACACACAACACAAGGAAGTTACTGAGAATTCATCTGTCTAGCATAATATGAAGAAATCCCGTTTCCAACGAAGGCCTCAAAGAGGTCTGAATATCCACTTGCAGACTTTACAAACAGAGTGTTTCCTAACTGCTCTTTGAAAAGAAAGGTTAAACTCTGTGAGTTGAACGCACACATCACAAAACAGTTTCTGAGAATCATTCTGTCTAGTTTTTATACGAAGATATTTCCTTTTCTACCGTTGACCTCAAAGCGGCTGAATTCTCCACTTACAAATTCCACCAAAAGAGTGTCTCAAATCTGCTCTGTGTAAAGAATCATTCAACTCTGTGAGTTGAATGCACACAACACAAGGAAGTTACTGGGAATTCCTCTGTCTATCCTTACATGAAAAAACCCGTTTCCAACGAAGGCCTCTAAGAGGCCAAGATATCCACTTGCAGACTTTACAAACAGAGTGTTTCCAAACTGCTGAATGAAAAGAAAAGTTAAACTCTGTGAGTTGAACGCACACATCACAGAGCAGTTTCTGAGAGTGATTCTGTCGGGTTTTTATACGAAGATATTTCCTTTTCTGCCTTTGGCCTCAAAGCGCTTGAAGTTTCCACTTGCAAATTGCAGAAAAAGAGTGTTTCGAATCTGCTCTGTCTAAAGGAAGGTTCAACTCTGTCAGTTGAATACACACAACACAAGGAAGTTACTGAGATTTCTTCTGTCTAGCCTTACATGAAAAAAACCCGTTTCCAACGAAGGCCTCAAAGAGGTCAAAATATCCACGTGCAGACTTTCCAAACAGAGTGTTTCCAAACTGCTGAATGAAAAGAAAAGTTAAACTCTGTGAGTTGAACGCACACATCCCAGAGCAGTTTCTGAGAAAGATTCTGTCGAGTTTTTATAGGAAAATATTTCCTTTTCTGCTTTTGGCCTCAAAGCGCTTGAAATCTCCACTTGCAAATTCCACAGAAAGAGACTTTCAAATCTGCTCTGTCTAAAGGAAGGTTCAACTCTGTCAGTTGAATACACACAACACAAAGAAGTTACTAAGAATTCTTCCCTCTAGCATTATATGAAGAAATCCCGTTTCCAACGAAGGCATCTAAGAGGTCCAAATATCCACTTGCAGACTTTACAAACAGAGGGTTTCCAGAATGCTGTATGAAAAGAAAGGTTAAACTCTGTGAGTTAAACACACACATCACTACGCAGTGTCTGGGAACGAGTTTGTCTTGTTTTTCTACGAAGATATTTCCTTTTCTACCATTGGCATCGAAGCGCTTGAAATCTCCACTTGCAAATTCCACAAAAAGAGTGTTTCAAATCTGCGCTGTCTAAAGGAAGGTTGAACTCTGTGAGTTGTATACACACAACACAAAGAAGTTACTGAGAAATCTTCTGTCTAGCAAAATATGAAGAAATCCCGTTTCCAACGAAGGCCTCAAAGAGGTCCGAATATCCACTGGCAGGCTTCACAAACAGAGTGTTTCCTAACTGCTCTGTGAAAAGAAAGGTTAAACTCTGTGAGTTGAACGCACACATCACAAAGGAGTTTCTGAGAATCATTCTGTCTAGTTTTTATACGAAGATATTTCCTTTTCTACCATTGACCTCAAAGCGGCTGAAATCTCCACTTGCAAATTCCAGAAAAACAGTGTTTCAAATCTGCTCTGTGTAAAGGATCGTTCAACTCTGTGAGTTGAATACACACAACACAAGGAAGTTACTGAGAATTCATCTGTCTAGCATAATATGATGAAATCCCGTTTCCAACGAAGGCTTCAAAGAGGTCTGAATATCCACTTGCAGACTTTACAAACAGAGTGTTTCCTAACTGCTCTTTGAAAAGAAAGGTTAAACTCTGTGAGTTGAACGCACACATCACAAAACAGTTTCTGAGAATCATTCTTTCTAGTTTTTATACGAAGATATTTCCTTTTCTACCGTTGACCTCAAAGCGGCTGAATTCTCCACTTACAAATTCCACCAAAAGTGTGTCTCAAATCTGCTCTGTGTAAAGAATCATTCAACTCTGTGAGTTGAATGCACACAACACAAGGAAGTTACTGGGGAATTCCTCTGTCTAACCTTACATGAAAAAACGCGTTTCCAACGAAGGCCTCTAAGAGGCCAAGATATCCACTTGCAGACTTTACAAACAGAGTGTTTCCAAACTGCTGAATGAAAAGAAAAGTTAAACTCTGTGAGTTGAACGCACACATCACAGAGCAGTTTCTGAGAATGATTCTGTCGGGTTTTTATACGAAGATATTTCCTTTTCTGCCTTTGGCCTCAAAGCGCTTGAAGTCTCCACTTGCAAATTGCAGAAAAAGAGCGTTTCGAATCTGCTCTGTCTAAAGGAAGGTTCAACTCTGTCAGTTGAATACACACAACACAAGGAAGTTACTGAGATTTCTTCTGTCTAGCCTTACATGAAAAAAACCCGTTTCCAACGAAGGCCTCAAAGAGGTCAAAATATCCACGTGCAGACTTTCCAAACAGAGTGTTTCCAAACTGCTGAATGAAAAGAAAGTTAAACTCTGTGAGTTGAACACACACATCACAGAGCAGTTTCTGAGAATGATTCTGTCTAGTTTTTATAGGAAAATATTTCCTTTTCTGCTTTTGGCCTCAAAGCGCTTGAAATCTCCACTTGCAAATTCCACAAAAAGAGACTTTCAAATCTGCTCTGTCTAAAGGGAGGTTCAACTCTGTCAGTTGAATACACACAACACAAAGAAGTTACTAAGAATTCTTCCCTCTAGCATTATATGAAGAAATCCCGTTTCCAACGAAGGCATCTGAGAGGTCCAAATATCCACTTGCAGACTTTACAAACAGAGGGTTTCCAGAATGCTGTATGAAAAGAAAGGTGAAACTCTGTGAGTTAAACACACACATCACTACGCAGTGTCTGGGAACGAGTTTGTCTTGTTTTTATACGAAGATATTTCCTTTTCTACCATTGGCATCGAAGCGCTTGAAATCTCCACTTGCAAATTCCACAAAAAGAGTGTTTCAAATCTGCTCTGTCTAAAGGAAGGTTGAACTCTGTGAGTTGCATACACACAACACAAAGAAGTTACTGAGAAATCTTCTGTCTAGCATAATATGAAGAAATCCCGTTTCCAACGAAGGCCTCAAAGAGGTCCGAATATCCACTGGCAGGCTTCACAAACAGAGTGTTTCCTAACTGCTCTGTGAAAAGAAAGGTTAAACTCTGTGAGTTGAACGCACACATCACAAAGGAGTTTCTGAGAATCATTCTGTCTAGTTTTTATACGAAGATATTTCCTTTTCTACCATTGACCTCAAAGCAGCTGAAATCTCCACTTGCAAATTCCAGAAAAACAGTGTTTCAAATCTGCTCTGTGTAAAGGATCGTTCAACTCTGTGAGTTGAATACACACAACCAAGGAAGTTACTGAGAATTCATCTGTCTAGCATAATATGAAGAAATCCCGTTTCCAACGAAGGCCTCAAAGAGGTCTGAATATCCACTTGCAGACTTTACAAACAGAGTGTTTCCTAACTGCTCTTTGAAAAGAAAGGTTAAACTCTGTGAGTTGAACGCACACATCACAAAACAGTTTCTGAGAATCATTCTGTCTAGTTTTTATACGAAGATATTTCCTTTTCTACCGTTGACCTCAAAGCGGCTGAATTCTCCACTTACAAATTCCACCAAAAGAGTGTCTCAAATCTGCTCTGTGTAAAGAATCATTCAACTCTGTGAGTTGAATGCACACAACACAAGGAAGTTACTGGGAATTCCTCTGTCTATCCTTACATGAAAAAACCCGTTTCCAACGAAGGCCTCTAAGAGGCCAAGATATCCACTTGCAGACTTTACAAACAGAGTGTTTCCAAACTGCTGAATGAAAAGAAAAGTTAAACTCTGTGAGTTGAACGCACACATCACAGAGCAGTTTCTGAGAATGATTCTGTCGGGTTTTTATACGAAGATATTTCCTTTTCTGCCTTTGGCCTCAAAGCGCTTGAAGTCTCCACTTGCAAATTGCAGAAAAAGAGTGTTTCGAATCTGCTCTGTCTAAAGGAAGGTTCAACTCTGTCAGTTGAATACACACAACACAAGGAAGTTACTGAGATTTCTTCTGTCTAGCCTTACATGAAAAAAACCCGTTTCCAACGAAGGCCTCAAAGAGGTCAAAATATCCACGTGCAGACTTTCCAAACAGAGTGTTTCCAAACTGCTGAATGAAAAGAAAAGTTAAACTCTGTGAGTTGAACGCACACATCCCAGAGCAGTTTCTGAGAAAGATTCTGTCGAGTTTTTATAGGAAAATATTTCCTTTTCTGCTTTTGGCCTCAAAGCGCTTGAAATCTCCACTTGCAAATTCCACAAAAAGAGACTTTCAAATCTGCTCTGTCTAAAGGAAGGTTCAACTCTGTCAGTTGAATACACACAACACAAAGAAGTTACTAAGAATTCTTCCCTCTAGCATTATATGAAGAAATCCCGTTTCCAACGAAGGCATCTAAGAGGTCCAAATATCCACTTGCAGACTTTACAAACACAGGGTTTCCAGAATGCTGTATGAAAAGAAAGGTGAAACTCTGTGAGTTAAACACACACATCACTACGCAGTGTCTGGGAACGAGTTTGTCTTGTTTTTATACGAAGATATTTCCTTTTCTACCATTGGCATCGAAGCGTTTGAAATCTCCACTTGCAAATTCCACAAAAAGAGTGTTTCAAATCTGCTCTGTCTAAAGGAAGGTTGAACTCTGTGAGTTGCATACACACAACCCAAAGAAGTTACTGAGAAATCTTCTGTCTAGCATAATATGAAGAAATCCCGTTTCCAACGAAGGCCTCAAAGAGGTCCGAATATCCACTGGCAGGCTTCACAAACAGAGTGTTTCCTAACTGCTCTGTGAAAAGAAAGGTTAAACTCTGTGAGTTGAACGCACACATCACAAAGGAGTTTCTGAGAATCATTCTGTCTAGTTTTTATACGAAGATATTTCCTTTTCTACCATTGACCTCAAAGCGGCTGAAATCTCCACTTGCAAATTCCAGAAAAACAGTGTTTCAAATCTGCTCTGTGTAAAGGATCGTTCAACTCTGTGAGTTGAATACACACAACACAAGGAAGTTACTGAGAATTCATCTGTCTAGCATAATATGAAGAAATCCCGTTTCCAACGAAGGCCTCAAAGAGGTCTGAATATCCACTTGCAGACTTTACAAACAGAGTGTTTCCTAACTGCTCTTTGAAAAGAAAGGTTAAACTCTGTGAGTTGAACGCACACATCACAAAACAGTTTCTGAGAATCATTCTTTCTAGTTTTTATACGAAGATATTTCCTTTTCTACCGTTGACCTCAAAGCGGCTGAATTCTCCACTTACAAATTCCACCAAAAGAGTGCCTCAAATCTGCTCTGTGTAAAGAATCATTCAACTCTGTGAGTTGAATGCACACAACACAAGGAAGTTACTGGGAATTCCTCTGTCTAACCTTACATGAAAAAACCCGTTTCCAACGAAGGCCTCTAAGAGGCCAAGATATCCACTTGCAGACTTTACAAACAGAGTGTTTCCAAACTGCTGAATGAAAAGAAAAGTTAAACTCTGTGAGTTGAACGCACACATCACAGAGCAGTTTCTGAGAATGATTCTGTCGGGTTTTTATACGAAAATATTTCCTTTTCTGCCTTTGGCCTCAAAGCGCTTGAAGTCTCCACTTGCAAATTGCAGAAAAAGAGTGTTTCGAATCTGCTCTGTCTAAAGGAAGGTTCAACTCTGTCAGTTGAATACACACAACACAAGGAAGTTACTGAGATTTCTTCTGTCTAGCCTTACATGAAAAAAACCCGTTTCCAACGAAGGCCTCAAAGAGGTCAAAATATCCACGTGCAGACTTTCCAAACAGAGTGTTTCCAAACTGCTGAATGGAAAGAAAAGTTAAACTCTGTGAGTTGAACGCACACATCCCAGAGCAGTTTCTGAGAAAGATTCTGTCGAGTTTTTATAGGAAAATATTTCCTTTTCTGCTTTTGGCCTCAAAGTGCTTGAAATCTCCACTTGCAAATTCCACAAAAAGAGACTTTCAAATCTGCTCTGTCTAAAGGAAGGTTCAACTCTGTCAGTTGAATACACACAACACAAAGAAGTTACTAAGAATTCTTCCCTCTAGCATTATATGAAGAAATCCCGTTTCCAACGAAGGCATCTAAGAGGTCCAAATATCCACTTGCAGACTTTACAAACACAGGGTTTCCAGAATGCTGTATGAAAAGAAAGGTGAAACTCTGTGAGTTAAACACACACATCACTACGCAGTGTCTGGGAACGAGTTTGTCTTGTTTTTATACGAAGATATTTCCTTTTCTACCATTGGCATCGAAGCGCTTGAAATCTCCACTTGCAAATTCCACAAAAAGAGTGTTTCAAATCTGCTCTGTCTAAAGGAAGGTTGAACTCTGTGAGTTGCATACACACAACACAAAGAAGTTACTGAGAAATCTTCTGTCTAGCATAATATGAAGAAATCCCGTTTCCAACGAAGGCCTCAAAGAGGTCCGAATATCCACTGGCAGGCTTCACAAACAGAGTGTTTCCTAACTGCTCTGTGAAAAGAAAGGTTAAACTCTGTGAGTTGAACGCACACATCACAAAGGAGTTTCTGAGAATCATTCTGTCTAGTTTTTATACGAAGATATTTCCTTTTCTACCATTGACCTCAAAGCAGCTGAAATCTCCACTTGCAAATTCCAGAAAAACAGTGTTTCAAATCTGCTCTGTGTAAAGGATCGTTCAACTCTGTGAGTTGAATACACACAACACAAGGAAGTTACTGAGAATTCATCTGTCTAGCATAATATGAAGAAATCCCGTTTCCAACGAAGGCCTCAAAGAGGTCTGAATATCCACTTGCAGACTTTACAAACAGAGTGTTTCCTAACTGCTCTTTGAAAAGAAAGGTTAAACTCTGTGAGTTGAACGCACACATCACAAAACAGTTTCTGAGAATCATTCTGTCTAGTTTTTATACGAAGATATTTCCTTTTCTACCGTTGACCTCAAAGCGGCTGAATTCTCCACTAACAAATTCCACCAAAAGAGTGTCTCAAATCTGCTCTGTGTAAAGAATCATTCAACTCTGTGAGTTGAATGCACACAACACAAGGGAAGTTACTGGGAATTCCTCTGTCTATCCTTACATGAAAAAACCCGTTTCCAACGAAGGCCTCTAAGAGGCCAAGATATCCACTTGCAGACTTTACAAACAGAGTGTTTCCAAACTGCTGAATGAAAAGAAAAGTTAAACTCTGTGAGTTGAACGCACACATCACAGAGCAGTTTCTGAGAATGATTCTGTCGGGTTTTTATACGAAGATATTTCCTTTTCTGCCTTTGGCCTCAAAGCGCTTGAAGTCTCCACTTGCAAATTGCAGAAAAAGAGTGTTTCGAATCTGCTCTGTCTAAAGGAAGGTTCAACTCTGTCAGTTGAATACACACAACACAAGGAAGTTACTGAGATTTCTTCTGTCTAGCCTTACATGAAAAAAACCCGTTTCCAACGAAGGCCTCAAAGAGGTCAAAATATCCACGTGCAGACTTTCCAATCAGAGTGTTTCCAAACTGCTGAATGAAAAGAAAAGTTAAACTCTGTGAGTTGAACGCACACATCCCAGAGCAGTTTCTGAGAAAGATTCTGTCGAGTTTTTATAGGAAAATATTTCCTTTTCTGCTTTTGGCCTCAAAGCGCTTGAAATCTCCACTTGCAAATTCCACAAAAAGAGACTTTCAAATCTGCTCTGTCTAAAGGAAGGTTCAACTCTGTCAGTTGAATACACACAACACAAAGAAGTTACTAAGAATTCTTCCCTCTAGCATTATATGAAGAAATCCCGTTTCCAACGAAGGCATCTAAGAGGTCCAAATATCCACTTGCAGACTTTACAAACACAGGGTTTCCAGAATGCTGTATGAAAAGAAAGGTTAAACTCTGTGAGTTGAACGCACACATCACAAAGGAGTTTCTGAGAATCATTCTGTCTAGTTTTTATACGAAGATATTTCCTTTTCTACCATTGACCTCAAAGCGGCTGAAATCTCCACTTGCAAATTCCAGAAAAACAGTGTTTCAAATCTGCTCTGTGTAAAGGATCGTTTAACTCTGTGAGTTGAATACACACAACACAAGGAAGTTACTGAGAATTCATCTGTCTAGCATAATATGAAGAAATCCCGTTTCCAACGAAGGCCTCAAAGAGGTCTGAATATCCACTTGCAGACTTTACAAACAGAGTGTTTCCTAACTGCTCTTTGAAAAGAAAGGTTAAACTCTGTGAGTTGAACGCACACATCACAAAACAGTTTCTGAGAATCATTCTGTCTAGTTTTTATACGAAGATATTTCCTTTTCTACCGTTGACCTCAAAGCGGCTGAATTCTCCACTTACAAATTCCACCAAAAGAGTGTCTCAAATCTGCTCTGTGTAAAGAATCATTCAACTCTGTGAGTTGAATGCACACAACACAAGGAAGTTACTGGGAATTCCTCTGTCTAACCTTACATGAAAAAACCCGTTTCCAACGAAGGCCTCTAAGAGGCCAAGATATCCACTTGCAGACTTTACAAACAGAGTGTTTACAAACTGCTGAATGAAAAGAAAAGTTAAACTCTGTGAGTTGAACGCACACATCACAGAGCAGTTTCTGAGAATGATTCTGTCGGGTTTTTATACGAAGATATTTCCTTTTCTGCCTTTGGCCTCAAAGCGCTTGAAGTCTCCACTTGCAAATTGCAGAAAAAGAGTGTTTCGAATCTGCTCTGTCTAAAGGAAGGTTCAACTCTGTCAGTTGAATACACACAACACAAGGAAGTTACTGAGATTTCTTCTGTCTAGCCTTACATGAAAAAAACCCGTTTCCAACGAAGGCCTCAAAGAGGTCAAAATATCCACGTGCAGACTTTCCAAACAGAGTGTTTCCAAACTGCTGAATGAAAAGAAAAGTTAAACTCTGTGAGTTGAACGCACACATCCCAGAGCAGTTTCTGAGAAAGATTCTGTCGAGTTTTTATAGGAAAATATTTCCTTTTCTGCTTTTGGCCTCAAAGCGCTTGAAATCTCCACTTGCAAATTCCACAAAAAGAGACTTTCAAATCTGCTCTGTCTAAAGGAAGGTTCAACTCTGTCAGTTGAATACACACAACACAAAGAAGTTACTAAGAATTCTTCCCTCTAGCATTATATGAAGAAATCCCGTTTCCAACGAAGGCATCTAAGAGGTCCAAATATCCACTTGCAGACTTTACAAACACAGGGTTTCCAGAATGCTGTATGAAAAGAAAGGTTAAACTCTGTGAGTTAAACACACACATCACTACGCAGTGTCTGGGAACGAGTTTGTCTTGTTTTTATACGAAGATATTTCCTTTTCTACCATTGGCATCGAAGCGCTTGAAATCTCCACTTGCAAATTCCACAAAAAGAGTGTTTCAAATCTGCTCTGTCTAAAGGAAGGTTGAACTCTGTGAGTTGCATACACACAACACAAAGAAGTTACTGAGAAATCTTCTGTCTAGCATAATATGAAGAAATCCCGTTTCCAACGAAGGCCTCAAAGAGGTCCGA
Organism: Homo sapiens; assembly: GCF_000001405.40. Lineage (NCBI taxonomy): Eukaryota > Metazoa > Chordata > Mammalia > Primates > Hominidae > Homo > Homo sapiens. The sequence continues at coordinate 36,681,661 of NC_000016.10, read as the reverse complement.
ATATCCACTGGCAGGCTTCACAAACAGAGTGTTTCCTAACTGCTCTGTGAAAAGAAAGGTTAAACTCTGTGAGTTGAACGCACACATCACAAAGGAGTTTCTGAGAATCATTCTGTCTAGTTTTTATACGAAGATATTTCCTTTTCTACCATTGACCTCAAAGCGGCTGAAATCTCCACTTGCAAATTCCAGAAAAACAGTGTTTCAAATCTGCTCTGTGAAAAGGATCGTTCAACTCTGTGAGTTGAATACACACAACACAAGGAAGTTACTGAGAATTCATCTGTCTAGCATAATATGAAGAAATCCCGTTTCCAACGAAGGCCTCAAAGAGGTCTGAATATCCACTTGCAGACTTTACAAACAGAGTGTTTCCTAACTGCTCTTTGAAAAGAAAGGTTAAACTCTGTGAGTTGAACGCACACATCACAAAACAGTTTCTGAGAATCATTCTGTCTAGTTTTTATACGAAGATATTTCCTTTTCTACCGTTGACCTCAAAGCGGCTGAATTCTCCACTTACAAATTCCACCAAAAGAGTGTCTCAAATCTGCTCTGTGTAAAGAATCATTCAACTCTGTGAGTTGAATGCACACAACACAAGGAAGTTACTGGGAATTCCTCTGTCTATCCTTACATGAAAAAACCCGTTTCCAACGAAGGCCTCTAAGAGGCCAAGATATCCACTTGCAGACTTTACAAACAGAGTGTTTCCAAACTGCTGAATGAAAAGAAAAGTTAAACTCTGTGAGTTGAACGCACACATCACAGAGCAGTTTCTGAGAATGATTCTGTCGGGTTTTTATACGAAGATATTTCCTTTTCTGCCTTTGGCCTCAAAGCGCTTGAAGTCTCCACTTGCAAATTGCAGAAAAAGAGTGTTTCGAATCTGCTCTGTCTAAAGGAAGGTTCAACTCTGTCAGTTGAATACACACAACACAAGGAAGTTACTGAGATTTCTTCTGTCTAGCCTTACATGAAAAAAACCCGTTTCCAACGAAGGCCTCAAAGAGGTCAAAATATCCACGTGCAGACTTTCCAAACAGAGTGTTTCCAAACTGCTGAATGAAAAGAAAAGTTAAACTCTGTGAGTTGAACGCACACATCCCAGAGCAGTTTCTGAGAAAGATTCTGTCTAGTTTTTATAGGAAAATATTTCCTTTTCTGCTTTTGGCCTAAAAGCGCTTGAAATCTCCACTTGCAAATTCGACAAAAAGAGACTTTCAAATCTGCTCTGTCTAAAGGAAGGTTCAACTCTGTCAGTTGAATACACACAACACAAAGAAGTTACTGAGAATTCTTCCCTCTAGCATTATATGAAGAAATCCCGTTTCCAACGAAGGCATCTAAGAGGTCCAAATATCCACTTGCAGACTTTACAAACACAGGGTTTCCAGAATGCTGTATGAAAAGAAAGGTTAAACTCTGTGAGTTAAACACACACATCACTACGCAGTGTCTGGGAACGAGTTTGTCTTGTTTTTATACGAAGATATTTCCTTTTCTACCATTGGCATCGAAGCGCTTGAAATCTCCACTTGCAAATTCCACAAAAAGAGTGTTTCAAATCTGCTCTGTCTAAAGGAAGGTTGAACTCTGTGAGTTGCATACACACAACCCAAAGAAGTTACTGAGAAATCTTCTGTCTAGCATAATATGAAGAAATCCCGTTTCCAACGAAGGCCTCAAAGAGGTCCGATTATCCACTGGCAGGCTTCACAAACAGAGTGTTTCCTAACTGCTCTGTGAAAAGAAAGGTTAAACTCTGTGAGTTGAACGCACACATCACAAAGGAGTTTCTGAGAATCATTCTGTCTAGTTTTTATACGAAGATATTTCCTTTTCTACCATTGACCTCAAAGCGGCTGAAATCTCCACTTGCAAATTCCAGAAAAACAGTGTTTCAAATCTGCTCTGTGTAAAGGATCGTTCAACTCTGTGAGTTGAATACACACAACACAAGGAAGTTACTGAGAATTCATCTGTCTAGCATAATATGAAGAAATCCCGTTTCCAACGAAGGCCTCAAAGAGGTCTGAATATCCACTTGCAGACTTTACAAACAGAGTGTTTCCTAACTGCTCTTTGAAAAGAAAGGTTAAACTCTGTGAGTTGAACGCACACATCACAAAACAGTTTCTGAGAATCATTCTTTCTAGTTTTTATACGAAGATATTTCCTTTTCTACCGTTGACCTCAAAGCGGCTGAATTCTCCACTTACAAATTCCACCAAAAGAGTGTCTCAAATCTGCTCTGTGTAAAGAATCATTCAACTCTGTGAGTTGAATGCACACAACACAAGGAAGTTACTGGGAATTCCTCTGTCTAACCTTACATGAAAAAACCCGTTTCCAACGAAGGCCTCTAAGAGGCCAAGATATCCACTTGCAGACTTTACAAACAGAGTGTTTCCAAACTGCTGAATGAAAAGAAAAGTTAAACTCTGTGAGTTGAACGCACACATCACAGAGCAGTTTCTGAGAATGATTCTGTCGGGTTTTTATACGAAGATATTTCCTTTTCTGCCTTTGGCCTCAAAGCGCTTGAAGTCTCCACTTGCAAATTGCAGAAAAAGAGCGTTTCGAATCTGCTCTGTCTAAAGGAAGGTTCAACTCTGTCAGTTGAATACACACAACACAAGGAAGTTACTGAGATTTCTTCTGTCTAGCCTTACATGAAAAAAACCCGTTTCCAACGAAGGCCTCAAAGAGGTCAAAATATCCACGTGCAGACTTTCCAAACAGAGTGTTTCCAAACTGCTGAATGAAAAGAAAGTTAAACTCTGTGAATTGAACACACACATCACAGAGCAGTTTCTGAGAATGATTCTGTCTAGTTTTTATAGGAAAATATTTCCTTTTCTGCTTTTGGCCTCAAAGCGCTTGAAATCTCCACTTGCAAATTCCACAAAAAGAGACTTTCAAATCTGCTCTGTCTAAAGGAAGGTTCAACTCTGTCAGTTGAATACACACAACACAAAGAAGTTACTAAGAATTCTTCCCTCTAGCATTATATGAAGAAATCCCGTTTCCAACGAAGGCATCTAAGAGGTCCAAATATCCACTTGCAGACTTTACAAACAGAGGGTTCCCAGAATGCTGTATGAAAAGAAAGGTTAAACTCTGTGAGTTAAACACACACATCACTACGCAGTGTCTGGGAACGAGTTTGTCTTGTTTTTATACGAAGATATTTCCTTTTCTACCATTGGCATCGAAGCGCTTGAAATCTCCACTTGCAAATTCCACAAAAAGAGTGTTTCAAATCTGCTCTGTCTAAAGGAAGGTTGAACTCTGTGAGTTGCATACACACAACACAAAGAAGTTACTGAGAAATCTTCTGTCTAGCATAATATGAAGAAATCCCGTTTCCAACGAAGGCCTCAAAGAGGTCCGAATATCCACTGGCAGGCTTCACAAACAGAGTGTTTCCTAACTGCTCTCTGAAAAGAAAGGTTAAACTCTGTGAGTTGAACGCACACATCACAAAACAGTTTCTGAGAATCATTCTGTCTAGTTTTTATACGAAGATATTTCCTTTTCTACCGTTGACCTCAAAGCGGCTGAATTCTCCACTTACAAATTCCACCAAAAGAGTGTCTCAAATCTGCTCTGTGTAAAGAATCATTCAACTCTGTGAGTTGAATGCACACAACACAAGGAAGTTACTGGGAATTCCTCTGTCTATCCTTACATGAAAAAACCCGTTTCCAACGAAGGCCTCTAAGAGGCCAAGATATCCACTTGCAGACTTTACAAACAGAGTGTTTCCAAACTGCTGAATGAAAAGAAAAGTTAAACTCTGTGAGTTGAACGCACACATCACAGAGCAGTTTCTGAGAAAGATTCTGTCTAGTTTTTATAGGAAAATATTTCCTTTTCTGCCTTTTGGCCTCAAAGCGCTTGAAATCTCCACTTGCAAATTCCACAAAAAGAGTGTTTCAAATCTGCTCTGTCTAAAGGAAGGTTGAACTCTGTGAGTTGCATACACACAACACAAAGAAGTTACTGAGAAATCTTCTGTCTAGCATAATATGAAGAAATCCCGTTTCCAACGAAGGCCTCAAAGAGGTCCGAATATCCACTGGCAGGCTTCACAAACAGAGTGTTTCCTAACTGCTCTGTGAAAAGAAAGGTTAAACTCTGTGAGTTGAACGCACACATCACAAAGGAGTTTCTGAGAATCATTCTGTCTAGTTTTTATACGAAGATATTTCCTTTTCTACCATTGACCTCAAAGCGGCTGAAATCTCCACTTGCAAATTCCAGAAAAACAGTGTTTCAAATCTGCTCTGTGTAAAGGATCGTTTAACTCTGTGAGTTGAATACACACAACACAAGGAAGTTACTGAGAATTCATCTGTCTAGCATAATATGAAGAAATCCCGTTTCCAACGAAGGACTCAAAGAGGTCTGAATATCCACTTGCAGACTTTACAAACAGAGTGTTTCCTAACTGCTCTTTGAAAAGAAAGGTTAAACTCTGTGAGTTGAACGCACACATCACAAAACAGTTTCTGAGAATCATTCTGTCTAGTTTTTATACGAAGATATTTCCTTTTCTACCGTTGACCTCAAAGCGGCTGAATTCTCCACTAACAAATTCCACCAAAAGAGTGTCTCAAATCTGCTCTGTGTAAAGAATCATTCAACTCTGTGAGTTGAATGCACACAACACAAGGAAGTTACTGGGAATTCCTCTGTCTAACCTTACATGAAAAAACCCGTTTCCAACGAAGGCCTCTAAGAGGCCAAGATATCCACTTGCAGACTTTACAAACAGACTGTTTCCAAACTGCTGAATGAAAAGAAAAGTTAAACTCTGTGAGTTGAACGCACACATCACAGAGCAGTTTCTGAGAATGATTCTGTCGGGTTTTTATACGAAGATATTTCCTTTTCTGCCTTTGGCCTCAAAGCGCTTGAAGTCTCCATTTGCAAATTGCAGAAAAAGAGTGTTTCGAATCTGCTCTGTCTAAAGGAAGGTTCAACTCTGTCAGTTGAATACACACAACACAAGGAAGTTACTGAGATTTCTTCTGTCTAGCCTTACATGAAAAAAACCCGTTTCCAACGAAGGCCTCAAAGAGGTCAAAATATCCACGTGCAGACTTTCCAAACAGAGTGTTTCCAAACTGCTGAATGAAAAGAAAAGTTAAACTCTGTGAGTTGAACACACACAACCCAGAGCAGTTTCTGAGAAAGATTCTGTCTAGTTTTTATAGGAAAATATTTCCTTTTCTGCTTTTGGCCTCAAAGCGCTTGAAATCTCCACTTGCAAATTCCACAAAAAGAGACTTTCAAATCTGCTCTGTCTAAAGGAAGGTTCAACTCTGTCAGTTGAATACACACAACACAAAGAAGTTACTAAGAATTCTTCCCTCTAGCATTATATGAAGAAATCCCGTTTCCAACGAAGGCATCTAAAAGGTCCAAATATCCACTTGCAGACTTTACAAACACAGGGTTTCCAGAATGCTGTATGAAAAGAAAGGTTAAACTCTGTGAGTTAAACACACACATCACTACGCAGTGTCTGGGAACGAGTTTGTCTTGTTTTTATACGAAGATATTTCCTTTTCTACCATTTGCATCGAAGCGCTTGAAATCTCCACTTGCAAATTCCACAAAAAGAGTGTTTCAAATATGCTCTCTCTAAAGGAAGGTTGAACTCTGTAAGTTGCATACACACAACACAAAGAAGTTACTGAGAAATCTTCTGTCTAGCATAATATGAAGAAATCCCGTTTCCAACGAAGGCCTCAAAGAGGTCCGATTATCCACTGGCAGGCTTCACAAACAGAGTGTTTCCTAACTGCTCTGTGAAAAGAAAGGTTAAACTCTGTGAGTTGAACGCACACATCACAAAGGAGTTTCTGAGAATCATTCTGTCTAGTTTTTATACGAAGATATTTCCTTTTCTACCATTGACCTCAAAGCGGCTGAAATCTCCACTTGCAAATTCCAGAAAAACAGTGTTTCAAATCTGCTCTGTGTAAAGGATCGTTCAACTCTGTGAGTTGAATACACACAACACAAGGAAGTTACTGAGAATTCATCTGTCTAGCATAATATGAAGAAATCCCGTTTCCAACGAAGGCCTCAAAGAGGTCTGAATATCCACTTGCAGACTTTACAAACAGAGTGTTTCCTAACTGCTCTTTGAAAAGAAAGGTTAAACTCTGTGAGTTGAACGCACACATCACAAAACAGTTTCTGAGAATCATTCTGTCTAGTTTTTATACGAAGATATTTCCTTTTCTACCGTTGACCTCAAAGCGGCTGAATTCTCCACTTACAAATTCCACCAAAAGAGTGTCTCAAATCTGCTCTGTGTAAAGAATCATTCAACTCTGTGAGTTGAATGCACACAACACAAGGAAGTTACTGGGAATTCCTCTGTCTAACCTTACATGAAAAAACCCGTTTCCAACGAAGGCCTCTAAGAGGCCAAGATATCCACTTGCAGACTTTACAAACAGAGTGTTTCCAAACTGCTGAATGAAAAGAAAAGTTAAACTCTGTGAGTTGAACTCACACATCACAGAGCAGTTTCTGAGAATGATTCTGTCGGGTTTTTATACGAAGATATTTCCTTTTCTGCCTTTGGCCTCAAAGCGCTTGAAGTCTCCACTTGCAAATTGCAGAAAAAGAGTGTTTCGAATCTGCTCTGTCTAAAGGAAGGTTCAACTCTGTCAGTTGAATACACACAACACAAGGAAGTTACTGAGATTTCTTCTGTCTAGCCTTACATGAAAAAAACCCGTTTCCAACGAAGGCCTCAAAGAGGTCAAAATATCCACGTGCAGACTTTCCAAACAGAGTGTTTCCAAACTGCTGAATGAAAAGAAAAGTTAAACTCTGTGAGTTGAACGCACACATCCCAGAGCAGTTTCTGAGAAAGATTCTGTCTAGTTTTTATAGGAAAATATTTCCTTTTCTGCTTTTGGCCTCAAAGCGCTTGAAATCTCCACTTGCAAATTCCACAAAAAGAGACTTTCAAATCTGCTCTGTCTAAAGGAAGGTTCAACTCTGTCAGTTGAATACACACAACACAAAGAAGTTACTAAGAATTCTTCCCTCTAGCATTATATGAAGAAATCCCGTTTCCAACGAAGGCATCTAAGAGGTCCAAATATCCACTTGCAGACTTTACAAACAGAGGGTTTCCAGAATGCTGTATGAAAAGAAAGGTGAAACTCTGTGAGTTAAACACACACATCACTACGCAGTGTCTGGGAACGAGTTTGTCTTGTTTTTATACGAAGATATTTCCTTTTCTACCATTGGCATCGAAGCGCTTGAAATCTCCACTTGCAAATTCCACAAAAAGAGTGTTTCAAATCTGCTCTGTCTAAAGGAAGGTTGAACTCTGTGAGTTGCATACACACAACACAAAGAAGTTACTGAGAAATCTTCTGTCTAGCATAATATGAAGAAATCCCGTTTCCAACGAAGGCCTCAAAGAGGTCCGAATATCCACTGGCAGGCTTCACAAACAGAGTGTTTCCTAACTGCTCTGTGAAAAGAAAGGTTAAACTCTGTGAGTTGAACGCACACATCACAAAGGAGTTTCTGAGAATCATTCTGTCTAGTTTTTATACGAAGATATTTCCTTTTCTACCATTGACCTCAAAGCAGCTGAAATCTCCACTTGCAAATTCCAGAAAAACAGTGTTTCAAATCTGCTCTCTGTAAAGGATCGTTCAACTCTGTGAGTTGAATACACACAACACAAGGAAGTTACTGAGAATTCATCTGTCTAGCATAATATGAAGAAATCCCGTTTCCAACGAAGGCCTCAAAGAGGTCTGAATATCCACTTGCAGACTTTACAAACAGAGTGTTTCCTAACTGCTCTTTGAAAAGAAAGGTTAAACTCTGTGAGTTGAATGCACACATCACAAAACACTTTCTGAGAATCATTCTGTCTAGTTTTTATACGAAGATATTTCCTTTTCTACCGTTGACCTCAAAGCGGCTGAATTCTCCACTTACAAATTCCACCAAAAGAGTGTCTCAAATCTGCTCTGTGTAAAGAATCATTCAACTCTGTGAGTTGAATGCACACAACACAAGGAAGTTACTGGGAATTCCTCTGTCTATCCTTACATGAAAAAACCCGTTTCCAACGAAGGCCTCTAAGAGGCCAAGATATCCACTTGCAGACTTTACAAACAGAGTGTTTCCAAACTGCTGAATGAAAAGAAAAGTTAAACTCTGTGAGTTGAACGCACACATCACAGAGCAGTTTCTGAGAAAGATTCTGTCTAGTATTTATAGGAAAATATTTCCTTTTCTGCTTTTGGCCTCAAAGCGCTTGAAATCTCCACTTGCAAATTCCACAAAAAGAGTGTTTCAAATCTGCTCTGTCTAAAGGAAGGTTGAACTCTGTGAGTTGCATACACACAACACAAAGAAGTTACTGAGAAATCTTCTGTCTAGCATAATATGAAGAAATCCCGTTTCCAACGAAGGCCTCAAAGAGGTCCGTATATCCACTGGCAGGCTTCACAAACAGAGTGTTTCCTAACTGCTCTGTGAAAAGAAAGGTTAAACTCTGTGAGTTGAACGCACACATCACAAAGGAGTTTCTGAGAATCATTCTGTCTAGTTTTTATACGAAGATATTTCCTTTTCTACCATTGACCTCAAAGCGGCTGAAATCTCCACTTGCAAATTCCAGAAAAACAGTGTTTCAAATCTGCTCTGTGTAAAGGATCGTTCAACTCTGTGAGTTGAATACACACAACACAAGGAAGTTACTGAGAATTCATCTGTCTAGCATAATATGAAGAAATCCCGTTTCCAACGAAGGCCTCAAAGAGGTCTGAATATCCACTTGCAGACTTTACAAACAGAGTGTTTCCTAACTGCTCTTTGAAAAGAAAGGTTAAACTCTGTGAGTTGAACGCACACATCACAAAACAGTTTCTGAGAATCATTCTGTCTAGTTTTTATACGAAGATATTTCCTTTTCTACCGTTGACCTCAAAGCGGCTGAATTCTCCACTTACAAATTCCACCAAAAGAGTGTCTCAAATCTGCTCTGTGTAAAGAATCATTCAACTCTGTGAGTTGAGTGCACACAACACAAGGAAGTTACTGGGAATTCCTCTGTCTAACCTTACATGAAAAAACCCGTTTCCAACGAAGGCCTCTAAGAGGCCAAGATATCCACTTGCAGACTTTACAAACAGAGTGTTTCCAAACTGCTGAATGAAAAGAAAAGTTAAACTCTGTGAGTTGAACGCACACGTCACAGAGCAGTTTCTGAGAATGATTCTGTCGGGTTTTTATACGAAGATATTTCCTTTTCTGCCTTTGGCCTCAAAGCGCTTGAAGTCTCCACTTGCAAATTGCAGAAAAAGAGTGTTTCGAATCTGCTCTGTCTAAAGGAAGGTTCAACTCTGTCAGTTGAATACACACAACACAAGGAAGTTACTGAGATTTCTTCTGTCTAGCCTTACATGAAAAAAACCCGTTTCTAACGAAGGCCTCAAAGAGGTCAAAATATCCACGTGCAGACTTTCCAAACAGAGTGTTTCCAAACTGCTGAATGGAAAGAAAAGTTAAACTCTGTGAGTTGAACGCACACATCCCAGAGCAGTTTCTGAGAAAGATTCTGTCTAGTTTTTATAGGAAAGTATTTCCTTTTCTGCTTTTGCCCTCAAAGCGCTTGAAATCTCCACTTGCAAATTCCACAAAAAGAGACTTTCAAATCTGCTCTGTCTAAAGGAAGGTTCAACTCTGTCAGTTGAATACACACAACACAAAGAAGTTACTAAGAATTCTTCCCTCTAGCATTATATGAAGAAATCCCGTTTCCAACGAAGGCATCTAAGAGGTCCAAATATCCACTTGCAGACTTTACAAACAGAGGGTTTCCAGAATGCTGTATGAAAAGAAAGGTTAAACTCTGTGAGTTAAACACACACATCACTACGCAGTGTCTGGGAACGAGTTTGTCTTGTTTTTATACGAAGATATTTCCTTTTCTACCATTGGCATCGATGCGCTTGAAATTTCCACTTGCAAATTCCACAAAAAGAGTGTTTCAAATCTGCTCTGTCTAAAGGAAGGTTGAACTCTGTGAGTTGCATACACACAACACAAAGAAGTTACTGAGAAATCTTCTGTCTAGCATAATATGAAGAAATCCCGTTTCCAACGAAGGCCTCAAAGAGGTCCGAATATCCACTGGCAGGCTTCACAAACAGAGTGTTTCCTAACTGCTCTGTGAAAAGAAAGGTTAAACTCTGTGAGTTGAACGCACACATCACAAAGGAGTTTCTGAGAATCATTCTGTCTAGTTTTTATACGAAGATATTTCCTTTTCTACCATTGACCTCAAAGCGGCTGAAATCTCCACTTGCAAATTCCAGAAAAACAGTGTTTCAAATCTGCTCTGTGTAAAGGATCGTTCAACTCTGTGAGTTGAATACACACAACACAAGGAAGTTACTGAGAATTCATCTGTCTAGCATAATATGAAGAAATCCCGTTTCCAACGAAGGCCTCAAAGAGGTCTGAATATCCACTTGCAGACTTTACAAACAGAGTGTTTCCTAACTGCTCTTTGAAAAGAAAGGTTAAACTCTGTGAGTTGAAAGCACACATCACAAAACAGTTTCTGAGAATCATTCTGTCTAGTTTTTATACGAAGATATTTCCTTTTCTACCGTTGACCTCAAAGCGGCTGAATTCTCCACTTACAAATTCCACCAAAAGAGTGTCTCAAATCTGCTCTGTGTAAAGAATCATTCAACTCTGTGAGTTGAATGCACACAACACAAGGAAGTTACTGGGAATTCCTCTGTCTAACCTTAAATGAAAAAACCCGTTTCCAACGAAGGCCTCTAAGAGGCCAAGATATCCACTTGCAGACTTTACAAACAGAGTGTTTCCAAACTGCTGAATGAAAAGAAAAGTTAAACTCTGTGAGTTGAACGCACACATCACAGAGCAGTTTCTGAGAATGATTCTGTCGGGTTTTTATACGAAGATATTTCCTTTTCTGCCTTTGGCCTCAAAGCGCTTGAAGTCTCCACTTGCAAATTGCAGAAAAAGAGTGTTTCGAATCTGCTCTGTCTAAAGGAAGGTTCAACTCTGTCAGTTGAATACACACAACACAAGGAAGTTACTGAGATTTCTTCTGTCTAGCCTTACATGAAAAAAACCCGTTTCCAACGAAGGCCTCAAAGAGGTCAAAATATCCACGTGCAGACTTTCCAAACAGAGTGTTTCCAAACTGCTGAATGAAAAGAAAAGTTAAACTCTGTGAGTTGAACGCACACATCCCAGAGCAGTTTCTGAGAAAGATTCTGTCGAGTTTTTATAGGAAAATATTTCCTTTTCTGCTTTTGGCCTCAAAGCGCTTGAAATCTCCACTTGCAAATTCCACAAAAAGAGACTTTCAAATCTGCTCTGTCTAAAGGAAGGTTCAACTCTGTCAGTTGAATACACACAACACAAAGAAGTTACTAAGAATTCTTCCCTCTAGCATTATATGAAGAAATCCCGTTTCCAACGAAGGCATCTAAGAGGTCCAAATATCCACTTGCAGACTTTACAAACACAGGGTTTCCAGAATGCTGTATGAAAAGAAAGGTTAAACTCTGTGAGTTAAACACACACATCACTACGCAGTGTCTGGGAACGAGTTTGTCTTGTTTTTATACGAAGATATTTCCTTTTCTACCATTGGCATCGAAGCGCTTGAAATCTCCACTTGCAAATTCCACAAAAAGAGTGTTTCAAATCTGCTCTGTCTAAAGGAAGGTTGAACTCTGTGAGTTGCATACACACAACACAAAGAAGTTACTGAGAAATCTTCTGTCTAGCATAATATGAAGAAATCCCGTTTCCAACGAAGGCCTCAAAGAGGTCCGAATATCCACTGGCAGGCTTCACAAACAGAGTGTTTCCTAACTGCTCTGTGAAAAGAAAGGTTAAACTCTGTGAGTTGAACGCACACATCACAAAGGAGTTTCTGAGAATCATTCTGTCTAGTTTTTATACGAAGATATTTCCTTTTCTACCATTGACCTCAAAGCGGCTGAAATCTCCACTTGCAAATTCCAGAAAAACAGTGTTTCAAATCTGCTCTGTGTAAAGGATCGTTCAACTCTGTGAGTTGAATACACACAACACAAGGAAGTTACTGAGAATTCA